>NC_000007.14:99779506-100082536 GCF_000001405.40 Homo sapiens
ACCTGGGCTCCCTAATAAATTGAGTTTCAAAGCTGTCCAGAAGGAAGGGAAAAAAGGCTACTCAAGAGCTCTTGCTACAGAGAGGAAAGTTTGACTCTCATGTACACAGATAACAAGTCACAATCAGGGGGTCCTTTTCCTACTTTTAATACTAACTAAGTATGACTGTACCTTCCTGGGAACCTGCATAGAGCAAAAAGAAAACCTTCTTTATGGCGCTCACAAAGTTTGCACATCAAGTTCTGAGCATCAGGTTGCTGATCTACCTGAGATTTGGGCTGTTCAACTGAGGCAAACCTGAGGTTCCTGAGAGTTAGCAAGAGAGCCCTTGGGTAAACATTGCCATGTTCTGGGTGATGCCTACACACTGTTTCTGAAAGTGTAAAACTTCAGACCTTCCCCCTGAGGAGAAGCATTTTTACTGATGGAACTAAGCTGCTCTTGGCAATCATAAGAAGCAAAAGAGTGAGCTCAAAAACACTCACCTTATGGTAGGACAAAATATTTCCCAAAAAAGGCAGAGGTGTGGGCCCTGGAATTCCAAGCTTCTTAAAAAGTCCATGTGAATGGGTTCCATATCTACAAAGTGAAACAGAAATCAAGTCACAGCGATTGTGACTTTATAGATATAGGGGTTGATGAGTCATTGACTGAGGAACTGGAATGCTCAAGAGAACGAGGTAACATTAAGGCAAGAAATAATAACAGTAACTCTGACGGCAATGATTATATTTGTTCATCAGGTCCTTTCCTGCCTCCACCATGAGACACCAAAAAGTTACAATGATTAGCTCAAAGCAGCTGAAGTCTTCATGGTCCCAGTCCTGGAATGAATATTTGATAAATGTTCTCAAATGTGAATGATCCTGAGAGGTTCAGGCAGGAATTCTTCCAGGTCACTTTGTTCCTTTACGTCTATTTAGTAAGTGGCCTCTCCCCAAATTTGGGGATTCTCATCCTAGGTAGAAAGGGTGACATTTTTTTGTCTTCCGCAGTGATGATGAGATTTTGCATCACTGCAGCCACTCAGTCACAGAGGGTCACTGAGAGCCTATGGTGACCCTGTCTTTAGAATTTGCTCAGAGGCTTTTATGCTTTCCCTTCCCTCTAAGCTCTGACCCTGTTTTAGGATCTGGTTCTTCTTAAACCGTCATTCACAGAGAGGTCTTGGAGGAGTCACAGAGTCCTTATTTCTACAGATTGACAACTGTGCTCAAGGCTTCCATTGACCTCATAGAAATGTGAGCAGCTTTCAGCTACACCTCAGTCTCTGTGATCAGATGATCTGGTTGATTTGACCTATTGGGAAGGATGATTGACTCATATTTCCCTGAATGACAGTGTGCAGAAGAATCACAACTAAAGAACCAATTTCCAGGTCATTCCTCCTCTTGTGGAATCTAGCCTTCCAACTGGTGATATTCATCTGATTAGCACAGTGCCAGTGATATGGTCTGAATCTGTGCCCCTACCAAAATCTCATGTTGAAATGCAATCCCCAATACTGGAGGTGGGGCCTGGTAGGAGATGATTGGATCCTAGGGGCAGTTTCTCATCGTTTCACACCATCCCGCCTTAGGTGTTGTCCTCGTGACAATGAGTTTTTATGAGATCTGGTGGTTTGAATGTGTGGCACCTTCTCCCCAGCCTCTCTTGCTTCTGCTCCAGCCATGTAAGATCTGTCTGCTTCTCCTTCACCTTCTGCCATGATTGTAAATTTCCTGAGACCTCCCTAGAGGAAGAAGTCACTATGCTTTCTGTACAGCCTGCAGAACCATGAGACAATTAAATCCCTTTTCTTTATAAATACCCAGACTCTGGTATTTCTTTATAACAATGCAAGAAAAGACTAACATAGCCAGACATGCTAATTTTTCTCAAGGTGGTCAATCACAAAGCAGTCAGTTTATTGCATCTGCCCATCAACTATCTCTGTAGGAAAACCCATTAAGGCTGGTGCTCCCTAAGGCAGGCCTGCTTGCAACTCATCTTTGATGGGTCATGTATGAACTCCCCGAACTGGGGTTTCTGGATGTCTGAAGACCTTCCCAGTCTGATGTTACTGAGGGTTGGAAGACTGGAGGAAGAAGAAAAGCTGATGGAAGAGGTCACCATCCTTCAACTCAACCATGAATCTGCTAGTCCCACAAGGTTGGCCCCAGAGAGGCAAATTAGGAAAATGTAGCTGAAAAGCATGGTGTGTATAAATGGATCCATATGCTTCATATGGGCTTTTAGCTAAAAGGTAGGGGCCTTCGAATGTCCACATTCCCTCCTGTTTATAACAAAAGATGTAGTATTCCACATAAGTAAACATAAAATGTTCCAGACAGTTGAATTAAAACCTTGTTTTCTCTTCTTTAAAGGGTAGCCCTTAAGACAGTATAGGTTCCAAATATTCTGTACAAATCCGGTGACTGTGATAATATGTGGTAAAATACAACTGAGAAATGGCGTGGAGGCTCATGTTTGGGGGACCCAGCAGAAGCAGCATAGCCAGGCCCAATAGTGCATTTGGATCTTTGCCCCAGAACAGTTAGTGGAAGCGTGTGCACCATCTACCAAAACCAGGGTGGCCTTGGGTTTTCCCACTCCTGTTCCTTCCTTTGTTGTCACAGCCATGGCAAATAAATGACACTAATCTCTGCTTCTAAACTTTCTACAAGTTACATGACCTCTCAGGCCAGGACAAACTATTGAGTTAATGTGTCAGCAGCATTGGTCCCCAAGGAATGATCTAGGTGAATGTCTAGACTCACATGGTTCCGTGTCAAGGCAGAGGCTAGGCTGGGCAAACTGTGTAGTTTCTTTCCAGCTCCCCTCTGTTTGGTAGAGTAATGCTGCTTTTGGTTCCAATGAAGAGGCTAACAGAAAAGCCAGTCATCTATTGCACTTAATTGTGTTGGCCTAAGGAGGGCATTGTCTGCACTACAGTTTCTGACTCCTGGGCTGCATCAGCATCATCTAAGGCTAAGGTATTGTCTGCCCAGCTGCCTGAGTCTGTAGTGACCACCCCACAACATGGCAGACCACACACAGAGTGACACAGATGGTGCCTCTGTGTCCAGGCTTCAAGCAGATGAGATGCAAACATGTTTGTCCTTTGAGTGACCTCCACTACGGGGCCAGGACCCATGAATATCTCTTTGGAGTTCTACCCTGAGGGATGAGGAATATTTTCTTACTCCATTTTGATCCTACCTGGATGCTTTTGCTGTCATCACTGGCTCACAGTCTTGCTTACTCCTCTGCCCTGAGCGTTTAACATAACCTGCTAAGCAGGTTTGTTTGAAATAGGGGTATTAAAATGAACGTTGGGAAGGTATATTTTAAAAGATATATGCAATCTTGTCATAGAGTTATACATTTGTGCATTAGATTCATATTCCTGACATGATTCTGGAAAGGTGAGGTTATTTTACACACATTTATTGTAACAAATACTGAACTAACAGCCCTCATTTGTCACCTAGAAGGAACATGTTGGAAATAGACTATCTCCAAAAAAATCTGGTTTAAAATAGAATGAATTTAAGCCATATCAATTAGTGTTAAAAGGTCAGAAGATGGAAAATATGTTGCCACAACTCACTGAATTTCTAACCTTTCTGTGAAAGAATTAAAATGAGGTTTATATTTTCTATTTTCCTGTCATTATGATTCCCAAATCTTAGTAAGAGTGAAATTGAGGTAGAAGTGAAATGTGACATGTGAGAAGCCTCCACTACCCACAGTGGGGAGTGACTCTTCTCTCTACCTGCTCTAGGATGGCAGGATCCCACCAGTGAGAGGATTCATCCTCTTCTACTGCAACATAAAGGGGAAAATGTAAAATCCAAATTCTAGTTTAGTAAGGAGAAGCCAGGTTTCCACAGCCAAGTTTGGAATGAGATCCGTCACTACTTTCCTTCCTTATCCTCCTTGGGTCCAAACTATTGTCAAGTAGATCATCCTCAATCAATGCTATCCCAAAACCCTTCTTGCCACTAAAGATGGATGGGGAAGATGCTTATTTATTCCTTTATAGAGCTGCATAAGATCTACAATAACCTCTATATGTTTGTAGCATCCAACACTTAAGCTACTGCTCCTTGAACATCTTTTTTTTTTTTTTTTTTTTTTGAGACAGCCTCACTCTGTCACCCAGGCTGAAGTGCACTGGCATGATCTCAGCTCACTGCAACCTCCGCCTGCCGGGTTCAAGCAATTCTCCTGCCTCAGCCTCCCAAGTAGCTGGGAATACAGGCGTGCACCACCATGCCCAGCTAATTTTTGTATTTTTAGTAGAGACAGAGTTTCACCATGTTAGCCAGGCTGGTCTTGAACTCCTGACCTCAGGCAGTCCACTTGCCTTAGCCTCCCAAAGTGCTGGGATTACAGGTGTAAGCCACCACGCCCGGCCTGAACATCTTTTTTGATCTTCAAAACAGATAAGGGAAAGAGAGGCCTGATTAGCACCCCAAGTCCAAGGAAACAGAGAAGAGGAGCCTGGACAGTTACTCACAGATAGAGGAGCACCAGGCTGACAGCCAGGAGAAGCCAGGTTTCCATGGCCAAGTCTGGGATGAGAGCCATCACTACTTTCCTTACTTATCTCTCTCCTCTGAGTCTTCCTTTCAGCTCTGTGTTGCTCTTTGCTGGGCTATGTGCATGGAGCTTTCCTGCCCTGCACAGCAGTGATTCAGTGAGGCTGTTGGATTGTTTATATGCTAGAGAAGGAGGCAGGGCTGGAGCTGCAGCCAGTAGCAGGGCCACCTGTGCTCTGCCTGCAGTTGGAAGAGGCTTCTCCACCTTGGAAGTTGGCAAAGAATCACACACACACCACTCACTGACCTCCTTTGAGTTCATATTCTATGAGGTATCATAAACAACTCAATCAATGTTACTGGGGAGTCCAAGGGTTCTGGGTTCTTATCAGAAACTCAAGTGGAGCCATTGGCATAAAATCTATTAAATCGCCTCTCTCCTGCCCTTGTCTCTATGGCTGTCCTCATTCCAAAATACTTGAAATTCATCCCAACAAGCCACACCTACAGATCTTTACCTATGCCTGGAGTGTGCCTGTGCCCCCTAGAAGACTCCTACACATCCTTCCAAACCCAGACAGACAGAGCCTTCTCTTAGAGTCTTTCCTCACCAAACTCCTCACACAGATGTAACCATTTCCTCCCCTGGGCACTTTCCATCCCCTTCATGCAATCCTATTGTCCTCTTTCCTCTTTACCACCATTGTGTTTCCACGCCTGTTTCCCTGAACAGAGGTGAGCTCCTCAAGGGCATAGTCTAGTCTTATTCCCTGTCATGGCTCTGGTCCCTACCAGGGTGCTGTACACACAGTGGGCAACTAGAAAGGCTGGTGGAGTTGACTTAGCTGAGATTGCTGGGCCTCTGCATGTCATCCCTTCTGACTTTCTGGTGACTTCTTAGGTCATTAATACAGCCAGAGCTCTTGGCTGTGCCTCAGCTGCTGTCTCTGCACTTTCAGGCTGGTCCTCTGTGATTCTGTTGGCAAGGGGACCCCTAAAGGAGAGACAGGGCATGGATGAGATGGAGCTGATGGCTTGGTGGAATAGTATCAATTTGTGCTGCTTCCTGTGAACCCTTCAAAGGTCCTGCCATAGATAGCAAGTTAGACAGGTTCTTTGCCAAAGAGTGGCCCCTTCTCTCTGGAAATACTGCATGTCTGGAAACAGGAGAGAAAGGAGAGAAGAGAACAGCTGCCCAGATAGCCAGATGGACCCCAACCACCTCAGCCAGCAATGATGGGGCAGTGGTCACTGCAGGTCACACAGCATCAAGGACTCCAATAAGATGGTCCCAGCCTCTTGGGGGTGGAATTGGAGTTCAAAGCAAATGGCTTCCTTTTTGACAAGTGGAGGATTTTCTAATGGGAGGAGGGCAGGCCCCAGGAGCTGGTAGAGATGAGGCCTGTAATAGCAGTTGCTGCCACCTGTGAGCTCCCTGACCCATTCCTGATGGGAGAGATCTCAGTGATGAGGGTGTGAAAATTATATCAGCTCATTATCGTCACTCACACCCAAGTTCTGTGTCTGCCTGGCCTGATGAATGGATTGCATGACAAACAAAATCACAGCGTTCTTAAAACTCAATAGAAATAGGCGATGTTTAAGCTGTGCTTGTTCGCTTCCTTCTCTCTTTATTCTTTCTCACATTCAGCCCTCCTGCAGAAACTGATACTCACCCCAGAAAGACACCTTTTCCCATCCCTCTGGCCCCTAAGCCTCCAGGGCTGCTCGGCACCTGGCCTGAGTGGGTGAACATCATGCCAGATTCCTTGTCAGATTCAAGGCCAAGTGGGTGAATGTCATGTGCAGTGTTGTGCCAGGTGTGTGCCGGGAGCCACATGTTCCTTGGGGACAGCCTAGTGAAGCAGGAGACAAATAAACATGCTTGGATGGTGGTATGCATGTGCTGTAACTCTGGAATCCCTGGGATAAAAGAGCCGTACAGAGAGGCACCTAAGGAAAGAAGTGACAGCAAGCATCAAACCAAAAAGGACAAACATGGGAAGGTGGTGACAATCCCCAAGAGAGGTAGGATAAAAGTCCAGGGAATTTAGATACATTTCTGTCTCCTTTCAGTGGCTTTGCTGAGCACATTAAGTAGGGGCCATGCTACTATCCCCAGTTTACAGATGTAGAAACTGAGGCTCAGTGACTGCAAGTAGCTTCCCAACTGCTACTGATCACAATAAAACTTTATAAAAAGCTAACAGGAAGGGAGATATTAGGTCCTCTCCTGCTCTGGTGCACCTGCCATTCCCTGCTACGCATCACTATGGGAAATAGTGAGACTCAAGGCTGCAACCACAAATTGGTTGGGATTTGTGTTCCTGTCTCAAGGGTTACTCCCAGCGGCACCACCATGGGTCTTCTAGAACAAAGGACTCCATCTCATCTCAGCAGGGAGAAAGAAAGATGCAGTTTCTGACCATATCAGTGGCATTGCTGGAGGATCTCCCTCTCTATGTTCCCACACTGAGAGATGCACAGAACACATTCAGAGAAGTAAAGATTCCAGTGTCATCTGATAACTATCAACAACTTCATTACCTCACCTAAACCGAGAGCCTTTCTTATATTTTTTTTAAACAAAACTCTTACAGAAACAAATATGTTTTCTTCTTGCCTCTAAAACACATACTTGGTAAGATGATTTTTATTCTAAGATGAGGATTTACCTGCCCTACAAACTTTAGGAGGTGGTCTGATTGGTTTGAATCTATACCAACAGTGAGAGACTAATCATCGCTTGGGACTTAAATGCAGCCAGCACTGTGTCCTAACTAATGCAGTTGGTGTTGTTCTGCAAAGGAAAATAATTGAAGGCAAGTTCTGCCACTTAATTCCACAGAAGGTAACATCTTCTAACATGTAGGGACTTGACTACTGAGAGCTGCACTGACTGTGTCAAGGAAGATACATCCAACCACCACATGCCTCTCCCCTGCTCATTTCCTGTATTAAAGCCTTCATCATGTTTTTTAAAGCTGTGCTCTCAGTACTGTGCTCTTAGTACTATGCTTCCAACCAAAGTTGGTCTTGGTCAACTTTGTACCCTAAGCACATAGAGCAGAGACAAATAAGCAGATAATTATAGTACAGCTAAGGAAAAATAATCATACAAGTATGAGAAACATAATGTCCTTATCAACAATGAAAGACTTATCTTCTTTCTCGTTCTAGTTTCATTGGATCAAAGTTCAATCTCAACATTCAGAGAAGCATTAGGCTCAGATATCAGCATCAGTGGACAGGCTGTCCAGGGACTCAACGTTGTAAAGAACACCATCACTCTGATATTTTCATCCTTTTATACTGGTAGCCCAAGTGGTACCTCTCTTCTGGGAAGCTTATCCTGACTTCCAGTAGCCAAGTGAATTGCTGATGGTATGCGGAGGCAACATTGCTCTGGAATTACATGTGTATTCGATTCAAATTTCACAAGTCATGATCTTGAGGATGTAAACCAAAAAAAAAAAAGAAGAAGAAGATTATCTCTCTGTAACTCAGCTGTCAAGTCCCCATTCTTCTCAGTAGGGGAAAACTTGATTTTGCATGTTGGGGTGACCACGTGGTATCTAAGTTTTGCTCTTATTTATTTTTAAAATTGTTTTGAGGCAGGGTGTCACTCTGTTGCCCAGGCTAGAGTTCAGTGCTGTGATTATAGCTTACTGTTGTTTCCACCTCCTGGGCTCAAGTGATCCTCCCACCTCAGCCTCCTTAGTAGCTGGGACTACAGGCATGCAACAACGCCCAGCTAATTTTTAGTACAGATGGGACCTAGCTATGTTGCCCAGGCTGATCTCAAACTCCTGGCCTCAAGTGATCCTCCTGCTGCTGTCTCCTGAAGTTCTGGGATTTCAGATGGGAGCCACCACACCTGGCCTTTAAGTTTTAGTGGCTGGAGGAGGGGATTAGCTAATGCTTTTGGGCCTCATGCTTGGGGGTGGTGTTGAGGAGAGTGACAGGTGCATGGTTATGCTCTCTTGGCACTGGAGGAGGTAGGTGTCTCACTTTCATGACTTTCATGCCACTGTATGTTGGTTAGCCTGTATGCCTGCTGTGTTCAGGGCATGTGGCAAGCACTAAATATTAAAGAATCAAAATCCTTGCCCTTATGAAGCTAGCACTCATATAGGAGAAAGAGACACCAAACAGCCACACAAATAATACTGAATTACAAATTGGGATAAATGCTATGAAGTAAAAGAACCCTTTACTTAAGCTCCCAGTGGTATCAGACACAGTTGATCCTTCTTTCTTCCCTAAACTCTATCTCCCTTTGAGAGACATGAATACAACAGCATCAACAAGACTTGACAGATGGGAAGTGTGAGACCTTGGATATTCCTGGGCCTGTTTCCTCATCTGTCCATGGGGGAAACTGACCAGAATTGGCCTGTGAAGACCAAGGTTCTCCTTGTCCCAATCAGAAGACCCCTGCAGGACTGCCTGCCTCTCAGCCTCTGTGTCCCTCTAGGATTTTTGAAGACATTCCCTGTTCTCTATTCTCCTCTTATAGATCACTTAGGGTCCACCAGGTCTTCCAGCCCAATCAAGGACCAACAGCTCCTGTGGGCGGGAGGAAGAGCAAAGGTGGGATAGGATGGAACTGGGAGAAGATAACCACCCATTTAGGCCCTGAACTTTAAATTCTGGATTGGTTTCTTAACTGAGATTGCAGAGAAAAGGTTTCACACATGCTCACACCCACTCACACACAGCTCTTACTCCAGGAAATGATAGTGAATACGTGTCATGCTAAGTACTTCCCCTGCATTAACTGATTCAATCTGTCCAACAATCATGTGGTATTGATACTGTTATGATCCCTATTTTACAGATGAGCAAACTAAGCCACAGGAAGGTTAACTGACCCATTAAAGTTTACATCACTAATTGCTTTAGCAGAGCCAGGATTCAAATTTAGATCCTCTAGCTTGAGAGCCCAGGGTCATAATCTGTTAACACAGGCCCAACCTTGCCCAAGGCCACACAGAGTTAGTGAGGAACTAGCAGTGCAGCCCAGGCCTTCTGAATGGGTAGTGGCCAGAGTTCTGCCCCTACTCTGGGACAAAGTGAGGTCCCCTAGCAAACTCGTCAGTGAGGGCTGGGGTGAAGCAATGTCCTTCCTTCTCTCTGCCTGCCCTTGTCCTGAAGTATAAGCACTTCTGTAGACTTTATGACAAAAAAGAACAGGAGCTCTCTCTCTCCTGCCGCCTTGTGAAGAAGGTGCCTTCTTCCCCTTTGCCTCCTGCTATGACTGAGAGTTTCCCGAGGCCTCCCCAGCCATATGGAACTGTGAGTCAATTAAACCTCTTTTCTTTATAAATTAATAAAAAGAAGAAGAGGAGGAGGACTCAATCATAACTGTTGGCTTTCTACTCCATTCTAGAGTGTCTATTTCTTGATAAAGTAACCACTAACATCTCCATGGCACTTCACAGTTTATACAGTTCTTTCCCAACTCTCTTAACATCAGCAAGAAAACTTTGTAAGATGAGTAGTGTTAGGATGATTTAACTCATACTTTATAGACATGGGAACAGACAGCTGGAAAGAGACTTGCAGAAGTGACTATGCCATGAAGCCAAGGCATGGAGCAGGATGCTGTGATTACAAATTGTGCCGGTAGCATTCTTGCTGGGATTCCAAGGAGGCTCCTAAAATAACTTGGCAGGTTGTGTCAGCCACACATGTGATAAATATTTCTCTCTACACCTCCCAGCACACTGCCAGTGTAGTTATAAAATGCTACAGAGCTGGTTGTGACCACGAAAACGACATGTGCATCCTACACTTTACTAAATTGTGTATTCAGTGAACTCATGGTTTCAGCAGAAAGGCAAATGTTGCAAATAATTCTGACATGTCACAATCAGAATCATTTGTGTTTCCAGGAAAGCAAAAAGTAAAAGGTGATGAAACCAACAGGTAAAAGAGAAATCAGAGAATGTGAGGCAAATTTCAGAAGAGCACGTGGAAGGGAATTAATGAAACAGGAAATTAGTGAAGGAAATGAAGATCATCATGAGATGTGTTACAAAACGTCAGCACAACCTACACCATTTCTCATACTCCTTATTTCAGTAACCCCCTAACTTGTTTTGCCTGACCCTGGGCAGGACTTATCCAGGGAATTCCCTACTCAGCCACCAGAAAGCGTCTTGAAAAACATAGATCTTGAAACATGTTTCTTTCCTTGTCTTCAGTCCCTCCAACTGCTCCTATCACCCACAGGATAAAATCTAAGTATCTCTAGGAAGTAACACAAGACCCTTTCTGATCTGGCCACTGTTAGCTTCTTCATTCGGTCTCAGTCCACTTTTCCAAGTGTGCATGATGTTTTAAGCAAATGGTGTGACTGGACACTCCTCAGGCTCTACAAAAATGACATATCCGTGTCTCCTTGTGTCCACACAAGCTGTTCTTCAGCATAGAGTGGGTCCAACCCAGCTTCCATCTGGTGCATTCCTAACCATCCTTCAGGAGTCAGCCAGGGCATCATCTCCCCAACAAGCCTCTTCCATGACCTCAGCAGGCAGGTGCTGGAGAGGGTCCCACTGGTGCTTTCTCACAGTTCCAACAGCTGAACACACAGTGGCTGTCATCCTGGGATGCTCACAGCATTCACATGCATGGGGAGCTTCTAAAAACCACAGGTTCACTGGGTGTGGTGGCTCATGCTTGTAATCTCAACACTTTGGGAGGCCAAGCCGGGCAGATCATGAGATCAGGAGTTCGAGACCAGCTTGGCCAATATTGTGAAACCCCATCTGTACTAAAAATACAAAAATTAGCAGGGTGTGTCGGTGGGTGCCTGTAATCCCAGCTACTCAGGAGGCTGAGGCAGGAGAATTGCTTGAATCTGGGAGGTGGAGGTTGCAGTGAGCCAAGATCGGGCCATTGCACTCCAACTCCAGCCTGGGTGACAGAGTGAGACTCCGACTCAAGAAACAAACAAACAAACAAAACCCCCACAGGTTCCTGGGCCTACCAGAAATGAGAAGGGCTTGCCCAGGGGCCTAACAATGAGGAGGCAGGGACCATTGAGGGCCATCTGGAGAGAATCCAAAGTGTCCCATCAATCCAGAGACATGAAAAAAAGGCATCATGCCCAACTCATTCCATGAGGGCCATAACCACATGATCCAAATCAGAAAAAAATCAGGACTGCAAAGGAAGATGGCATGCCAGTCTCATTGATGAGCATCAGTGCAAAAATCCTAAACAAAACAGTAGCAAGCCACAGACAGCAATGATCAAAGATGACACACCATGACCAAGTTGAATTTAAACCTGAGACTCAAGAATGGTTAACAGAGAAATAGTATAAATACCAATGATATCGTCAACAGGTTAAAGGAGAATGGTTATAAGATCATCTCAATGGTTTTAGGAAAAGGCTTTGATAGTTCAATAACAATATATTAATAATATATGATAATAATATTCAACTTTCATTTATGATATAAAAACCTTCAACAACTAATAGCAGGGAATTTTCTTAATCTGATGAAAGCATCTACCAAAAAAAACTTAGAGAAAACATTATTCTTAGTAGTATAAAAGCATTATGCTCTTATACCTTCTTAGTGTTTACCATGTGCACATATTACCTTTTCAAAACTAGTAACATTTTTTTTAAACAAAAAAAATCCTATCAATTAACTTACTTTTTTCTGTAATTGAAAAGAATATGATAGCTTGTTCTTGTCAGAAGTTCAGCTTGTGATTCACCTGGGGTCAACACAGGACAAGGTTTAATAATCACTGAAATAATTAAACTTTGTAATGCCTCATGAGGCTGCTTGAACCGACATGATTTCAAGGGCACCGAGAGGCTGGAGGAAAGCAGAGGGTCAGCAAGTTCATTCAGCTGAGATCATCTCAGTTTACAAACTGGGCTTTATGACCTTTAATTGGGACATGAGTTTCTTTGATAATCAAATGAAAGGAATGAACCATCTCTCTAGAATAAACCAGCAACCAGCATTTTTGCATGAAGTTCCAAGGGGACCCCAGAGAGACATGTTACTAGGAAGCTTGCCAAACCCAGTGACTTTCCAGGGGACCTGCCCACCCAAGTGCAGCCCACGCCTGACACCCAGCCCTCAATGCCCTATTCTGATCGGTTACATGGTTATCTCCAGGACCATGGGGCCCTCTCTATCAGTGTGAATGGGTTCTCCACTGTGCCCTGTGCTATGACACAACACAGGGCAACAGAACCATAAGGGAAGGTGTGAACAAGACCTTTGCAGACAGAGCCATACTGAAACCCTAGGTAGGGTACTTCACCACACGGAGGGAACTGGAGAGACACCAGGAGTTCTGGGAAGGCAGAGATAAGGGGATCTGGAACTACCTGGGGTGAAGTCTTCCTAAAGGAGTGACTGTTTGCATTATCATAGAGAAGTGTTTGGACAGAAGAAGGGAAAGTGAGAAGCATTTCAGGCTGTGAGAATGGTCCAGCTTTTTTTAGTAATAAAAAAATAGAAAACGTAGAAATTACTTTTAACTCTGTGTATTGAATACGCAAGAAATGGCATCCCAATCCTTTTCTTTACTATTATTTTTGTTATTTAGACAGTCTTGCTGCATTGCCCAGGCTGGAGTACAATGGCACAATCATGGCTCACCGCCACCGCAGCCTCCCAGGCTCAAGCAATTCTCCTGCCTCAGCCTCCTGAGTAGCTGGGACAACAGGCATGCATCACCATGCCTGGCTAATTTTTTGATGTTTTGTAGACATGAAGTCTGGTATTGAACTGACTTGCCTAGGATGGTCTTGAACTTCTGGCTTCAAATGATCCTCCTGTCTCAGCCTTGCAAAGCACTGGGATTACAGGCATGAACCACTGAGCCCAGCCACTTTATTATGAACAAGGTTGAATATTTCTGTATTTTTGACAGCTGCATTTCTTCTTTGATAAAATGTTCATGTCCTTTGCCCTTGTGATACCTGTTGGAGTTGCTTTGTTTTTCATGTCAAGCTATAATAAATATAATTTAACTGGCAAAGAGAGAAAGGCCCAGCTTAACCCTTATTATCATTGTTGAGTCATTTTTTGGTTGCAAGGTACAGTGTCTGTATCGAGGCAGTTTCAATTACTGCTAATAAAGAAGCCATCTGGCCAGGAATCATGCCAGCATGTGGATATTATACTTTTAGGGCAAAGGTTCTGCCCTCCACCGGTCAGCAAGAGGCTTAAGGCTGGCCGGGGACCCCAGATAACATCACCGGGCTTGGCAGGCACCACAGTGACCTGTTCCATGCCTGCTAGTGTATATTTCTGAGGTTTAAAATATGTATAGGGATGAAATTCACATAACATAAAATTAACCATTTTTTTATGATTATCCAATCTCAGGACTGAAAATTAACCATTTTAAGGTGAAAAAAATCAGTGGAATTCAGTACATTCTGTGTTCTGCAATCACTACCTCTATCTAGTTGCAAAATGTTCCCATCATTCCAAAATAAAGCCTGTACCAGTTGAGCAGTTTCTCCCCACTCTCCCCTCTCCCCAGACCCTGGCATCCACCATTGCACATTCTGTCTCTGTGGGCTTCCCTCTTCTGGATATTTTGTATGATGCAATATATGGACTTTCGTTTCTGGCCTTCACTTCATAGTAAAGTGAGGCTATCCATTCTGTAGCATGTGTTCATCCATTTTTTTTGCGGTTCATCCATTCTGTAGCATGCGTCAGTACTTCATTCCATTTATGGCCGAATAATATTCCATTGTATGGATAGACCACAATTTATTTATCCATCCATCGATGGACATGTGGGCTATTAGCACCTTTTGGCCCTTGTGAATTGGACTGTTAGAAATATGTGAGTCCGTGTATTTTAGTAACTGTTTTTAATCCTCTCAGATCTATAACTTAGAGGGGAATTGCTGGGTCACATTGAAATTCTGTTGAACTTTTTGAGGAAACTCCAAGCTGTTTTCCATAGCAGCAGCACCGTATTACATTCTCACCAGCAATGGGTGAGAATTCCAATTTCTCCATGTTCTTGTCAACACTTGTTATCTTCCTTCAAAAAAAAAATAGCCATCTGAGTGGGTGTGAAGTGGTAATTTTTCTGGGATTTTGAATTTGTGCAACCACAAACAATTAGGAACCTGTGAGAAGATGCCAGAGACAGAGGAGGACAAGAAAAAGGTGTGGCTGGGAACCTGACGCAGGTGGTCCCTGGGCTTTCTATTTTTGTTTGTTTGTTTGTGTTTGTTTTTGTTTTTGAAATGGAATCTTGCTCTGTTGCCCAGGCTGGAGTGCACTGGCACAATCTCGGCTCACTGCAACTGCTGCCTCCTGGGCTCAAGCAATTCTTGTGCCTCAGCCTCCCAAGTAGCTGGGATTAGAGGCATGCACCACCACGCCCAGCTAATTTTTTGTATTTTTAGTAGAGATGGGGTTTTGCCATGTTGCCCAGGCTGGTCTTGAACTCCTGAGCTCAGGTGATCTGCCTGCCTCGGCCTCCCAAAGTGCTGGGATTACAGGCAGGAGCCACCGTGCCCAGCCAGGCTCCTGGGCTTTCTATGGACTCCAGAGACATCTCGTTCTGTAGAGAGAAGACAGTGAGTAGGGATCCTTGGAATATGACTGACGTGCAGGCCCTGTCTGAGTTATTTAAACTTCCTCAGCCTCAGTTGCCTAATCTACAAAATGGGTGTTAATAATTCTGTCTTTCCCTCCCAAAGGAGCTCAGAGGAGACCAGACCCTGGCCTGTGATCTGCAGTGGGCTTGGGACCTAGATCTGCAAGTCTGGCTGGTGTTGGCTTTGACTAGAGAGAACGGGGAATATTACCAAGCCTAGTACCTGACTCTTGGCAGTCCTTCCATAAACGTTTGCTCAATATGAAAACAGTTAGTTCAGTAGTTGCCGAGAGACAGGACAAGAGTTATAGAGTAACCCGACATTACATAACGTATTTTCTTTTTATCAAGAAGGGGAGACATGAGTTCAAGTTTTACTGAACAAATAATTGAAAGGTTGGGCGCTTGCTAAGCAGGGTCTCTGAGCCACAGAGTGACCTACGGAAGGGAGCATTGGAGAAGGCAGGAATTGGAAGGTGGGAAACAGCCAGATCAGACCAGACATGTGATTAGGAGGAAATGAAAGGACAACTGGAACATATTGTCAGAATGAAGTCATCACAGTAGTCCAGACCCCTCCAAATCTGTTGTTTACTCACGTGACCGTGGGCAAAATCCTTTTACTCTCATTCCCTATCTAGCCATTAGAACCACATGTTCTTGATGCCCAGGATTCTATGAGCTAAGTTCAAAGCTTCCAAGGTTGCAGACCACGAGACAGAGATAAAATGCAGGCATGGTGGCTGAGATCAGCAGCCAGCTAAAATATGTTGCAGTTTAAATAATACCAGCAGTGATGACACATATCTAATATTTTCCTACCATCTTACTGGCATAATCCTTGTTGAATATTAAACAATTAACTCAACTTTGCACATGAACTTCAGGAAGTTCAGATTCTAACGACTACTGCAGACAGGTTGAGAATATGAGTAGGCTTACCCCAAAACACATTATTAGGGTCAATTCCAGTGCCTGCCATTGAAAGTCAAGGTTTCTTTGACAGGTTTAATTCTCTCAGAATATGTATCAAAGTAGAACCTGAAAGACAGCTACTTACATGCCCAGAAATTATTATTATTATTAATTATACTTTAAGTTCTGGGGTACATGTGCAGAACGTGCAGTTTTATTACATAGGTGTATATGTGCCATGGTGGTTTGCTGCACCCATCAACCCGTCACCTACATTAGGTATTTCTGCTAATGCTATCCCTCCCGTAGGCCCCCACTCCCCGACATGCCCCAGTGTGTGACGTTCCCCTCCCTGTGTCCATGTGTTCTCATTGTTTAACTCCCACTTATGAGTGACAACATGCAGTGTTTGGTTTTCTGTTATTGTGCTAGTTTGCTGAGAATGATGGTTTCCAGCTTCATCCATGTCTCTGCAAAGGACATGAACTCATCCTTTTTTATGGCTGCATAGTATTCCACAGTGTATATGTGCCACATTTTCTTTATTCAGTCTATCATTGATGGGCTTTTGGATTGGTTCCAGGTCATTGCTATTGTAAATAGTGTTACAATAAACATAAGTGTGCATGTGTCTTTATAGTAGAATGATTTATAATCCTATGGGTATACACCCAGTAATGGGATTGCTGGGTCAAATGGTATCTCTAGTTCTAAATCCGTGAGGAATTGCCACACAGTCTTCCACAATGGTGGAAGCCACCTCTTCCCCGAGGGGCTCTGTCCCAGGGAGATGGGGGTTTCATCTATAAGTCCCTGACTGGGGCTGCTGCCTTTTTTTCAGAGATATCCTTCCCAGAGAGGAGAAATCCAGAGAGGCAGTCTGGCCACAGTGGCCTTACTGAGCTGTGGTGAGCTCCACCCAGTTCAAACTTCCCAGCAGCTTTGTTTACACCGCGAAGGTAAAACCACCTACTCAAGCCTCAGCAATGGAAGATGCCCCCCCACAGCACCCAACCAAGTTCGAGGGTCCCAGGTCAATCTCAGACTGCTGCTGTGCTGGCAGCAAGAATTTCAAGCCAAGTGAATCTTTGTTTGCTGGGCTCCATGGGGGTGGGGCCCACCGAGCCAGACCACTTGGATCCCTGGTTTCAGCCCCCTTTCCAGGGGAGTGAACGGTTCTGTCTCACTGGCGTTCCAGGTGCCAATGGGGTATGGAAAAAAAAAAAAAAAAACTCCTGCAGCTAGTTCGGTGTCTGCCCAAATGGCTGCCCAGTTTTGTGCTTGAAACCCAGGGCCCTGGTGGCATAGGCACCGGAGGGAATCTCCTGGTCTGCGGGTTGCAAAGACCATGGGAAAAGTGCAGTATCTGGGCCAGAGTGCACAGTTCCTCAGGCTCAGTCCCTTATGGCTTTCCTTGGGTAGGGGAGAAAATTCCACGACCCCTTGTGCTTCCCAGGTGAGGCGACGCCCCACCCTGCTTTGGCTCACCCTCCGTGGGCTGCACCCTCTTGTCCAACCAGTCCCAATGAGATGAACCAGGTACCTCAGTTGGAAATGCAGAAATCACCTGCCTTCTCTGTCGATCTCACTGGGAGCTGCAGAACGGAGCTGTTTCTATTCCGCCATCTTGCCAGCAATTCAGAAATTATTTTTTCCAAAGAAAAGGCCCCATGCAAACTGGCTGAAACAAAATGGGTTTATACCCATGAAATAATCCGGGTGACTTTAGTCAATAAAACTCAATGCTGGTAAAGTTACTTTAAATAATTTTGGTAAAGTTATAACAACAAAAGCCAAAATTTAAAAAAAAATTTTAGGAAAGAGGCAGGGACTGCGTGGTATTCTTTTAGTGCTGTGACAGGCTGGTAGAGATGGATTCTCCTTGATTTATTTATTTATTTATTGCTAGAAAGTGACTAGAAACCATATGAAAATATGAAAATATAAAGTTATTTGGTAAAAGTAAATATATGTACAAATCTAAAACCTGTGTTATTGCAACTTAGGCTTGTAGCTCCTCTTTTAATTATTTTATAGGATATAAAAGACCAAAGCATAACAAATAACTATGTCTATGTAAATGGGTACATGATATAAAAAGATGTAATTTGTGACATAAATAACATAAAGGAGGGAGTGCAGAGCTGTAAAGGAGTAGTGGTTTTTAATGAAACTGAAGTTAAATTGTAATCAATTTAAAATACATTGTTATAACCTTAGGAAGTTTTATGTAATCACCATGGTAACCACAAAGAAAATATATACAGAATACACAATAGAAAATGAGAAGGTAATCAAAACATGTCACTATAAAATATCAACCAAATACAAAGAAAGGCAATAAGAAAATGAGGGACAAAAAAGCTGTAAGATATGCAGAAGACAAATAACAAAATCACAGTAGTAAGTCCTTCCCCATCAGTATGTTTTAAATGTAAATACATTAGACCCCTCAATATAAAGACATAGATTGCCAGAGTGAATAAAACAAATAGGATCCAACTATATTCTGTCTACAAGTGACTCACTTTAGATCTAAAAACATGCATACATTGAAAGTGAAAGAATAGAAAAAGACATTCCCTGCAAATAATAATCAGAAGATAGAAGGAGTAGCTATACTAACACTAGTGTCATACAAGATTGACTTTAGTTCAAAAACTGTTACAAGAAACAAAGAACATTACATAATGATAAAAGAGTGAATTAACCAAAAAGATATAATAATTATAAACATATATGTACTAAACATCAGAGCTCCTAAGTATATGACACAAACATTGATAGAATTAAATGAGAAAATAAATAGCTCTACAATAATAGTAAGAGGCTTCAACAGTCAACTTTCGATATTAAATAGAACAACTAAACAGAGGATAATAAGGAAATAAGGGACAAGAACAACACTATAGGCCAATTAGACCCAACAGACATATATAGAACATTCCACCCAACAGTAGTAGAAGACATTTTTCTCAAGTGCATATAGAACATTGTTCAGGATATATCATGTATTAGGCCACAAAACAAGTCTTAATAAATTTAAAAAGATTGAAATCATGTAATGTATCTTTTCCAATCACAATTAAATAAAACTAGACATCAATAGCAGGAGGAAAACTGGAAAATTCACAAATACATGAAAATTAAAAAACATACTCTTAGACAACCAATGGGTCAAAGAATAAATCACAAGAGAAATTAGAAAATATCTCAAGACAAGATATTTTTTGTTTCGTTATTATGAAAACAAAAAAATACCAACTGATGAGATGCAGCAAAACAATGCTAAAAGGGAAACTTGTAGTTATAAACATTTCCATTAAAAAAAAAGTGCCCCAATGAACATATGTGTGCATGTGTCTTTATGGTAGAATATTTACATTCCTTTGGGTAAATACTCAATAATGGGTCAATAGTGGGTCAATAATGCTGAGTCAAATAGCAATTATATTTTAAGTTATTTCAGAAATTGCCAAACTGCTTTCCACAGTGGCTTTACTTACAATAACAAAGACGTGGAATCAACCTAAATGCCCATCAATGATAGACTGGGTAAAAAAAAAAATGTGGCACACATACACCATGGAATACTAAGCAGCCATTAAAAATAATATGATCATGTCCTTTGCAGGGACAAGAGCAGAGCTGGAGGCCATTATTCTAAGTTAATTAACACAGGAACAGAAAACCAAATACGGCATGTTCTCACTTATGAGTGATAGCTAAACATCAAGTACACATGGACACAAAGAAGAAAACAACAGACACTGGGGCCTATGTGGGGGCAGAAGGTAGGAGGAGGGTAAGGGTAAAAAAAACTGCCTATCCTGTGCTAGGTTTGTTGTCCCGGTGACAAAATTATCTGCACAACAAACCCCTGGGACATGTAATTTACCTATATAACAAACCTGTTATATAATTACCTATGTAACAAACCTTAGGTTCATGTACCCCTGAACCTAAGCTAAAACTTAAGAAAACAGTGCTCCCAGATGGCCATATGTATAGCTGTGCTGCAGAGAGACATAGAGGAGCACCCCCACCCTCACCCACTGCCCTGGACCCTTGTAATCACCCCACTTCCTATAGAATGGAAGAAAATTTTTGCAATCTACCCATCTGACAAAGGGCTAATATCCAGAATCTACAAAGAACTAAAACAGATTTACAAGAAAAAAACAAACAACCCCATCAAAAAGTGGGTTTGTCATAGATAGCTCTTATTATTTTGAGATACGTCCCATCAATATCTAATTTATTGAGAATTTTTAGCATGAAGGGCTGTTGAATTTTGTCAAAGGTCTTTTCTACATCTATTGAGATAATCATGTGGTTTTTGTCTTTGGTTCTGTTTATATGCTGGATTATGTTTATTGATTGGCATGTGTTGAACCAGCCTTGCATCCCAGGGATGAAGCCCACTTGATCATGGTGGATAAGTTTTTGATGTGCTGCTGGATTTGGTTTGCCAGTATTTTATTGAGGATTTTTGCATCAGTGTTCATCAGGGATATTGGTTTAAAATTCTCTTTTTTTGTTGTGTCTCTGCCAGGCTTTGGTATCAGGATGATGCTGGCCTCATAAAATGAGTTAGGGAGGATTCCCTCTTTTTCTATTGATTGGAATAGTTTCAGAAGGAATGGTACCAGCTCCTCCTTGTACC
Source organism: Homo sapiens (assembly GCF_000001405.40). Taxonomy (NCBI): domain Eukaryota; kingdom Metazoa; phylum Chordata; class Mammalia; order Primates; family Hominidae; genus Homo; species Homo sapiens. Next base: position 99,800,225 of record NC_000007.14, read on the forward strand.
TCTGGTAGAATTCAGCTGTGAATCCATCTGGTCCTGGGCTTTTTTTGGTTGGTAAGCTATTAATTATTGCCTCAATTTCAGAGCCTGTTATGGGTCTATTCAGAGATTCAACTTCTTCCTGGTTTAGTCTTGGGAGGGTGTCTGTGTCCAGGAATTTATCCACTTCTTCCAGATTTTCTAGTTTATTTGCATAGAGGTGTTTATAGTATTCTCTGATGGTAGTTTGTATTTCTGTGGGATTGGTGGTGATATCCCCTTTATCATTTTTTATTGTATCTATTTGATTCTTCTCTCTTTTCTTCTTTATTAGTCTCGCTAGCAGTCAATCAATTCTGTTGATCTTTTCAAAAAACCAGCTCCTGGATTCATTGATTTTTTGAAGGGTTTTTTGTGTCTCTGTTTCCTTCAGTTCTGCTCTGATCTTAGTTATTTCTTGCCTTCTGCTAGCTTTTGAATGTGTTTGCTCTTGCTTCTCTAGTTCTTTTAATTGTGATGTTAGGGGGTCAATTATAGATCTTTCCTGCTTTCTCTTGTGGGCATTTAGTACTATAAATTTCCCTCTGCACACTGCTTTGAATGTGTCCCAGAGATTCTGGTATGTTGTGTCTTTGTTCTCGTTGGTTTCAAAGAACATGCCTTCATTTCATTATGTACCCAATAGTCATTCAGGAGCAGGTTGTTCAGTTTCCATGTAGTTGAGCGGTTTTGAGTGAATTTCTTAATCCTGAGTTCTAGTTTGATTGCATTGTGATCTGAGAGACAGTTTCTTATAATTTCTGTTCTTTTACATTTGCTGAGGAGTGTTTTACTTCCAACTATGTGGTCAATTTTGGAATAGGTGTGGTGTGGTGCTGAAAAGAATGTATATTCTGTTGATTTGGGGTGGAGAGTTCTGTAGATGTCTATTACGTCCACTTGGTGCAGAGCTGAGTTCAATTCCCGGATATCCTTGTTGACTTTCTGTCTCGTTGACTGTCTAATGTTGACAGTGGGGTGTTAAAGTCTCCCATTATTATTGTGTGGGAGTCTAACTCTCTTTGTAGGTCTCTAAAGACTTGCTTTATGAATCTGGGTGCTCCTGTATTGGGTGCATATATATTTAAGATAGTTCACTCTTCTTGTTGAATTGATCCCTTTACCATAATGAAATGGCCTTCTTTGTCTCTTTTGAGCTTTGTTGGTTTAAAATCTGTTTTACCAGAGACTAGGATTGCAACCCCTGCCTTTTTTGGTTTTCCATTTGCTTGGTAGATCTTCCTCCATCCCTTTATTTTGAGCCTATGTGTGTCTCTGCACGTGAAATGGGTTTCCTGAATATAGCACATTGATGAGTCTTGACTCTTTATCCAATTTGCCAGTCAGTGTCTTTTAATTGGAGCATTTAGCCCATTTACATTTAAGGTTAATATTGTTATGTGTGAATTTGATCCTGTCATTATGATGTTAGCTGGTTATTTTGCTCGTTAGTTGATGCAGTTTCTTCCTAGCCTCGATGGTCTTTACAATTTGGCATGTTTTTGCAGTGGCTAGTACTGGTTGTTCCTTTCCATATTTAGTGCTTCCTTCAGGAGCTCATTTAGGGCAGGCCTGGTGGTGACAAAATCTCTCAGCATTTGCTTGTCTGTAAAGTATTTTATTTCTCCTTCACTTATGAAGCTTAGTTTGGCTGGATATGAAATTCTGGGTTGAAAATTCTTTTCTTTAAGAATGTTGAATATTGGCCCCCACTCTCTTCTGGCTTGTAGAGTTTCTGCCGAGAGATCAGCTGTTAGTCTGATGGGCTTCCCTTTGTGGGTAACCCGACTTTTCTCTCTGGCTGCCCTTAACATTTTTTCCTTCATTTCAACTTTGGTGAATCTGACAATTATGTGTCTTGGAGTTGCTCTTCTCGAAGATTATCTTTGTGGTGTTCTCTGTATTTCCTGAATTTGAATGTTGGCCTGCCTTGCTAGATTGGGGAAGTTCTCCTGGATAATATCCTGCAGAGTGTTTTCCAACTCGGTTCCATTCTCCCCGTCACTTTCAGGTACACCAGTCAGACATAGATTTGGTCTTTTCACATAGTCCCATATTTCTTGGAGGTTTGTTCATTTCTTTTTATTCTTTTTTCTCTAAGCTTCTCTTCTCGCTTCATTTCATTCATTTCATCTTCCATCACTGATACCCTTTCTTCCAGTTGTTTGCTTCGGCTACTGAGGCTTTTGCATTTGTCACATAGTTCTCGTGCCATGGTTTTCAGCTCCATCAGGTCCTTTAAGGACTTCTCTGCATTGTTTATTCTAGTAAGCCATTCGTCTAATCTTTTTTCAAGGTTTTTAACTTCTTTGCCATGGGTTCAAACTTCCTCCTTTAGCTTGGAGTAGTTTGATCGTCTGAAGCCTTCTTCTCTCAACTCATCAAAGTCACTCTCTGTCCAGCTTTGTTCCGTTGCTGGTTAGGAGCTGTGTTCCTTTGGAGGAGGAGAGGTGCTCTGATTTTTAGAATTTTCAGTTTTTCTGCTCTGTTTTTTCCCCATCTTTGTGGCTTTATCTACCTTTGGTCTTTGATGGTGGTGATGTACAGATGGGGTTTTGGTGTGGATGTCCTTTCTGTTTGTTAGTTTTCCTTCTAACAGTCAGGACCCTTAGCTGCAGGTCTGTTGGAATTTGCTGGAGGTCCACTCCAGACACTGTTTGCTTAGGTGTCAGCAGCAGAGGCTGCAGAACAGTGGATATTGGTGAACAGCAAATGTTGCTGCCTGATCATTCTTCTGGAAGTTTTGTCTCAGAGGAGTACCTGGCCGTGTGAGGTGTCAGTCTGCCCCTCCCAGTTAGGCTGCTCGGGGGTCAGGGACCCACTTGAGGAGGCAGTCTGTCTGTTCTCAGATCTCAAGCTGCATGCTGGGAGAGCCACTACTCTCTTCAAAGTTGTCAGACAGGGACATTTAAGTCTGCAGAAGTTTCTGCTGCCTTTTGTTTGGCTATGCCCTGCCCCCAGAGGTGTAGTCTACTGAGGCAGGCAGGCCTCCTTGAGCTGTGGTGGGCTCCACCCAGTTCGAGCTTCCCAGCTGCTTCGTTTACCTACTCAAGCCTCGGCAATGGTGGGCGCCCCTCCCCCAGCCTCACTGCCTCCTTGCAGTTTGATCTCAGACTGCTGTGCTAGCAATGAGTGAGGCTCCATGGGCATAGGAACCTCTGAGCCATGCGCAGGATATAATCTCCTGGTGTGCCATTTGCTAAGACCATTGGAAAAGCCCAGTATTAGGGAGGGAGTGACCCAATTTTCCAGGTGCCGTCTGTCACCCCTTTCCTTGGCTAGGAAAGGGAATTCCCTGACCCCTTGCACTTCCCAGGTGAGATGATGCCTCACCCTGCTTCAGCTCATGCTCAGTGTGCTGCACCCACTGTCCTGTGCCCACTGTCCAACAATCCCCAGTGAGATGAACCCGATACCTCAGTTGGAAATGCAGAAATGATTCGTCTTCTGCGTCACTCACACTGGGAGCTGTAGACTGGAGCTGTTCCTATTTGGCCATCTTGGCTCTGCCCCCTGAAATCACTTTCAATATCCCCCACTAGATATTGACTGTTATATCAAGTATTAAGTATAAAACTTTTAATTGACAATAGTATAACTGTGAATGGCTTCTGGTTTTGTTTTTAATTCTGTGGATTGTGTTTAAACAATTCTAAAGTGTGTTCGTTTTCTGAGATTTTAAGTGGTATTGCACAGTTGTACACATTTATAGAATGTTTAAAGAGCATACCCTTGTAGAGCTTCAGGTCTAGAATTTAAATTAATCTGTTATCACAGAAAAAAAATAGAAAGAAGAAAGATCTCAAATCTACAATCTGACCTTATACATTAAGAAACTGGAAAAGAAAAATATACTAAACCCAGAGCTAGCAAAAGTAAGGTAATAATAAAGATTAGAGCAAAGAAAAACAAAATCAGGAATACAAAAGCAATAGAGAAAATCAATGAAACCAAGAGTTGGTTCATTAAAAGATCAACAAAATGGTCAAACTTTTAGTTAGATACAGTAAGAAAAAAATACACAAATAATGGAAATTAGAAAAGAAAGAATATGACTATCAAATTTACAAAAATAAAAATAATAAGATAGTACTATGAACAATTGTACAACAATGCATTGGTTAACCTTGATTAAATGGACAAATTCCTATAAAAACACATCCTACCAAGTTTGAATCAGAATAAATAAATAATCTTAACAGATCTGTGACTGTTAAGGAGGTTGAATCACTGATCAAAACCCCCCCATAATAAAAAGTCCAGGACACATGGATTCACTGGTGAATTCTACCAAACATTAAAGGGATCATTGTCAAAAACAAATTGTCTTCGAATTCTTCCAAAAAATTGAAAGGGAGGGAGCATTTCCAAACTCATTCTATGAGGCAGTGTTACCTTGATACCAAAGAAAAATAAAGACACTACAAGAAAACTATAGGCCAAAATATCTGATGAATATTGGTGCAAAAATCCTCATCAAAATACTAGCAAATAGAATTCAACAGCATATTAAAAGGATTATAAACCATAACCAAATGAGATTTATTCCTAGAATGCAAGGGTGATTCAGCAGATGTCAATCAACCAATGTACACCATATTAACAGAATGAAGAGGAAAAAAAAGACTACGTGATTGATGATCTAAATTGATGCAGAAAAAGTATTTGACAAAATTTAACACCATTCCATGATAAAAACACTCAATAAATTAAGAATAGAAGGAAAATACCTCAACATAATAAAGGCCACATATGTCTTCATTTCCATTTATGAAAGACTGAAAACTTTTTCTGCTTGATCAGGCACAAGACAAGGATATCTACTTTACCACTTCTATTCAACATAATACTGGAAGCACTAGCCAGATCGATTAACTAAGAAACATAAATAAAAGGCATCCAAGTTAGAATGGAAGAAGTAAAATTATCCCTGTTCACAAATGGCATGATTTTATATGTAGCAACCACTGAAGATTCCACAAGAAAAGCTGCTAGAACTAATAAACAAATTTGGCATAGTTGGGCATGGTGGCTCATGCCTATAATCCCAGGCACTTTGGGAGGCTGAGCTGGGAGGATCGCTTGAGATCAGGAGTTCAAGACAAATTTAGCAAAGTTGCAGGATGCAAAATCAACACACAAAAATCAGTTGTGTTTCTATACACTAACTATGAGCCGTCTGAAAAGAAAATTAAGAAAAAAATCCATTTACAATAGCATCAAAAAGAATAAAATACTTAGGAATAAACTTAACCAAGAAGGAAAGAAACATACATTGAAAACTACAAAACATTGCTTAAAGAAATTAAAGACGCCAATAAATGGAAAGGCATTTCATGTTTATGAATTGGAAGACTTAATATACTTACAATGTCAATACTACCCAAAGAGATCTGTAAATTTAATGCAATTTCTGTCCAAATCCAAACGGTGGGTTTTTTTGTTAGAAACAAAAAAATTCATGCAAAATCTCAAGGGACCCCAAATAGCCAAAATAATCTTGAAAAAATTACAAAGCTGGAGGTCTTACATTTTCTGACTTCAAAACTTACTACAAAGCTACAGTAATCAAAACAGTATGGTGCTGGCATAAAGACAGACATAGAGATCAATGGATCAAAACAGAGAGCTCAGAAATCAACTTTGTATACATGGTCAAATGATTTTTGACAAGGGTGCCAAGACCAATAGGGAATGGACAGACAGTCTTTTCAACAAATAGTATTGGGAAAATTGATATCTACATGCAAAAGAATGAAACTTGGCCGTTAGCTTACACCATACATAAAAATTCACTGAAATGGATCAAAGACCTAAGTAAAAGAGCTAAAGCTATAAAAACTCTTAGAAAGAAACATAAAGGAAAAGATTTATGACATTGGATATGGCAATGAGTTCTTGAATATGACACCAAAAGAACAAGCGACAAAAGAAAATATAGATAATGTGGACTACATTGAAATTAAACTCTGTGTGACAGAGGACACAATCAACGAAGTGAAAAAGCAATTTATAGAATGTAAGAAAATATTTGCAATTTAAGTATCTGAAAAAAGGTTAATATCCAGAATATATAAAGAATTCCTGTAATTCAGCAACAACAAAAACAAATAACCTGACTTAAAAAATAGGCAAAGGACTTCAATAGAGATTTCTCCAATGAAGATATACAAATAGCAAAAAGCACATGAAAAAATGCTCAATATCACAAATCATTAGGGAATGCTAATCAAAACCATGATGAGATATTTCCTCACACCCATTAGGATAGCTACTATAAAAAAAACAACTAAAAAATAGCAAATGTTGGTGAAGATATGGAAGAACTGGAACATCTGTAGCTTCTATTTGGGAATGTAAAATGGTGCAGCTACTATGGAAAAGTGTGGTGGTTCCTCAGAAAATTAAGAATACAATTACTGTATGATCCAGTGATATTATTTCTGGATATATACCGAAAATAACTGAAACTGGACTCCAAAAAGATATTTTTAAGCCATGTTCATAGCAGCATTATTCACAATATCCAAAAGGTAGACACAGCCTAAGTGTCCATTGACATATGAATGGGTAAACGAAATGTGATGTATACACAAAATGGAAGGTTATTCAGCCTTAAAAAGAAAGACAAGTCTGATAGAAAGCCCAGTCAGATTAATATCCAAAGGACTGAGCCTTGAACAAAGGGTTATCTTTTAAGTATTTCATGGGTCGGGGGAGATCTGTACAGGGGGAAGCATACTACAGAAGAGAGAAACAAAGACAGTTATTTAATTGAGACATGCATTACATCATTTCTTACTCTTTAAGGAAAAATATGTTTTGTGACTTGAGTTTATCTGTCTAGTGATCTGGCAGCTGCATGGCAAGAGAAACAGAGTCTTCACAAAACCTGGGAAGGGAGAAGAGATAAGGCTTACTAGCCACAGAAAAACAGGCAGTTAATTTTAAAGGACTCCAGCTCTTTCTCTTTCTCAGGGGGAGTTGGGTTTTCTTATATACAACTGAGTTTCTGCTTTACACACTCTTTAATTTCTTTTAATTCCTGTTCCAGGACTATAGGCTTTTGGACCTTTTGTAATGCTGCTAAGGGACTTGTACTCAGTCTACTTCACTGTTCTAATACTTTGCTTGAATTTGGATAAGGTTTTAAAGGAGCAATTTGTTCGGCTCCCCCATGGTCTCCAGGTCTTTCTTCCGCTAATCCTCCTGCTGCCCCTTGATCTTCCTGTCCCCTATTTTGCGAGAGGTATGGAGGGGGCAAGCATGATAGGGGGTCCCATGGCTTTTCACTGGGCAAGGATTTTTTACTAGGTTCTTTTTCTTTTTCTTTGAAGGGGGAATATGAGGGCTAATTCCTTGATCCAGCAGACAGCATAACTTATCTCTTGTGAGGATGGGGTTTTATCATTCACATAGAAAAATAAAGCTTGGCACACCCAATCCTCATCTGGGCCAAACCTAGGTCAAAAGACTGAAGGCTTATGAATGGGGTCTTTAGGACAGATAAAACAGCAGTACTTACCATCTTTTCTTTTCTTTGTCCCTGGCTTGAGGGTTGTCCCTCCAAACCTGCAGCATTATCCCTAAAGGACTGTCCGGGGGAATGTCAGAGGGAATCTTTTTGGCTCCCTCTTTCCTTTGTGCCTTAGGCCTAGAATTTCTGTTTCTCATCTTCAGTCAGTCTCTGTGTCTGAGCTTTTTCCCTGTGTACTCAACCACCCCCCAGCCTCACTGGAGGTTTCCTGCACACCCTGAGAATCGCTTCATCCATCTATGGCCATTTCCCTCGTGGGAGAACAGAACTGCAGATTGGGACTCCGCACTCACTTCATATCTAGGATACATCTCAGTCACACACACTTGACCTCCAAAAATGCCCAACCACCAAGGTAGTACTTATGGTCCAATTTTTCTTCCTCGGCTCATACACAAGGTTGCCTGGTTGCTGTGGTGCCTTCTTTCCTCCTGTGTCACCTCCTCTGCCTCCTGAATAACAGTCTCAGGTTTGTCTATGGCCTCTGCGGGAAGTCGGGATACCTAAACAGAGCGGGCTATCTAAATCAGGTGAGATGTGTCTCCCCTCTCAGCAAGAGTCCCACTCCACACAGGCACAGAAGCCCCAGGTGGGTCCACAAGTTTGTGGTAAACACATTCACCTGTCCAAACCCAAAGAATGAACTTGGAGACATGAAGAACAGTGGAAGTGAGACTTTTTTTTTTTTTTGAGACAAAATCTCGCTCTGTTGCTCAGGCTGGAGTGTAATGGTGTGATCTCAGCTCACTGCAACCTCTGCCTCCCGGGTTAAAACGATTCTCCTGCCTCAGCTTTCTAAGTAGCTGGGACTATAGGTGTGCACCACCATGCTTGGAAATTTGTGGCCTAGAACCCCAATTCAACTGCAAATCACTCCTTGACTATTTACTGAATGCTTGCCATGGACAATGTCCATGTATTTTTGTATTTTTTGTATTTTTAGTACAGATAGTGTTTCACCATATTGGCCAGGCTGGTCTCAAACTCCTGGCCTTGGCCTCCCAAAGTGCTGGAATTAGAGGTGTGAGCTACTGCACCTGGCCGGAAGCAAGACTTTTAATGGTGGCCTTGCAAGATCGGGTGTCTGGTAGGCAGGTACAACCAGGGCAGTTACAGCAGGTAATTTATCTCCTAGCACAGAATTCCTTCCCCCAGTTCCTCATTGGTCAAGTACTACAGAGTTATCTTCCTGGACATCGCCTAAGTTTCATTATCCCCCTTATAAGGTTATACCCCGGTTCCCTTCCCTGCTTAAGTTTGACTTCCTGATAATAAAACTTTCTTCCCTTTTATGGGCTGACCCCTCCTCTACATTCTGTTCACTTATTATGACCTTCTAGGTGCATGAGCCGTGCAGTTTGTTACATCCACAGGCTGGCTGCCAGTGCTTAGATTTACCATGCCTTGAAAATGGATCATTTAAGGGGGAGGAGCCAAGATGGCCGAATAGGAACAGCTCCGGTCTACAGCTCCCAGCGTGAGCGACGCAGAAGACAGGTGATTTCTGCATTTCCATCTGAGGTACCGGGTTCATCTCACTAGGGAGTGCCAGACAGTGGGCGCAGGCCAGTGTGAGCGCGCACCGTGCGCGAGCCGAAGCAGGGCGAGGCATTGCCTCACCTGGGAAGCGCAAGGGGTCAGGGAGTTCCCTTTCCGAGTCAAAGAAAGGGGTGACGGACGCACCTGGAAAATCGGGTCACTCCCACCCGAATATTGCGCTTTTCAGACCGGCTTAAAATACGGCGCACCACGAGACTATATCCCACACCTGGCTCAGAGGGTCCTACACCCACGGAATCTCGATGATTGCTAGCACAGCAGTCTGAGATCAAACTGCAAGGCGGCAACGAGGCTGGGAGAGGGGCGCCCGCCATTGCCCAGGCTTGCTTAGGTAAACAAAGCAGCCGGGAAGCTCGAACTGGGTGGAGCCCACCATAGCTCAAGGAGGCCTGCCTGCCTCTGTAGGCTCCACCTCTGGGGGCAGGGCACAGACAAACAAAAAGACAGCAGTAACCTCTGCAGACTTAAGTGTCCCTGTCTGACAGCTTTGAAGAGAGCAGTGGTTCTCCCAGCACGCAGCTGGAGATCTGAGAACGGGCAGACTGCCTCCTCAAGTGGGTCCCTGACCCCTGACCCCCGAGCAGCCTAACTGGGAGGCACCCCCCAGCAGGGGCACACTGACACCTCACACGGCAGGGTATTCCAACAGACCTGCAGCTGAGGGTCCTGTCTGTTAGAAGGAAAACTAACAACCAGAAAGGACATCTACACCGAAAACCCATCTGTACATCACCATCATCAAAGACCAAAAGTAGATAAAACCACAAAGATGGGGAAAAAACAGAACAGAAAAACTGGAAACTCTAAAACGCAGAGCGCCTCTCCTCCTCCAAAGGAACGCAGTTCCTCACCAGCAACGGAACAAAGCTGGATGGAGAATGATTTTGACGAGCTGAGAGAAGAAGGCTTCAGACGATCAAATTACTCTGAGCTACGGGAGGACATTCAAACCAAAGGCAAAGAAGTTGAAAACTTTGAAAAAAATTTAGAAGAATGTATAACTAGAATAACCAATACAGAGAAGTGCTTAAAGGAGCTGATGGAGCTGAAAACCAAGGCTCGAGAACTACGTGAAGAATGCAGAAGCCTCAGGAGCTGATGCGATCAACTGGAAGAAAGGGTATCAGCAATGGAAGATGAAATGAATGAAATGAAGCGAGAAGGGAAGTTTAGAGAAAAAAGAATAAAAAGAAATGAGCAAAGCCTCCAAGAAATATGGGACTATGTGAAAAGACCAAATCTACGTCTGATTGGTGTACCTGAAAGTGATGTGGAGAATGGAACCAAGTTGGAAAACACTCTGCAGGATATTATCCAGGAGAACTTCCCCAATCTAGCAAGGCAGGCCAACGTTCAGATTCAGGAAATACAGAGAACGCCACAAAGATACTCCTCGAGAAGAGCAACTCCAAGACACATAATTGTCAGATTCACCAAAGTTGAAATGAAGGAAAAAATGTTAAGGGCAGCCAGAGAGAAAGGTCGGGTTACCCTCAAAGGAAAGCCCATCAGACTAACAGCGGATCTCTCGGCAGAAACCCTACAAGCCAGAAGAGAGTGGGGGCCAATATTCAACATTCTTAAAGAAAAGAATTTTCAACCCAGAATTTCATATCCAGCCAAACTAAGCTTCATAAGTGAAGGAGAAATAAAATACTTTATAGACAAGCAAATGCTGAGAGATTTTGTCACCACCAGGCCTGCCCTAAAAGAGCTCCTGAAGGAAGCGCTAAACATGGAAAGGAACAACCGGTACCAGCCGCTGCAAAATCATGCCAAAATGTAAAGACCATCAAGACTAGGAAGAAACTGCATCAACTAACGAGCAAAATCACCAGCTAACATCATAATGACAGGATCAAATTCACACATAACAATATTAACTTTAAATATAAATGGACTAAATTCTGCAATTAAAAGACACAGACTGGCAAGTTGGATAAAGAGTCAAGACCCATCAGTGTGCTGTATTCAGGAAACCCATCTCATGTGCAGAGACACACATAGGCTCAAAATAAAAGGATGGAGGAAGATCTACCAAGCCAATGGAAAACAAAAAAAGGCAGGGGTTGCAATCCTAGTCTCTGATAAAACAGACTTTAAACCAACAAAGATCAAAAGAGACAAAGAAGGCCATTACATAATGGTAAAGGGATCAATTCAACAAGAGGAGCTAACTATCCTAAATATTTATGCACCCAATACAGGAGCACCCAGATTCATAAAGCAAGTCCTGAGTGACCTACAAAGAGACTTAGACTCCCACACATTAATAATGGGAGACTTTAACACCCCACTGTCAACATTAGACAGATCAACGGGACAGAAAGTCAACAAGGATACCCAGGAATTGAACTCAGCTCTGCACCAAGCGGACCTAATAGACATCTACAGAACTCTCCACCCCAAATCAACAGAATATACATTTTTTTCAGCACCACACCACACCTATTCCAAAATTGACCACATAGTTGGAAGTAAAGCTCTCCTCAGCAAATGTAAAAGAACAGAAATTATAACAAACTATCTCTCAGACCACAGTGCAATCAAACTAGAACTCAGGATTAAGAATCTCACTCAAAGCCGCTCAACTACATGGAAACTGAACAACCTGCTCCTGAATGACTACTGGGTACATAACGAAATGAAGGCAGAAATAAAGATGTTCTTTGAAACCAACGAGAACAAAGACACCACATACCAGAATCTCTGGGACGCATTCAAAGCAGTGTGTAGAGGGAAATTTATAGCACTAAATGCCTACAAGAGAAAGCAGGAAAGATCCAAAATTGACACCCTAACATCACAATTAAAAGAACTAGAAAAGCAAGAGCAAACACATTCAAAAGCTAGCAGAAGGCAAGAAATAACTAAAATCAGAGCAGAACTGAAGGAAATAGAGACACAAAAAACCCTTCAAAAAATCAATGAATCCAGGAGCTGGTTTTTTTAAAGGATCAACAAAATTGATAGACCGCTAGCAAGACTAATAAAGAAAAAAAGAGAGAAGAATCAAATAGACACAATAAAAAATGATAAAGGGGATATCACCACCGATCCCACAGAAATACAAACTACCATCAGAGAATACTACAAACACCTCTATGCAAATAAACTAGAAAATCTAGAAGAAATGGATACATTCCTCGACACATACACTCTCCCAAGACTAAACCAGGAAGAAGTTGAATCTCTGAATAGACCAATAACAGGCTCTGAAATTGTGGCAATAATCAATAGTTTACCAACAAAAAAGGAGTCCAGGACCAGATGGATTCACAGCCGAATTCTACCAGAGGTACAAGGAGGAACTGGTACCATTCCTTCTGAAACTATTCCAATCAATAGAAAAAGAGGGAATCCTCCCTAACTCATTTTATGAGGCCAGCATCATTCTGATACCAAAGCCGGGCAGAGACACAACCAAAAAAGGGAATTTTAGACCAATATCCTTGATGAACATTGATGCAAAAATCCTCAATAAAATACTGGCAAACCGAATCCAGCAGCACATCAAAAAGCTTATCCACCATGATCAAGTGGGCTTCATCCCTGGGATGCAAGGCTGGTTCAATATACACAAATCAATAAATGTAATCCAGCATATAAACAGAGCCAAAGACAAAAACCACATGATTATCTCAATAGATGCAGAAAAAGCCTTTGACAAAATTCAACAACCCTTCATGCTAAAAACTCTCAATAAATTAGGTATTGATGGGACGTATTTCAAAATAATAAGAGCTATCTATGACAAACCCACAGCCAATATCATACTGAATGGGCAAAAACTGGAAGCATTCCCTTTGAAAACTGGCACAAGACAGGGATGCCCTCTCTCACCGCTCCTATTCAACATAGTGTTGGAAGTTCTGGCCAGGGCAATCAGGCAGGAGAAGGAAATAAAGGGTATTCAATTAGGAAAAGAGGAAGTCAAATTGTCCCTGTTTGCAGACGACATGATTGTTTATCTAGAAAACCCCATTGTCTCAGCCCAAAATCTCCTTAAGCTGATAAGCAACTTCAGCAAAGTCTCAGGATACAAAATCAATGTACAAAAATCACAAGCATTCTTATACACCAACAACAGACAAACAGAGAGCCAAATCATGAGTGAACTCCCATTCACAATTGCTTCAAAGAGAATAAAATACCTAGGAATCCAACTTACAAGGGATGTGAAGGACCCCTTCAAGGAGAACTACAAACCACTGCTCAAGGAAATAAAAGAGGACACAAACAAATGGAAGAACATTCCATGCTCATGGGTAGGAAGAATCAATATCGTGAAAATGGCCATACTGCCCAAGGTAATTTACAGATTCAATGCCATCCCCATCAAGCTACCAATGACTTTCTTCACAGAGTTGGAAAAAACTACTTTAAAGTTCATATGGAACCAAAAAAGAGCCCACATCGCCAAGTCAGTCCTAAGCCAAAAGAACAAAGCTGGAGGCATCACACTACCTGACTTCAAACTATACTACAAGGCTACAGTAACCAAAACAGCATGGTACTGGTACCAAAACAGAGATATAGATCAATGGAACAGAACAGAGCCCTCAGAAATAATGCCGCATATCTACAACTATCTGATCTTTGACAAACCTGAGAAAAACAAGCAATGGGGAAAGGATTCCCTATTTAATAAATGGTGCTGGGAAAACTGGCTAGCCATATGTAGAAAGCTGAAACTGGATCCCTTCCTTACACCTTATACAAAAATCAATTCAAGATGGATTAAAGATTTAAACGTTAGACCTAAAACCATAAAAACCCTAGAAGAAAACCTAGGCATTACCATTCAGGACATAGGCGTGGGCAAGGACTTCATGTCCAAAACACCAAAAGCAATGGCAACAAAAGTCAAAATTGACAAATGGGATCTAATTAAACTAAAGAGCTTCTGCACAGCAAAAGAAACTACCATCAGAGTGAACAGGCAACCTACAACATGGGAGAAAATTTTTGCAACCTACTCATCTGACAAAGGGCTAATATCCAGAATCTACAATGAACTCAAACAAATTTACAAGAAAAAAACAAACAACCCCATCAAAAAGTGGGCGAAGGACATGAACAGACACTTCTCAAAAGAAGACATTTATGCAGCCAAAAAACACATGAAAAAATGCTCATCATCACTGGCCATCAGAGAAATGCAAATCAAAACCACTATGAGATATCATCTCACACCAGTTAGAATGGCAATCATTAAAAAGTCAGGAAACAACAGGTGCTGGAGAGGATGTGGAGAAATAGGAACACTTTTACACTGTTGGTGGGACTGTAAACTAGTTCAACCATTGTGGAAGTCAGTGTGGCGATTCCTCAGGGATCTAGAACTAGAAATACCATTTGACCCAGCCATCCCAATACTGGGTATATACCCAAATGACTATAAATCATGCTGCTATAAAGACACATGCACACGTATGTTTATTGCGGCATTATTCACAATAGCAAAGACTTGGAACCAACCCAAATGTCCAACAATGATAGACTGGATTAAGAAAATGTGGCACATGTACACCATGGAATACTATGCAGCCATAAAAAATGATGAGTTCATGTCCTTTGTAGGGACATGGATGAAATTGGAAACCATCATTCTCAGTAAACTATCGCAAGAACAAAAAACCAAACACCGCATATTCTCACTCATAGGTGGGAATTGAACAATGAGACCACATGGACACAGGAAGGGGAATATCACACTCTGGGGACTGTGGTGGGGTCGGGGGAGGGGGGAGGGATAGCATTGGGAGATATACCTAATGCTAGATGACACGTTAGTGGGTGCAGTGCACCAGCATGGCACATGTATACATATGTAACTAACCTGCACAATGTGCACATGTACCCTAAAACTTAAAGTATAATTAAAAAAAAAAACATTAAAAAAAAAAAAAAGAAAATGGATCATTTAAAATGTTTTCTCACACCCACCAAAAATAAAAATTTTAAATTTAAATAAATAAAAATTTAAAAAAGAATTTCCAGAAGATTTCTTATGACAGTGGTTCTCAACCACTAGCTGTTCATTGTGATCACCTGGGAGTTTTAAATATTCACGATGCTTGTGTCATCTCAGAGATTCTAAAATACTTTCCCCACAGTGTTGCTTTAAACATCCTCTCCATTGCTTCTCATGTGAAACCAAATTTGAGAATCACTAAATCAAGACATTTCTTCCAGAGTAGAAAATCTCCCAGAGGTCAGGGTCATCCTGACTGTTAGAACTCACCTTCCAGGACCCTTCCTGCTGACAAGCCAAGCTAGTTCTCAACCCAACAATAATTCTATGAATGTTCTTCCCTCTCTCTTTCTTATCCTCTCCCCATCCTTCATGTCCTGGTTCAATCCCCAACCTCCTCCGAAAAGCCCTTCCATCTAGTCCAGGGCCCATTCAGTCCTCTGCTTTGTTATTCATTACTGCAGGCTGTTATCATCACCTGATTTCATATTTGTCACTAAATCATTCATGTTTGTTTACTAAGTTCTCTCTATATCTAAGAATGTCTGTCCTCAGCCCCTTAAAAAATATCACTTCATTTTATTTCTTTCATAAAATTCAAATAGCACTTTGCAGGGGACATTTCCATGGCAAGCATTCAGTAAATGTTCAAGGAGTGATTTGCAGTTGAATTGGGGTTCCTGGCCACAAATTTTAAGGTATTTAATTTTTAATTTTAAT
The DNA here is from genome assembly GCF_000001405.40 of Homo sapiens. Taxonomy (NCBI): domain Eukaryota; kingdom Metazoa; phylum Chordata; class Mammalia; order Primates; family Hominidae; genus Homo; species Homo sapiens. Next base: position 99,816,034 of record NC_000007.14, read on the forward strand.
CTGACATTTATGTATGTGTGGGTGTTTGTGGGTGTGTTTGTCTGTCTCTTAGAAAAATACATTCATGTCACTTTAAAATTAAAAATAACATGGTGTTACCTTTATAGAAAAGTTGGGATCTTTTCCCTGATGAACTTAAAGACAGTTGTCATTGATTGATGTCAAACAAGACCTTCTAAGTCTTATTTCTAGGATTCATGCATTCAATATGCAACTCCTTCTCTGAAGCAGGATTTCTGCATGGGAATGGAGGAGGGTAGAGATGGTTTTCATCCTATTTGTGGCTTAATGGAAGCTTTGTAGCCAATCTGTGCATCTGTACAAATAGGGGGCTCAGTGCGGGAGAAAGCAGGCTTGTGGCACATTTGGGAAGGGGAAGATAGTCCCTAGCCCAGCTCCCAGGCATCTACAGGCTGATGTTTCTCAGTCTCTATAGCAATTTGCTTGCCCTCCACTCAACTGAGATTGGAAGTTACAGTGTTGCTGACTTGATAAGAGTGAGGCTAAAACTATGGTCAAAATGCTGTAGGACTTGAGAAGTTCCCCATTTGCACTGCTCTTTGTAGCCAAGATGAGATGTTAAAAGCAAAAGCACAGGCCAGGCGCGGTGGCTCATGCCTGTAATCCCAGCACTTTGGGAGGCCGAGGCAGGCTGATCACTGAGGCCAGGAGTTCAAGACCAGCCTGGCCAACATGGTGAAACTCCGTCTCTACTAAAAATACAAAAATTAGCTGGGCTCAGTAGTGCCCACCTGTAATCCCAGCTACGGGGGAGGCTGAGGCAGGAGAAGTGCTTCAACTCAGGAGGCGGAGGTTGCGATGAGCCGAGATCACTTCACTGCACTCCAGCTCAGGGCCCACAGAGCAAGACTCTGTTTCAATAAATAAATAAATAAATAAAGTCTCCTGAAGCCCTCTTCCCATCATTTCATAGGATGGGTTTAATTAGGAGGGGTTACTGGACTTTTCAGAAGTCAATGGCTGCTTGTATAATTAAAATGTATAATATCTACTCAAGATTTTTTTTTTTTTTTAGACAGAGTCTTGCTCTGTCGCCCAGGCTGGAGTGCAGTGGCAAGATCTCGGCTCACTGCAAGCTCCGCCTCCCAGGTTCACGCCATCCTCCTGCCTCAGCCTCCCAAGTAGCTGGGACTACAGGCACACGCCGCCATGCCCGGCTAATTTTTTGTATTTTTAGTAGAGACGGGGTTTCACTGTGTTAGCCAGGATGGTCTCGATCTCCTGACCTTGTGATCCGCTGGTCTTGGCCTCCCAAAGTGCTGGCATTACAGGCATAAGCAACCACGTCCAGCCTACTCAAGATTATTTTGCAAGTTTTAACATATACAAATTTAATTGTATATGGCTTTTCAAAAATAGTTTACCATACTGCTTGAGAATCTAGATTTAATATTTAAAAGTCATCCTTTTTACTAAGAATTTCTATCAAGATCAGGCTCAGTGGTTGATGTCTGTATTCCCAGTAATTTGGGAGGCTGAGAGAGAAGGATTGCTTGAGCCCGCACTTTGAGACCAGCCTAGGCATTATAGCAAGACCCCATATCTACAACAACAAATAAAGTCTGGACATGTTGATGCATGCCTGTAGTTCCAGCTACTCGAGAGGCTAGGGCAGGAGGATCACTTGAGCCCAGGAGTTTAGGGCTGTATTTCTGCTGACTTTTAAGAATGTCGAGGATTTACTTGTCACATAATTCATAATTCCTCAGGGCAAGGAGACATGGAACGTGGGTCAGTGATGATAATGAGCCAGTGCCATTTCCAAAGGCTCAGCTTTGGGATCTCTTCCAGCAAGCAGGCATAGAGGGGCTCTCAGATGACAGCATTGCTGTCGCAGGCCTCATCCTTACCAGCTCCTGGGGTAAATATTTCACTCTTCAGAAAGCAGGATGTGTCTGTTCTGACCCCTACTACCCCAAAGAAGAAGCTCAAATCATCTTATTGGAGTCCTTGATGTTGTATGTGCTGCTTGTAGTGACATCAGCCACATCCCTGGTGGCTAAGGTGGCTGGAGTCCACCTGGCAATCCAGGTAGCTGTTCTCCTCTTCTCTCCTTTCACACCCATTGTTCCCAGACATGCATTATTTCCAGAGAGAGGGGCATTCTTTGGTCAGGAGCATCTCTAGCTTTCCGTCTTCTGCAGAACCATTTGAGGGGGTGCACAGGAAGCAGCACAGTATGCTGCTTCTCACTGAAGCCGTCATCTTCATCTCCTTCCCTGTGTCTCCATTACAGGCCCTCTTGACAACAGAATCCTGGTGGATCATTCTGAATGTACAGGAATGGCAGCTGAGGCCCAGCCAAAAGCTCTTGCTGTATGCAGGAAAGTGGCTTGGTCACCAGAGTCCTAGGGAAAGAGTCCCAGGAAAAGTTTTGCAATATGCAGCAATCTAACCCAACTAAACTCAACAAATCTTTCTGGATGCCCACTCTGTGTAAAGGACTCAGCTAGGGCCTGCAGACATAGTGGTGAATAATACTCAGACTGTCCTTAAGAAGCTCATGCTCTGGTAAGGGATCACCACTGCTCATGTGTGGAAACCAACACGGTGCTGGAGAGGAGGAAAGACAATAATAGAACCATGGGAGGGGGGAAAGAAGTTGCCCAGAGGAGGAAGCAGTCATGTCTGATTCCTAAATCAGAGAAAGCCTCTAATAGGAGAGGTCTGGGCTTGGTGCAGTGGCTCACCCCTATAATCCCAGCACTTTGAGAGTCCAATGCCAGAGGATCACTTCAAGCCAGGAATTCGAGACCAGCCTCGGAAACATAGACACACAGTCTCTACAAAAATAAAAATAAAAAAATAAAATTAGCTAGGTGTGCTGATGCATACCTGTATCCTCAGCTACTCCAGAGACTAAGGCAGGAGGATCGCTTGAGCCTGGGAGTTTGAGGTTACAGTGAGCTATGATTGTGCCACTGCACTCTAGCCTAGGCAACAGAGTGAGAGTGTGTCTCAAAAAAATAAATAAAACAAATTATTATATGGGTATTGATGTGGTTTGGATTTGTGACCCCACCCAAATCTCATGTCAAATTGTAATCCTCAATGTTGGAGGAGGGGTCTGGTGGGAGGTGATTGGGTGTCATGGGGTCAGACTTATCCCTTGCTGTTCTCATGATAGTGAGTGAATTCTCATGAGATCTGGTTGTTTAAAAGTGTGTAGCAGCTCCCTCTTCTCTCTCTCCCTCCTCCTTCTCTGGTCAATATAAGATGTGCCTTCGCACCATGATTGTAAGTTTCCTGAGACCTCCCCAGTCATGCTTCCTGTATAGCCTGCAGAATCGTGAACCAATTAAACCTGTTTTCTTTATAAACTACCCAGACTCAGGTACTTCTTTATAGCAATGCATGTACAGGCTAACATAGGTATATTGCGTGGGAAAAAAAGAAACATAAATGAATAAAAACTTAAAAAGAAGTCTATCTGATCTGGGTTTGAAAGGATGAATAGTAGTCTTCTAGGGAGTATAGAGAAATTCTAGGCAGTGGAAACTTCCTGGATAAAGATGTGTATGTGTGCATTATTTTGATGGATTTGAAGTATTTTGGATTGAAGGCAGCCATGAAGATAAGGGCTGGTTAGAGATTGAATGCCAATGACTTCACAAGAGTTTCTGATAAGAATCTATAACTCTTGGGGCTTATCAAACACTGATTAGTTTACTGATATCACACAATATAAAGTCAAAGGAGGTCAAAATAAGGGTGGCCATAATTCTTCACCAACTGTGAATGTGAGAAGAGCACCCCAATCCCTCCACATGAGGAGCAGCATAGGTAGCTTTTCTACTGGCTGCAGCTATGGACCCAACTCATTCCCCAGCACATAAATATTCCTGTTAACCTTAACTAAATCACCTCTGGGCAGAGAAAGAAAGCTCTACATGCACAGCCCAGCCAAAAGCGGCACACAGCTGAAAGAAAAACTCAGAAGATAGATTTGAAAAAGAAAATGCGATGGATCTCATTCCAAACTTTGCCATGGAAATGTGTGTTCTCCTGGCTACCAGCCTGGTGCTCCTCTACCTGTGAATAACTGTCCAGGCCATCTGCTCTGTAACTTTAGACTTTTAGTGCTAATCAGGCCTATTTTTCTTATTTGTTTTGAAGATGAAAGACATAATGGAGGGGAAGTTGCTTAAGCATTGAATGCTACAAACATAAATTATCATTACTGATCTGTTGGGGCTCAGAAGAAAACACTTGAAAATAGGACACTGTGGCAAGCTGAGTACTTTGAACTAAAGGGGACTGGAGGATCTCAGAAATGGCCTCAGAACTAAGGTCTCTCTGACCTTCTCCTGCCTCCCATACTTTCCCTCCAAAAGTGCAGAGAGGGGCTTTCTCTGAAGTTCCTTTATCTGACTAAGGAAAGACCTGCCAGAAAGAATGCAATTGTCTTTAGCACCTCCAAATAATATCAACAAACAGAATATTAACTTACAGGAAAGAAGTAGAAAGTTGATAATACTTATTCTTTGGAGCACTGCTACCTGACACACTTTATCTCCATAATAAAATAACCTTTGTTCATCATGCATTTTCTCCCCTATCCTTCCATAGCTTGTGTCACCAACTCCCCACCAGAAGTCTTTAAATTTTTAGTAAGTCACAATGCTATTTAAGCTTCAACCACCTGGTCATTATTTAGTCTTATATATTGTGAGTCTCCAGTGTGTATGCATTTCATAAATGTGTATGCATTTTTTTTGAGACAGAGTCTGGCTCTGTGACCCAGGCTGGAGTGCAGTGATGCAATCATAGCTCACTGCAGCCTAGAACAACTGGGCTCAAATCATCCTCCCACCTCAGCCTCCTGAGGGCTCAAATCATCCTCCCGCCTCAGCCTCCCGAGTAACTGAGATGACAGGTGCTGTTAATCAATCCATTGTCAGGTTCTCAGACTCAAACATTAAGCCTCCAGAGGAACTGAAGTTTTCTCTCCCCACCTCCTACAGTTTTGGTGAGACAACCAGGAGATAAAGTCACTCCGCAGCTTCTGAAGCTACAGTTGAGAGACCCTGAGACCTGATGAAGCTGGAGAAAGGTAGGAATCCTTACCCAGTCTGTCTCCTGGATCTCTGCTTGTGGAACCAGGTTGAACAAGTGGTAATATCACTACTAGTCTCATGTTTCTTTCCAAACTTAGATTAGTAGTAGAAAACCTTTTTGTAAACTTGTTCTTGGTATACATCTAGTGTTTTTATTTTTGCTATGAGTATTCTGCATTTCTGGTCCCTGCCCCTTCAGAGATGGTCTTTGCTTTCCTTTGTCTTGTTGTCATTTGTCAGAAAGAGGAGAATTGTAGGGCAGAACATGGGCATAAGGTCTTTTTATAAGCCTGTCATTTAAGCCCACCAAGCAGACTGGTGACTTCATATTTCTCAGCAGACCAGCATCTGTTTAGGCAAACTTTGCAGTGTATCTCTCAGAAAAAAATCAAATGAGATCTTCCTTTTGTCTATTTGTATGTCCTGAGAAATTGGCTTTGTTGCCAAGTGAGAACATCTCTCTCTGGTCTCTGTTACCTGGGGGTCTGATTTTTGGTTCCCATCTGGCTGCTAGTCAAAAAGGCCAGGGACCCATGACATGAAGTAGAAAGTAGCATTCTCTTTGTCTGACCATGCCAGCTCTTAGGGGAGTTAGTCTTAAGAGGCTCAAGTCCATGAGGGCTTTTGTCATCTCAACCTTCACCAAAATGAGTGACTGAAGCATAAGTCTCAATCACCGAGGATTATTGAGCCAGCTTAAGTGCATGCCCAGGAAAAATGTAAGTCACACATGCATCTGTGGCTGGTTTTTTTCCAAAGAGGTTCTCAGAGATTTAATATTTATACATTTTCCTTTAAAATGGTGGGGGGGTGTTATGAGATGAGTGATTACATACTTGTGAGACTTTAGTTAGTGCCTTGTCATATGATAAGGTGAACATTTAAAGAAAAAGTAATAGAGGAAGTAGATATCTCAGGGAAGGGTGAGGGAAGGATTAATCTCATCTTATCCTTACCCTGTACCTGGAAGGATAAGCTCATAACTGACAATATTGGTGTGGAATCTTTTGAAGGGGCTGCTTTCTTTTTCACCTTTAGGAAAGAAGGTCTAATGACAGTGAGCAATGGAGGGGGTATAATGAGGCATGCTGGACCTCCCTTTTCCTCATGCCCTGGAATTCAGTTTTTCAGGTTCCTCTGGGGTCCACTTAGCCAACGGTGGGTCTGTTTATTTGGTGGAGGGGGCTTGGGATTTTGTTTTTGGTTTACATTCTCCTTTATTTGGGCCAAGATTTTCCAGAGCCAACATCAATGGCAGACTTTTATTTGGTCTCATCATTGCTGTAATGGTGTGGCTGTCTGCCCCAAGTCCACCCTGTCCCTCCATGGGGCTCTTATGGCCAAAGGACTTAAAGCCAAAAGACTAATCGCTGATTTATATGTTCTAGGCCAGACAGGAATAGAGGTGGGAAGGCATTCATCAATCCTTAAAATCTTTTTTAAGTAATATAAGAGCCAAAAAACAAAAGTCAAAAGACTTTTGTCATGAAAGGCAAGGTTACAAAATAGACTTATCTGTAAGTTATATGCACTGAGCTACTATAATCTAGGTTTTAGTTACAGACTTGTAGCAATTAGCTGTATAAAACTTGAGCATTTTGTTAAAACCATTTAAGCTAAGAAATTTAGAGACTCTGGTTGTCCTGCAAAGTTTCTTGTGGTCTCTCTAATATTTGTCCTAAAGTGGTCAGTACATTTATTTTTATAGATCTATTTGCATAAATTCTATAACTGGGAACAAGTGTACAAAGGTTATTGATGGCAGTGGCTGCTCCAGACAGCCTGCCACTGCCATTACGCTGGCTGCAGCAGGGAGGTGGGCGGGGCTGCACACTCCATGGAGCCCTGCCCAAGTTGGGGCAGGAGCTCCCTGGGTGCTGCTGCAGCCACCCAAACCACAGCTGCAGACCCAGGCCTCCAGCTCCATGGAGCAGGCAGAAATCCTCCCTCACCCACCCCTACAACCCACCCCACCTTTCCTCACCCCCATCCCCCCTACCCTGCACAGCTGCAGCCACCCACCAGCTGCAGACTCAGGCATCCCTGCACTCTTGGGGGCCCAGGAAGGCCCCCCTACCCTCACAGGCTCCAAAGTGCCTGCTCCTGCTCCCTGGCTTCTCCCTGCTGTCAGCACCCTCTCCAATCTCATAGCAAAGTGAGGCTGAGCCCTGGTGCCAAGAATGGAAGCAGGAGGCAGACAGATTCCCAGGTAGAAGTAGGTGGGTCCCCAGTGAGGCCCCACCTTCAGGTCAGGGAGGGCCTGAAGGCTGGTGGCTGGGCTGCCAATCCCATTGACCAGACTGGGAAGTTGTGATTCTTTTTCCAGCCCTTCCATGGCTGCCCAAGGACCGATCAGTGCACACTTCCTCCCCTCTAGGGCCCATAAAAGCCCCAGGCTCTGCTAGAGCTGAGCAGACATCAGGTGGACCAGCTGCAGAAATGAGCTACCCTCTCTGCTGATAGCAAGAGACATTTAGACAACCAGCAGCAGAGAGGGGCTACCCACTCTAGGGCCTCCTCTCTGCTGAGAGCCTCAGAGACCCGCAGAGACATGCAGACTACCAGCTGCAGAGAGGAGCAACCCACTCCAAAACCCCCTCTCTGCTGAGAGCTGCAGAGATGACAGGATGACCTACCTGAAGAGAGGAGCCTCCCAACCCAGGGTGTCTTCTCTGCCAGGAGCTGAACACTGATCGGGACACCCTGACTGTGGAAAGTAGCTACCCTTTGTGGGTCTCCTGTGAGCTGTTCTATTGCTCAATAATGCTCCTCTTCATCTTGCTTTCCCTCCACCTGTCTGCATACCTCATTCTTCCTGGTCGAAGGACAAGAACTCAGGACCCACTGAATGGCAGAGGTAAAACAGCTATAACATAAACAGGGCTGAAACATGCCCCTTGCTCACCACGTTGCAGGCAAAGAGAAGGAGAGAAGAGCCACAGTCCTTCAGGGAGCCCAGACCTGGAAGCTCCCCAAAACAGGGTTGTGACTCTTTGGTATCCTGCAGTGCCTGGTGTCTCCAAGTTTGCAGTAACCACTGCATTCCCCAGTGCTGGCTGGGGAAACTGCTTGCAGTGCACCTGGTCCAGCCACAGCCTCACAGAGAGCCAGTGCCTGTGCCGGCACCTGGAGCTGCCTGTCACTGCAGCGGCTGTAGTGTCTGACTGTGCAGTGGCCTGACCCCACATTCATTCACACACCCCTCATGGCTCCATTCCTAACTCACCCTTGGCAGGCATGGGATCCAGGCTGGTAGTGTGGACTGTGTGCAGCTTGCCAACCCAAGTGGGTGGAAGAAGCCCAGCAAGTCCGAGCAAAACTTGGGCAAAGGTGCCACTGGCCAGAGGTTTTAGGCCATAAAAGCAACACCTCAAGGATCCTATAACATTATTGTGATGTCTTCTCCATAATTTTCTTATCTTTTTATGGAAATTTCTTGATTAGATTACTGAATTCAGGATGGAGCTCTTAAATAGAGTGATGAAAGCTTTTTTTCCCTCTTTTTTGAAACAGTCTATCTCTGTCTCCCAGGCTGGAGTGCAGTGGTGTGATGTCAGCTCACTGCAACCTCTGCCTCTCGGGCTCAGGTGATCCTCTGGATCACCTCAGCCACCCCAGTAGCTGGTATTACAGGCATGCGCTACCATGCCCAGCTAATGTTTGTATTTTTAATAGACATGGGGTTTCATCATGTTGGCCAGGCTGATATTGAACTCCCGGCCTCAAGTGAGTCACCTGCCTCAGCCTCCCAAAGTGCTGGGATTACAGGCGTGAGCCTCCTTACCTAGCCAAAGAAAGCATTTTAATGTTTGGCTGTACTATGAATAATTCTGAAAAAGAAGTCAGTCTATTTTACCTGAGGATCTATCCTTTATAAACATTTTAGGCTTTGATTTTTTAAAACTGAAGGTACCCTTTTGAGTGACACCAAAACCAGTAAGTTCAGGCCTGTTGATATGTGACACTGGGTAGGTTCTCCGGGGATTGGACTTTCCCAGGACTAACCAAGTCACAAGGGTTAGGGAAGCAAAAGACCCATAGGGATGGGGCTTCTTAAGAGAAACTCCCCCGAGAGCTGGACATGTGTAGAACAACAGGTGTGTTCTTCAGAAGCACCAGCTGCTCAGTCCGCAGAGCCAGCTCCAACAAGTGGGCTTATAGGGGTTTCAGGCCCATGTTCTACACTCCTGTAGCCCCTTTTATGACAGAACAGCACAGAAATACAGGAACAAAGGAAAAGACTATTTCTAGAGGAAAAGGGGATCAAACGATGTGAGTATTCATAAGAGAAAGTACTAGAGAGTACCCTAGAGTTGCTGCACCCAGCACTAGTAACACAAATCCTTTTCTCCTATTTATTAAGATTTTGCAGAGGAGACAAAGAGCAATTCTTAACATCTGCCCAAGTGGATCTCCCAGAAAGAAAGGCCAGGAGCTTGTCTGGAAAGAAATTCTTACTTTTCTCAGCCAGACATGGAGGCATGTGCCTGTAGTCCCAGCTACTTGGGAGACTGAGATAGAAGGATCACTTGAGCCCAGGAGGCGGAGATTGCAGTGAGCCAAGATCACACCACTACATTCCAGCCTGGGTAATAAAATGAGACTCTGTCAAAAAAAGAAAAAGAAAAAAAAAGAAATTCTTACTTTTCTGCTGACTTACAAGTGCTTGGGCTCCCTTCACTGAGGCTTCTGAAAGAACAGAGTGGCTTTGGTATCCTGCTCATAGGGACAGAACTGCTGAGGCCAAGAAAAATGTTTGTCCTTTCTCCTCTGAAGGTTTGTTAACAACAAAAAAAATCACCCACAAAGGAGATTAATGGGAGAAATAGCATACATATTCATTCATATGTTTATGGAGGAGAAATACAGAGTGATTCCCCCTTCTTGAGAAACAGTAAGTCTCAAAGAAAGAGACTTTCTTTCACCCCCTTTTATCCAGGGGTAAGAACAACTAGCTGAACAAAACTGACAGCTGTCAATCAAGTGGGAAGTCCAAAACTCATGAGAGACCCACCCAGTTTTCAATCATCATGAAGGAGCCAGGGGCTCAATGGCCCCTGCTGGTACCAAGTTGCCAGGTCCCTGCAATGTTCCAGACAAAGACAGTGATGGTAAAAAGGGAAAAGTGGAGGTAGAATGCAAGTGCAGCAGCAGGAAGATATGGGACTCTCCATTTTAGGGTCTTCAAGTTTTTCAGATTTTCTGAGACATGGGTTAACTCTTCAGGTTAGTCTCCTAGTAAAACACAGCCAAAGTCCCAATTGTGTTTGAAACTTTCAAAAATGCAGATTGAAAGAAAGCCTCTTACTGTCTTTGAGAAGTCCAGACTCCTCTTATCCTCATTGCATGCTTCGGAGTTCAATTTAGGTGTATCTCTCACATCCATTTCTGTCGAGCCTTTACCTTTAAATTTTAAACTTGAAAAACTGCCAGAGTACCTGATAGTGATTGATCAGAGACAGAGCCACCGAATTACCCGATGGCAGGCCTTAGAGACCATGGCCTTAGGACCTAGGTTATGCATAGCCCTCACCTTAGGAAGGGGTCCCTTCAAGGGCAAATAAAATGCGATAGTCCTTGCAACACTGAAGCATGGAGTATCCTGTGAGGCATGAACTTGCTTGATGCAGCATGAATGCACCCCAAGAAACATGGGCATGCCCCTCCAAGTGCAAGCATACCCCACAAGTGGGTAGCCATAGAGCCAGAAGGGCAGGTTCCCTGAAAAAAATAAAGACCTCAAGACCTCATCCTAAATGTGAGATCTTGGATGTAAGAGGATTTACTGATTTTTCCACAAAACAGCCAGGCCAGGAAGATAACTGAGCTTAGAGGACTCTTGCTGGTGCCAATGCATTGATTAGTCCAGATGACAAGGGAGAGGATCTTGAGAGCCAATTTTGATCCCTTCCTCATCACCAGGAAATATGAGTAAAGATTGTGGGATCTGTGGAGGACAGAGGGAGAGCTTCATTTTCTATAAAACACAGTCTGCAGATTGAGGAGATGCAGCCTCGGAGGTGGAGAGCTATAAAGTCAAAAACCACAGAGCAGGATAGAGGAGTCAGAGGAGTGAAGAAAAGAGTCTTGATTAGACAGCCTTTAAGCCCCAAGTCACATGTCTCTTAATTGGCTGTTCCTAGGTGGTCAGTTAGTTCTTACCACATGATCTGTTGGTGAGCAGTTGGAAAATTCCCAGGTACAGATTTTTTCAGAAAATGTTATTTGACTTGGCTACAGAAAAATAGGTTTTGCAACACTTACTAAGAACACAGAGAACATGACCATCACCTAAACCTGCCATGGCCTCTTGGGTTTGTTTTTGCTTTTGAGGCACAGGGAGTCCTTCTTGTCTGTTTACCTGGAGGCATGATTTGGCAACCTAGATAACAAACAGAGATAGGCTTTCTAAAAAGAATTATTTTTATTTGGGAATAAAGCATTGCAATGGGAATATGCGTGCCAAGGTAAACTATGTGCTTATTCAGGTAGGTAAAGTAAGACAAAGTTTAAAAAAATAATGAGAAGGATTACATATTTGTTTTGGAATGATTATCCTTGGCTATAAAGATCAATAACAAGACTGACATCAGTTTGAGGTTGGACAGGCAGTTGCTGGGCAGATGTTCTTGCAGAAGTATTTTTCTTTAGGTTCCTGAGAATCTATAACCTTTGGGCTTACCAATAGCAGTGACTGATTTGTTTACTGATTGTTCACAGAATAGGAAATCAAAGGAGGCCAAAATAAGGACAGCCATAATTATTTGCCAATTGTCAATTTGAAAAGGGTACCCAAATCCCTCCATATGAGGAGTAGCATAAGTGGCTTTTCTACTGGCTGCCGCTGTAGACCCACCTCCTTCTCCAGCACATAAATATCGCTGTTAACATTAACTAAATCACCTCTGGGCAGAGAAACAAAGCTCTATATGCACAGCCCAGCAAAGAGCAGCACACAGCTGAAAGAAAAACTCAGAAGACAGAGCTGAAAAAGAAAACTGGTGATGGATCTCATTCCAAACTTTGCCATGGAAACATGGGTTCTTGTGGCTACCAGCCTGGTACTCCTCTATATGTGAGTAACTATGCAGGCATGTTTGCTCTTAACTCTAAGACCTGAAGTGCTAATTGGGCCCATCTTTTTCTTATTTGTTTTGAAGATAAAAGAGATAACGGAGGGGAAGTTACCTAAGTGCCAAATACTGTGAACACATAAAATATTATTAATATGTTAGGACTCCTAATACAACATTTGAAAATGTAAAATTTAGTCTGGGTGCGGTGGCTCACACCTGTAATCTCAGCACTTGGGAGGTGGAGGCAGGCCAATCACAAGGTCAGGAGTTCAAGACCAGCCAGACCAACATGGTGAAACCCCTTCTCTACTAAAAATACAAAAATTAGTCAGGCATGGTGGCACACACCTGTAATCCCAGCTACTTGGGAGGCTGAGGCAGGAGAATCGCTTGAACCCAGGAGGCAGAGGTTTCAGTGAGCGGAGATTGCACCACTGCATTCCAGCCTGGGTGACAGAGCAAGACTCCGTCTCAAAAAAAAAAATAAAACTTTGTCATACTGAGTAGTTTGAACTAAAGAAGACTGAAAGACTTCACAAATGTCTTCAGAATCTCTGACCCTCTTCTGTCTACCCATCCCCCATTCTTTCCCTCCTGAAGTGCAGGGTTGCTCTGAAGTTCTCTTATCTGACTAAGGGAAGATCTTCCAAAAAGAATGCAATTGTCTTGAGCCTCTCCAAATAATCTCATCAATCAGAAAACTAATTCACAGGAAAAGAGAAAAAGTTTGATAATACTTATTCTTTGGAGCACTGCTACCTGAGAGACTTTATCTCCACAATAAAATAACCTTTGTTCATCATGTGTTTTCTCCCTTCACCTTCCCATAACTTGTGTCAGAAACTCCCTATCAGAAGCCACTCCCTACTTTTTAGCTTACAATGCTATTTAAGCTTTACTCATTCAGTCCTTATTTTAGTCTCATATATTGTGGGCCTCCAGCACATATGCATGTAAAATTTTGTATGGATTTTCACTGTAACCACCCAAGAGATTCACCTTGCCCCCTGCCTCAACAGAGCCCATTCATCAAGACAGGGGAATTGTAATAGAGAATGAGTTAATACATGCTGCCAACAAAAAGAGCCAAACTCTGTACAATACTTGAAGAGATTTATTCTGGGCCAAATATGAGTGACCATGGCCCATGACACAGCCTTCAGGAGGTCTTAAGAACATGTACCCAAGGTGGTCAGGGTGCAGCTTGGTTTTATTCTTTTAGGGAGGCATGAGATATCAAATACATTTAAGAAATACATTGGTTTGGTCCACAAAGGCAGGAAATGTGATTTTTGCAGAATTCTTTGTGATAGAGCAGACTCCAGAGAAATTGCAACAACTTAAAGTCTTTCAGATCTGGCCCTAAGGAGCTATAGGAGAGAAAAAAAATCTGTCAGATCACCATTGCCTACCTCTACTCCAACTGGAGCTGTTTCAAAACCAACATGTAGAAATCTTTTTGTCTGGCTGCCCTGTGAACTCAGAAACTAGTCTGCTAAATGATTAACTTTTGGTCTCCTTTTGCTTTGGTAGAATGACCTCTTATTAAGTACCTGTTTAACTGCACCATATACAGACCTATCTTTCATGACAGCAGACCTGCAACATCACCTCCTGAAATGAGGCACAGCTGTTTAACTGGATTGACATTGCTAGGAATGTGAGACTGGTTTATACTGGTTTAATGTGATTCCTTGCGACTCAGCTACCAATTCAATTGTCCTCTCCACAAGCATCAACTCAGCTTTAGTATGTACATTTTCTAGGGAAGTTTATGACAGGGGAAAGTTGGGGCTCCAAAAATGAAACCCCAAAATATGGCACTTAAGCATGTTGAGGACTTTGAACCAAAGGAAATTGAAAGGTCTCAGAAAGTCTTCAGAACCAAGCTAACTCTTATGTTCTCCTGTCTCCCAACCCTGCTATTTCTCCCAAAATATAGGAAGGGGCTTTCTCTGAAGTTCTCATACCTAAAGGAAGATCCTCCTAAAAAAAAGCAATGGTCTTGAGCCCCCTCCCTATAATCTCATGAAAAAGAATCTTAGCAGGGCCAGGCATGGTGGCTCATACCTGTAATTCCAGCACTTTGGAAAGCCGAGGTGGGTGGATCACGTGAGGTCAGAAGTTCAAGACCAGCCTGGTCAACATGATGAAACCCTGTCTCTACTAAATATACAAAAATTAGCTGGGTGTGGTGGCAGGTGCCTGCAATCCCAGCTACTCGGGAGGCTGAGGCAGGAGAATCGCCTGAACCCTGGAGGCAGAGGTTGCAGTGAGCCAAGATTGCGCCATTGCACTCTAGCCTGAACAACAAGAGCAAAACTTAGTCTAAAAGAAAAAAAAAAGAAAAAAATAATATTAGCTCACAGAAAGGGAGACTAAGGTTGATAATACTTGTTCTTTGGAGCACTGATGCCTGACAGACATTATAATAAGATGACTTTTGTTTATCATGCTTTTTCTTCCCTCACTCTCTCATGTCTTGTGTCACCCACTCCCCATCAGAAGATACTACATTTTTATAGCTCAGAATGCTATTTAAGCTTCAATCATCAGGCCATTCTTTGAGTATCATATCTTTCAAGGCTCCCATGCATATTCATGAGATAAATTTATAAGGATTATCTCCTATTAATTGATCTACTGTTAGTTCATTTCTCAGACTCAAATATCAAACCTCCATAGAGGAATGTTCTCTTGACCCTACAGATGTTACACAGATCCGTTGAAGAAGTAAATAAACATTATCCACCTCCTCTTCATTCAACTTCCAATTTCTGTTACTAAGAGTGTTTACTGACATCATTCAATCCTGGGGATGCTTTCTGATTGACTATGAGTTTTGATCTACCTAGACTAACAACCAGAATTTAGCATGGGCAGATAATGGATTATAAACAACTGGAAACCCAAGAGGTTATTTTCGATGTGTGAGTAGGAAAAGATCCCCAAAGAGGGAACCAAGCTAACAGCTGGGCCTGGCCAGGGTGCCACTGTGGGGTCCTTCAAACACATTCTCTTCATGCAATTTTTCAGCTTTATCACATTTTATAAGATTTATTTATTTGTACTGAATATTTAGGATCTAAGAAAAGCTAACCTATAAAGAAGAGAAATCAAGTTTCTAATTCAACTGTCTGGAATATTTTATGGTTACTTATGCTATGTAGCACAGTGAAACTTTTCTATCAACAGAAATGTTCCTGAATTTTGGAAGACCTCTCTTTCAGCTGAAAGCACATAAGGGGCATTTAAAACTATTTATGCATACCATAATTTTCAGCCACACTTTCCTAACTTACCCTTATAGGGCCTACTTTGTGGCACCAGCAGTTGCATGGTTACATCGGCGGGATGCAGCCTCTCTTTTTCCTCCAGTCTTCCATCCCTCAGTAACACCAGAGTGGGAAGTTCTGCAAGGATCCAGAACCTGCAATTGATGGAGTTCACACATAACCCATCAAAGATGAGTTGCAGGCAGGCCTGCCATAAGGAGCACCAGACTTAATGGGTTTTCCTGCAGGATAGTTGATGTACAGAAGCAGTAAACTGACTCTGTGTGACTGATCATTTTGAGAAAAAAAAAAAGTGAGCATGACTGGCATTGTGCTTATCAAGTAAGGATCACCAGTTGGAGGGCCAGATTGCACAAGAGGAGGAATGGCCTTGAAATTTATTCTTTAGTCATTGGTTCCTCTGCATAGTGCCATTCAGAGAACATATAGGTCAATCACATTTACTGTAGTTTATATCAATCAAATCATCTGACCACAGAGATTTGGGTGTAGCTGGAAGGTGCTCACATTTCTATGAAGCCAGTGGAAGCCTTGAATATGGTTGTCATTCCATAGAAATAAGAACACTATGATTCTTCCAGAGCTCCTCTGTGCAGGAATGTTTAAGGATGGCCAGATCCTAAAACAAGGTCAGTGTTTAGAGGGAAGGAAAAGCATAAACACCTCTGAGAAAACAGGAAAGAAGGTGTCAGCAAAGGGCCTCAGTAACCCTCTGTAATTCAATGGATGTAGTGATACACAAACTCATTATTAGTTCAAAAGATAAAAAAAAAAAACCTCACCTAGTGATATGGTTTGGCTCTGTGTCCCCAGCCAAATCTCATCTTGAATTGTTATCCCTATGTGTCAAGGAAGGGACCTGGTGGGAGGAATTGGATCATAGGGGTGTTTTCACCCATGCTGTTCTCATGATAGTGAATGAATTCTCACAAGATCTGATGGTTTTAAAAGTGTGGCACCTCGACCAAACACCGCATGTTCTCACTCATAGGTGGGAATTGAACAATGAGAACACATGGACACAGGAAGGGGAACATCACACACCGGGGACTGTTGTGGGGTGGGGGGAGGGGGGAGGGATAGCATTAGGAGATATACCTAATGCTAAATGATGAGTTAATGGGTGCAGCACACCAACATGGCACATATATACATATGTAACAAACCTGCACGTTGTGCACATGTACCCTAAAACTTAAAGTATAATAATAATAGAAAAAAAAACAAAACAACAAAACAAGAAAAAAAAAGTGTGACACCTCTTCTCTCTCTCTCTGTCTTTCTCTCTCTCCTGCCTCCATGTAATACATGCTTTGCTTCCCCTTCACCTTCCACCATGATTTTAAGTTTCCTGAGGCCTCCCCAGCCATGGAGAACTGTGAGTCAATTAAGCCTCTTTTCTTTATAAATTACCCAGTCTCAGGTAGTTCTTTATAGCAGTGTGAAAATGGACTAATACACCTAGAAAGAGAATTTCCAAATCAGGAAAGAATCAATTAACTAAATAGACATACGTGAATGAAATGCCCTGGAAGAATTCCAGTCTGAACCTCTTAAGGGCACTCAAATTTGGGAACATTTATTAAGCATTCACTCTAGCACTGGGATCATGCAGACTTCAGCTGCTTTTAGTTAATCATTGTGACTTTTTGGGGTCTCACAGAGGAGGCAGCAAAAAAGATGAGGATTGAAATGTAGTGGGATTTTAAGGAATCAGAGAGACTGATGGGGTTCAGGAGGATATTTATTAATTATTTAGGTGCACCAGCCCAGTCGGATTAACATCCAGAGGACTGAGCTCTGAACAAAGAGTTTAGTTACCTTTTAAGCATTTCGTGGGAGGGGGGAGATCTGTGGAGAGGGAAGCATACTAGAGAAGTAAGAAACAAACACAGTTATTCAATTGAGAAATGCATTACATCATTTCTTACATTTCAAGGAAAAACACGTTTTGTGACTTGAGTTTATCTGTCTAGTGACCTTGCAGCTGCACAGCTAGGGAAACAGGGTCTTTGCAATGCCTGGGAAGGGAGGAGAGATAAGGCTCACTAGCCTCAGAAAAACAGGCAGTTAGTTTTTAAAAGACTCCAGCTCTTTCTCTTTTTCAGGGGAAGTTGGGTTTTTTTCATATACAACTCAGTTTCTGCTTACGCACTCTTTAATTTCTTTTAATTCCTGTTCCATTGTCCCCTTTGGTGCTTTTTACAACAGAAGTGTTAATAGAAAGCACCACTATTTGCCACCTCCTCGCGGAGCTGAGCTTTTTCTTCTACCGGCAGCAGCTGATATCTGGTTAATGCCACAACTGTGCGGTAGCGTGTCAGGCTACTATTGCCTCTATAGTTGACTGAATACTCCTAATAAACAGGGGTAAAAGGCAAGGGAGGATGAGGCAAATGCCAAAAATAAGCAAGAACTCACTAATGAGGGTTTTGAATTCTCCAAAGGCTGACAACCATCCTCCAAATAAGGAATCCAGGGACCACCTGGACCAAGTCTGAACTAGAACATGTGCCATCTTGCACATTCTAGCTGTGATTTTCATGACAGCTAGGCCATTATCATCGATTTCTAAGCAACAATTGGTTAAATTAAATTTTTCACATACTCTTCCTTCTGAGGCTAAGAGGAAATCTAAAGCCAGCCTATTTTGATATATAGCATTTCTCATTTGTGTTGCTTGTATTGCCAATAAATCTAGTGCCCTTGATGTTTTATTGGTTATAATTTCAAGGACTGCCCGCAACCTTATGATGCAGTTGAGCATATAGATGGGGGTACGGTACCCCCATGACCTTTCTTGCACCTAGGTAGCTGGCCTATAGTATTTAATGATTCTTTCAGGAGGCCATTTGTTATCTTTCCAGTCTCCTATGTCCACATCTTTTTTGATATTTGTGTTTATTTTTGTGATTATGCCTCTTCTAGTTCTTTTATTTTCATCATAAACTGGATATCCTAAGAGTTCCCCTGGCTTTAGAGGAATTAGAAAGAAGGATGGCTTGATTGTTTCTAACACACATTCCCCTGTCCATTTAGTCAGCAGCTGATATGCCTGTGCTCCACAGGTCCAATATAGGCCAGAGGGTGCTTTCTAAGCATTTGGAGCCTCTAGCCGATGCCAAGTGCGGCTTAGAATAGACAGTGGAGGGAAAGGGTTTTGATCTTGTAAGTAGGAGTTGTTCTGGGCATTTCTTCAATAGAGTTTTGTTTTTAGTCTCATCATAATACTGTTGCCCTAGGCAGATTGTTTCTCCTACTGCCCCTGTGAAAGCCTTTCCTCATTGGGCAATACAGTACTTTCCAATTATGGAGGTTTTTAACAACCAAACACTGGTTGAGGCTGTTGGTTCACTGGTAGGGTTAAGCGAAGTGAAGTTATTTTGTGGCATTAATTCCTTTGCCTCCCATGGCCACTGGTCCCCCATATTAGTTCCTCCACATACATAGCATGAGGAAATTCCTAAGCTGCCAGCTATGTTTTCAGCTAGTTGAGCAAATAAGTTTTTGGTTGATGGGGGAAGCTCGGGCACCGGCTGATCAAAATGCTTATAGAATGACTTATGAACCCAGAATTGTGGGGTTGGACACATCTGAGTTCTTCTAGTCTTTTTGACAATCAGTAGTGGAATTCTAAGGCCTGCTCCTTGCCTATCAACTCTTAATAGTGCTGTCTGTCCTGTAGACCAAAAAGGTAGCTCTGGCTTTAAGATAGTAAAATTTAAAGGATTGCATGTCTTTGTCTTACGATCTGGTTTGGTTGACATACTACTTAGCAGAACAGTCTTCCCTGAATATAGGTGTTGGTGTTGTGTCAGTGTAGACCACTTAATGTTACAGTCTGGGCATCCGATTTGTCATTCTCTGTACAGATGTTTAGGACTGCTGCTGATAAGCCTCTCGTGTCAAACCATTGCAGACTGCTTCTGGTTTTTTAGGATTATGAACATATGCGGTATGGTAGGCATCAAAATACAAGGAAATAGGCCTGTTATAGAGGGGAAGGGCTTCTTTGGTTTGAGCTATAAGCTCTCCTTCTTTTTCTCCCTCTGATTTAACATGTACCTCAAGCCAGAATTCATAGGGTGAGAGCTTAGGGTCATAACATACATATAGCTGATTATTTCCTGGGTCACAGACTGAATAGGTGGTCTGGTTGTATGTGCAGGTTTCTAACTTGGTTCCTGCACATTCATAGTAGTTATGGTACAGTAGAGTTTTGACTATGGTATTCCTTACCCAGGTAGTGTGTACACAGTGTGGGCATCCTTCTAGAGATTTCTCCCCTTTTAGTGTAGGCAGAAATGGTAACAACATTAGCGTATGTAATAGAAACATGCTTACACTACACGTGGGAATGGCAAACCTTCCTCTGGGCATAGACATTTGCAGCATTTGCAGTAATAACGTAACAACAGAACAATCAGTACTGACAGAATTATAACTAGGCTTGTAAATTGTATCCACATTTACTTATCCAGAGATGGTACTCTTAGCTTCGGCTGTGCATAGACTAGTCAGCTTCCGAGATGTAACTAGAGCAGAGCTTGCAGGAATCCCCAAAGATCAGCCGAAATCAATTATTCAGGCCCCACCTGAGGAAAGGGAATGTCCATCCCCATGTGTGCCAGTATATCTGTCTTTGGTCAGAATAAGGCAGGAAGCAGAGTCAGGAGCACCCGAAAAGTCAGGCTTGGAAGAAAGTGAGGCTCAGTCCTTTGGATGTTAATCTGACTGGCCCAGTGTACCTAAATAATTAATAAATATCCTCCTGAACCCCATTGGTCTCTCTGATTCCTTAAAATCCTGCTATAAAATGTAATTATTGCCATCAGAGTTTCTGTTGTTATTTATTGCCTCCATGTTACCTCCCTCCCTTGAACATTCCAGTTCCTGAGGTAATGTCTGGCCAACCCCTTATCTATAAAGTTACAATTTCTGTAACCTGGCTTTCTCTTTTATTTTATAGTTATGGGACCCATTCACATAAACTTTTTAAGAAGCTGGGAATTCCTGGGCCAACCCCTCTGCCTTTTCTGGGAACTATTTTGTTCTACCTTAGGGTAAGTGTTATTTGAGCTCCCTCTTTTGCTTCTTATCGATGCAAACCCAAGCTTAGTCCTATCAGTAAAAATGCTCCTCCTCAGGAGGAATTTCCAATGTTTTACACTTTCAGAAATGGTGTGTATGCTCCACCCAGAGCAGGGCCAGGTTTATACCAGGACTCTCATCTTAATGGTCAGGGGGTTTGGGTTTGCCTCAGTTGCACGGCACAGATATCTGGGGGATCAGCACTCGATGTTCAGGACTTGATGTTCAGACTTTGCGAACCATAAAGAGGACTTTCCTTTTGCCCTGTGCAGATTTTTGAGAAGCTACAGTTGTCCTTAGTATTAAGAGAAAAGCAGAAATGGGGAAATGGGAGCCCCAGTAGCGCTCATTAGCATCATGTACCACATTCAAACTTTCCTGTTTTCACCAAGAGCTTTAGTAAGCTTTTGTTTCCTTCCTCCTGTAGAGCTTTGAAAATTCAGTTCATTGGCTGGGCGCGGTGGCTCACGCCTGTAATCCCAGCACTTTGGGAGGCCGAGACGGGCGGATCACGAGGTCAGGAGATCGAGACCATCCTGGCTAACACGGTGAAACCCTGTCTCTACTAAAAATACAAAAAAAAAAAAAAAAAAAATTAGCCGGGCGCAGTGGCGGGCGCCTGTAGTCCCAGCTACTCGGGAGGCTGAGGCAGGAGAATGGCGTGAACCCGGGAGGCGGAGCTTGCAGTGAGCCGAGATAGCGCCACTGCACTCTGGCTTGGGTGAAAGAGCGAGACTGTGTCTCAAAAAAAAAAAAAAAAAGAAAAGAAAAAAAGAAAAAGAAAATTCAGTTCACTAGGCAGCTATTTACCGCTGGATAATTTGCACATACTTGAATTCTCTCAAGAACTGTTAAATTCCCTGCAGGTAGTTCCACAGTTGTGCTCCAGCTTCTTCTCCCCAGGATGTATTTTACAGATTTGAGAGGAAGAACAAGAAGGTTCTGCTTTCCTGCTGCTTTTCTTCAAAGGCAGCACCCTATGAGTGAGCCTGAGCAGGGAGTGCTTATAATGAAGACAATATGGAGGCTGTCCATCAACTTCAGATATTTAACCACAAAATGAGTTCTGTTTTTTTTTAAAAGAAAGGCAAAATTACTTAACAAAATAACTAGAAAGGGGATAATTTGACAAACTTATTCAAAATTTAATTATCTAAACAGGAGGTAATATGTGTCTCATAGTCTTCGAATTTTGACTGAGCCTTGTGGCTACCCTGGTCTGATGCTCCACCAAGGGCCTGGGGCCATGATGGAAAGTCACAAGTGCGTGTCCACATGGCCAGTAAGAAAGCCTGTGTACAGGTTGCTCTCTGACTCAGGTTTTCTGTCTTACAGACCTGAGGCTTGTTTTTCAGATTCTAATTCTCCCAACTGAGGCCTTCATTGCAAAATTACCACTTAAGAATTTCATCCTTTTTTACCCCCCGAAAAAGCAATAATTTTCTCTTCATATTTCCCAGATCGATCCTTTAGTAAATCCACATGTCCTGGGCTATATGTTGCCTAGTTAGAACATCAAAACTGAAACAAGGAAGCAGGAAAGTTTGTTTTTAAGTGTCAGAAGTGAAAACTCTGAGTGAGTATTGTAATGTGCTGTGTCTGACATCTAGAGGTGGCATTTCCCACACTTATTATGTGTTAAGCTGGAAAACTGGAAAGTGAGTCCACTCTGTCATTTGCCCACTCACTCATTTTCTCGCTCAACAAAATGCCTTGGACTTTTATTTAAATCTGCTAGACTAAAAGTGGTCCCTGATGTTTTTGACTTTCTAATTCAGCTAGAATTCTAGAGAGAATACATGAGATAAATGAAAAGGATGCTGAACAAGGAGATAAAAGATTGCACATTCCCTTGAGACACTCACTCACTTTCCGTCAGCCTCGGTTTCTTCATGTTCCCATGGTGGTGATAATTCAGGGGTTTATGAGATTGCAGAGACAACATATGCAGAAATGAAAACACATCAGAAAGACAATGAGTTGCTTAGTGTTCATAGACAGAAGTAAGTCATTCAATATCTACACTAGTTAGAGAAAATTTAAAAGTGACTTTAAATTCTCCATTTCAAATATCTTCTGTATTTTCTCTCCTTTTCCTTAAGAGGTCTCTGAATAAGATTCCCAGCTGGGCGTGGTGGCTCACGCCTGTAATCCCAGCACTTTGGGAGGCTGAAGCAGGAGGATCACCTAAGGTCAGGAGTTCGAGACCAGCTTTGCCAACATGGTGAAACCCTATTTCTACTAAATATACAAAAATTAGCTGGGTGTGGTGGCGGGCCCCCATAATCCCAGCTACTTGGGAGGCTGAGGCAGGAGAAGAGCTTGAACCCAGAAGGCAGAGGTTGCAATGAGCCAAGATCGCACCATTGCACTCCAGCCTGGGCAGCAGAAAAAAAGGAAAAAAAAAAGATTCCCTCTAACTGCCAGTAAATGGTAGCAAGCCTAATGGTAGCAAGTCATTGGATTTGACTTTTTTGCCCTGGTTAAATGTAGCGTTCAGTACATTCGAAATAATACTTGAATTGTATTTTGTTTCTTCTGCCAGGGTCTTTGGAATT
Source organism: Homo sapiens (assembly GCF_000001405.40). Taxonomy (NCBI): domain Eukaryota; kingdom Metazoa; phylum Chordata; class Mammalia; order Primates; family Hominidae; genus Homo; species Homo sapiens. The sequence goes on from NC_000007.14 coordinate 99,839,133, forward strand.
TTGACAGAGAATGTAATGAAAAATACGGAGAAATGTGGGGGTGAGTATTCTGGAAACTTGCATTGGATAGAGCTGTTGCTATGCTGAGTTATTTTACTGCAGAGAGAACAATCTCAGCCCAGATTTTGTTTGGATAATGCTATTGTCAACCTAAGTAACAAACAGAGAGAGGCTATCTAAAAGAAAAAGATGATCTGGGAATTGAGCATTGCAAGGGGAATATGCGTGTCATAGGAAACTCCATGCATATTCAGTATGTGAACAAAAATAAAATCTTTGAGACCCTAAACTCACTATGACAAAGGGAAAATCGAGCTTGAGAATTAAGTCATACCTTACTGCCTTCCTTTTTTCCCCAGACAGATAGCTGTAATTTCACAACCCTGGGTAATAGCTTCATACATAAGCCACATTCCCACAACAATAGCAATGTGGCATCACTCGTCTGGGGTAATACCCGAGGTTTGTTGTCCCACAGATATAGGGGGTCTCCCTATAGTGGACGCACAAAGAATAAGGTTAAGAGCAGAGGTTGGATAGGTGAAAGAAAGAGAAAAGCTCTCTCCTGCCGAGAGAGGGGGCCCCCAGTGGGTCTTCTGACCTGCGGTAAAGTGCAGGAGGTTTTATAGATGAGCTTGAGGAGGCAGTGTCTGATTTACATAGGGCATGAAAGATTGGTTGGACCAGGTGTGTCATTTGCATAGCACATAAAAAACTGGTTAGGACTAGGTGTACTGTTTGCATAACATGTGAAGAAGTTGGCTGCCCCACCCTAATCTTTTATTATGCAGATGGTTCTCTTCCTGGCTGGCACCATGTTGCCTGCTTTTTTTACTGTAAATGGGGTGACAAAGATAAGGGAAGATGGGGCCTCCATGTTGAACATAACCAGCTTCCAAGGTAGCCCTTTTCTATTGGCACAGCTGCCAGCATTTACCCGTGCAAGCTTCCAGCTTGCTTATCGATGTCTGCAGCTTGATTTTTTCAGGCTGCTCTTTGTTAGAAAAGAAATGATTTGGGGGGCTGCTTTTTGTTAAAAGGGAAGCTTTGCTGAGGACCCCTTTGCCCTCACTATCTGCCTAAATAATTTTTTTCTGGCTCCTATATCAATAGAAGGCTACATATCTTTCTGGATGGTTTCCCTCACAAGTTGCTCACATGGAATTCTATACATCTGCCCTATAAACCAGCCCTGTCATTGAGTTCTGTTGACTCACACCTTGATCATGTAAATTACCAGCTTATCACAGGTACAGAATAAGGACAAGACCAGAAATCATCCCTCCACCTACCTTGAGATGAATATGTAACTGACTTTTCCTCTACTCTTTCTTTTCACATGTATATCTCATGTAAAATGTAGATTTTCTGAGTACAACATGAATGCATAATTGATTTTTTCCTCTACTCTGTCTTTTCACATGTAAAGTGCAGGTTCGATGAGAGCTAATTGGTGCCTTACACAAATGTAATCATTTGCCACACTGCCTACTCTTTCCCCCCTTTTTTCCTTCCTGCTGGTTCTTTCCTCTTTAAATTCGGAAGTTCCCAAAACCCTCTTTGGAAAAACACAGGTCGCAGCTACCCCTGTGGCTCATGTGTTTCCAGGTGTCCCCTCAAGCTTTGACTCAATAAACCTCTATCAATCAAGACACCTGCCTCAGTCACTTTTTGGTTAACACCTTGGTAACCACAATGGGATTCACTGAGGGCAGTTTGGCCCTCAGCCTGCAGAAATTTTCCCATCAGTGTGATAGAACCAGCTAGAGCTTTTTATCACTCTAACCAATTGGCTCATGTGCTGAGGTCTGGGAGCTTCTCCTTCTAGAGATCCTTGATCTCCCATAAAATGTTGCTTGAGACCTGAATTTTCTTCTGCCATAGAGCTCCTTTCTGGGAGTTTTTACTTACTTCCAACAAGGAAGGTGAGTTTTCTGCTTCCATAATGATGAACAGTTTTTAGCTTGAGATCCGTCTCCACATAAGGAGCCGATGTGGCTTTTCATTTTGGAATTTGGTAGCTGAGGGTCAAGGTTTATTGTCAGCTAGCTATAACTTCCCCTTATGCTTGGAGATCTTGACCCTATGTAAATTGTGTGATAACTTTCTGTTTTGAGTTTCAATCTACCTTCCACTAAGTTTTACCAATTCGTGGCCCCCTCTAATGTTTACTGGAATGCCCACAGCTACAAAATGTCAATTTTCCCCTCTAGAAACCCCAGCCAGTTAAGAGAAATCAATATGCAACTCAAAATATATTTCTTTGACACTTTTCTTTTTTTGAGATGGAGTCTTGCTCTTGTCACCCAGGCTGGAGTGCAATGGGGTGATCTCGGCTTACTAAAACTTCCACCTCCCAGGGTCAAGCAATTCCCCTGCCTCAGCCTCCTGAGTAGCTGGGATTATAGGCACTCACTACCATGCCCAGCTAATTTTTGTATTTTTAGTAGAGACAGGGTTTCCCCATGTTTGCCAGCTGGTCTCAAACTCCTGACCTCAGGTGATCTGCCCGCCTTGGCCTCCCAAAGTGCTGGTATTACAGGCATGAGCCACTGCACCCGGCCTACACATTTTTTTTAATTGAGATGGAGTCTCACTCTGTTACCCAGGTTGGTGCAGTGGCACCATCTTGGCTCACTGTAGCCTCTGCCTCCCAGTGATCCTGCCACCTCAGCCTCCCAACTTTGACACATTTTAATGTGGCCTTACCAGAACTTCCCTTGTCTAAATCTAGGGAAGAGTAGAAAAGGATCTGACACATACTCTGAGGGCTACTACCTACGAGGTTTTCTTTGCATAACAAGGCCACCTTCCCAGCCTCTCTCTCTCTATGTGCTGTTATAATAAATACTTCATTAGAAATTCTAATTGTCAATGACAAAATAGTGGGAGCCTTTGAATTAAGACTTCTAAATTTAAAATTTTAGTGACCTTTTATTCTAAACAATTAATTAAAAGATCAAATTTTTTAAAGGACTTATAAAATGGTCATGTCTATCCTTAAAAGTTATCTTCTTTTTCTATGCCCATTTTCTGCCAAACTAACTCTGCAAAGGAAACTTGTTAATTTACAATCTCCCTAGCTATATAAAAAAGTATCCTTTCCCTCCATCTTTGCCAATCTATGCTTTTAAATGTAATTTTTGCCATTTTAATAAAAATGGCATCTTTTTAGTTTGCATTTTCCTGACTTCTACCAATACTGAGGAACTTCCCATGCTTATCATTGTCAATTACTCATTCATATTACTGATAATTCAGACTTCATTTCCTATGAATTGCTTATTAATATCCTTTTCTCACTTATCAAGTAAATCCTTCATTTATAGAAGTTTTATAGATTCTCTATATTAACTCTTGTACAAATATCTTCTCTTAGTCTCTTTCCTGTCTTTTAACTTTGTTTACGGTATCTTTTCATACAAAAGTTTTAACACTTTTTACGTAATAAAACATACTGTGGTCCTTTATGAAAAAAAAAGTTATCTTGACTAAATTAAGAGCAAAAATCTGACCAAACTCACTATGCCAAAATGAAAAGTTATGGTTGGAAACTGAGTCATGCAATACTGCCTTCCTTTAGTTCAAATCATATAGCTGTAATTTCACAATGCTGTGTCATAACCTCATAAGAAAGCCAGATTCCCAAAATGATAGAAGGCCACATATCTCCCCAGATGGCGTCCCTCGTAAGTTTCTCACAAGGACGTTCCTTATGAGTCCCTAAATCTTTTAGTATACATATCCTCCTTCCCCCCATGAACCAGCCCTTAAAACCAAGTTCTGTTGAATCTCACTTACCCTGACAATGTCAATTTCCAGTTTACCTTGGCAGGCACAGGACAAGGACAAGACCAAGAAATTATCCCTCCACCCAATCCAAGTTGAATGCGTAATCGACTTTGCCTCTATTCTCTCTTTTCATATGTTTGCATTATTTTATGTAAAATGGAGATTTCTTTATCACAATAGAAATATATAACTGACTTTTTCCTCTATGCCCTCTTTTCACATGCAAAATGCAGATTTGCTGAGCACTTCTCAGAGCCTCACAAGAATGTGACCATTTGCCTCACTACCTACACACTCTCCTTCTTCTCTCTCCTGCTTGCTCTTTCTCCTTTAAATTCTGAAGTTCCCAAAACCCTCTTTAGAAAAAGCACAGGTCACAGAGGCTCCTGTGGCTGGTGTTCTTCCCAGATGTATTCTCAAACTTTGGCTAAAGGAAACTATTAATCAAGGCTCCAGTCTCTGTCACTTTTTGGTTAACAAGAAGATAAAAGAAGACAGTATTTTTAAAGAAAATAATGAAGAGGATTACATAACTGTTTATTTTATTTTTTTTTATTTTGAGATGGAGTGTCGCTGTATTGCCCAGGCTGGAGTGCAGTGATGCGATCTTGGCTCACTGCAACCTCCACCTCCCGGGTTCAAGTGATTCTCCTGCCCTGGCTTCCCAAGTAGCTGGGATTACAGGTGTGAGCCACCACGCCCAGCTAATTTTTGTATTTTTAGTAGAGATGGGGTTTCACCATGTTGGCCAGGCTTGTCTCGAACTCCTGACCTCAAGTGATCCACCCACCTCGGCCTCCCCAAAGTGCTGGAATTACAAGTGTGAGCCACTGCACCCAGCCTATAATGAAATATTTTAAACATACAAAAGATTATGGAGAATGGTATAGGGAATGCCCAAGTATACACCACCTAGATGTAACAAAGGCTTCTGATATTTCTAACCATGATCTCTTTGAAGAGCTCTTTTGTCTTTCAATGACTCTTTCCTGTTTGAGCCACATCACCCTTCGTTGTATGAAGGCTTAAGTGGCTTCCGTGGTGAGAATCTTACTCTGTGTCATACCCTAATTGACCTTGGAGCTGGCTTTGCTGTGTATTGCACAACTGCAAGTATGGATGATGGAATGTCAGGATCAAAATCTGGATTCTTTGGTGTGGTTCCAGCTGCAGAATCAGGCAAGCGAGGTTTAGTCAGCTCTGTTTTCCCCCACACAGGCTGTATGAGGGGCAACAGCCCATGCTGGTCATCATGGATCCCGACATGATCAAAACAGTGTTAGTGAAAGAATGTTACTCTGTCTTCACAAACCAGATGGTAGGCCTATATTTTCAAATGTATTAATCAAATTTTTATTCTTAAATGATTATATATTCATGGAAACTTGCCCAGAAAATGGACAGGAAAGTGCTTTATACTTCGTCCTATTTCCCCCAATGGTGATGTCTTATTTAACTGTAGATACAGTGTATTTCTGTCACTCTAGTAACAGAAAATTGCCATTGACACAATCCACAGAACTTATTCAGAGTTCCTGCTTTACATGCCCTCATTTGTGTGGGTGTATATGTGTGTGTGTAGCATTATGCAAATGTACCCATGTGTATAATTGCATGACTATCAGCACAATATGTACAGATCTGTTCTAGCACCAGGAGGCTCCCTGCTGGTATTCTGTTGTTACTATGTGTAGCTTGTCTTTTCCTCCTTGCAGGGTCTATAGTAGAGAAAACTTTTTTTTTATTTCAGTGAGGCCAATTTATCCATTTTTCTTTTATAGATTGTGCTTTTACTGTAAGTCTGAAAATTATTCTCCAAGCACACTTTGTCGCTGGTGTTTTTTCTAAAAGTTATATGGTTTAAGGCTGGGTGCGGTGGCTCACGCCTATAATCCCAGCACTTTGGGAGGCCGAGGTGGGTGGATCACGAGGTCAGGAGATCAAGACCATCCTGGCCAACATGGTGAAACCTCATCTCTACTAAAAATACAAAAATTAGCCAGGCATGGTGGTGGGCACCTGTAGTCCCAGCTACTCGGGAGGCTGAGGCAGCAAAATCGCTTGAACCCGGGAGGCAGAGGTTGCAGTGAGCCAAGATTGCGCCATTGCACTCCAGCCTGGCAACAGAGCAAGACTCAGTCTCAAAAAAAAAAAAAAAAAGTTATATGGTTCAATGCTTTACATTTAAGTTTATGATACATTTTGTGTTAATTTTTTGTCTTAATTTTTTGCATAAGATGTAAAGTTTAGGTCATAGTTCACTTTCTGTGGCCTGTGGCTGTGTGATTTTTCCAACACCATTTTTGGAAAGGTTACTTTCCCTCTATGGGGTTACTTTTTCACAATTGTCAAAAATCAGTTGAGCAGATTTCTGTGCATCTCTTTTTTTTCTTTTTCTTTTTCTTTTTTTTTAATTGAGACAGAGTCTCGCTCTGTCACCCAGACTGAAGTGCAGTGGCGCGATCTCAGTTCACTGCAAACTCTGCCTCCCAGGTTCAAGTGATTCTTGTGCCTCAGCCTCCCAAGTAGCTGGGATTACAGCTGTGCACCACCGTGCTCATCTAATTTTTGTATTTTAGTAGAGATGGGGTTTTGCCATGTTGGCCAGGCGGGTCTCAAACTCCTGGGCTCAAATGATTCACCCACCTCAACCTCCCAAAGTGCTGAGATTACAGACGTGAGCCACCACACCTAACCTGCGCATCTGTTTCTCATTCACTGTTTTGTCCCATTGATCACTGTGTTTATTCCTCCACCAGTACCACATTGTGGTGACAATAGTAGCTGTACGGTAACTATTAACATCATGTAGAGGGATTACTCCCACTTTATTTATTGTTTTAGTTCTTGTTTTTGCTTTTTTTTTTTTTTAAGACGGTCTCGCTCTGTAGCCCAGGCTGGAGTGCAGTGGCATGATCTCGGCTCACTCTAGCCTCTGCCTCCCTGGTTCAAGCGATTCTCCTGCCTCACCCTCCCAAGCAGCTGGGATTACAGGCATGCGGCACCATGCCCAGCTAATCTGGGGTATTTTTAGTAGATACGGGGTTTCGCCATGTTGGCCAGGCTGGTCTCGAACTCCTGACCACAGGTGATCCACCTGCCTGGGCCTCCCAAAGTGCTGGGACTACAGACATGAGCCACCACGCCTGGCCCCTTTTCCTTTCCATAAAAATTCAGAACAAGCTTGTCAATGTCTACAAACAAACCTGCTGAGATTTTGATAAGTATTGAATTAAACCTATAAGTTGGTTTAGGGAAAATCTGTATCTTTACTACATTGAGTCTTTCAAAACATGAACATAGTATCCCTCTCCATTTCTTTAGGTTTTCTTTTAGTCCTTTCATCAACGTTTTGTAATTTTTAGCATAGAGATCCTGTACGTGTTTTGTTAGATTCACACCTAAAGTATTTCATTTTCATTGACATGTAAATGGAATATTTTTACTGTATTTTCAGATAGTCATTGTTATGGCGTAGAAATGTGATTGATTTTTGCATGTTGATCTTGTGTTCTACACCCTTGCTGAATCTCACTTTTTAGCTCTAGAAGTCTTTTTGTATATTCCTAGAAAGGTTCTACATTGACATTTATGTCACCCGAAAATAGAGGCCCTTCTATTTCTTGCCGTCCAATCTGTATGCCTTTAATTTTTTTCTCATCTATAGCACTGAGACATCCAATATGATGTTGAATAAGAATGGTGAGAGTGGATATTTTTGTATTGTTTCTGATCTTGGAGGAAAGCATTCATTTTTTTCACCATTAAGTGTGATTTAGCTGAAGGTTTTTTGTATATATTTTTTTCCATGTTTTTCAGAATATCAAATTGAGGACGTTTCTCTTTTTCCTAGTTTGCCAGGTTTTATCCTAAATAAGCATTGAAATTATCCATTTTAAAATACAGTTTTGAAAGATGGAAGAAGGTTTCAAGTTATTGGACTAATAGGCCTGTCGCAAGTTGGGAAATAGCATTCTTTTCTTTATTTTTCCTCTAATCCTGGGGGGAAAATAAAAGAAAGGGGCTTTTCATGTAATTGCATTGTTTCTTCAAAGTGCATTCTTAGTCTTTTGCTTATTACTAATTTTTTTTTCAAAAGTCACTAAATCAAACCACCCCTTTGTCAAGTTTCTCATGCTATAGGTGTATTAAAGACACAGCTGCTCTGAGGCAACGTACAATCTGCCAAGGCGACCTGCCTATCTGTCACCAGTCCCTTTCTGCTTTGCACAACCCTGGAGGAGTTGCTAGGTCTTGTTCCCATCTATTCTACTGGAAGAACTGGTTCTCTTCCACGTGGAAACCATGCATTTAAAAGGAAACTGGGATATAGTGACTGGAAACCACACCATTTGCCTTGATTCCACCATCCCCCTTCCATATGCTTACAGGAGGCTACACATTCAAGATAAATCTTTATTGAGCATCTAGTATAGAGCCTGCCACCCAGTAGATAGTTACTAAATATTTGTTAAATTCATGATGCCTGTTTAACACATTTTCTACAACTATGGAGATCTCTAAAACTTACGTAGGACAAACTGCTTCTGCTTTGAACTCAAGCCTTTAGGTCCAATGGGATTTCTGAAAAGTGCCTTAAGTTTTGCTGAAGATGAAGAATGGAAGAGAATACGAACATTGCTATCTCCAGCTTTCACCAGTGTAAAATTCAAGGAAGTAAGAAAATAAGGTGATTTATAATTAGAAACTTAAAGGATGAATCTGGAGACAGGTAGTAAGTATCATCATAGTTCCTTTCTAATGGGTAGTCCACTGAGTTTGAGCTTTCTAAAAAGGGTCTTTTCAGCTGGGCACAGTGGCTCATGCCTGTAATCCCAGCACTTTGGGAGGCCGAGGTGGGTGGATCACCTGAGGTTAGGAGATTGAGACCAGCCTGGCCAACATGGTGAAACCCCAACTCTACTAAAAATACAAAAATTAGCTGGGCATGGTGGCGGATGCCTATAATCCTAGCTGCTCAGAAGGCTAAGGCAGAAGAATTGTTTGAATCTAGAGGCGGAGGTTGCAATGAGCCAAGATTGCGCCGTTGCACTCCAGCCTGGGCAACAAGAGCGAAACTCTGTCTCAAAAAAAAGGGGCAGGGGGCGGTCTTTTCTATTTATGTCCTAGAGGACATGGTGAGTCATTACAAAATATCATTTACTGTTCCATGCTGGGCAAAGCCATGTCCTTCTGAGACTCGAGTCTGCGTAGTTAACTATGGGTGGTGTTGTGTTTTAGATGGTCCCCATCATTTCCCAATGTGGAGATATGTTGGTGAGAAGCCTGAGGCAGGAAGCAGAGAACAGCAAGTCCATCAACTTGAAAGAGTAAGTAGCACAGTCTTGAGGTTCTGAGCTGTCATGAGCCCCTCCAGCTGCCTGCAGTGGAGCTGATATTCCCACTGTTGGGTTACTCCAGTGATCGGACAAAAGCAGGGCTGTGGTGTTGCAACTCCAATAGGCCACCCAAGATGGTGTTGCTCACAAAAGAAAGCTAGGAAGCTGAGAGAAAAGGATCTTCTCCCCTGTGCACAGGAGCCAGGAATAACTTATCTGTTACATTGTCCCCTTGGATATTCCAAAAGAATAATACATTGTGTAGAAAGAAAAAATAAAAACCTGATTGTACTAAAGTTTTGAGCATAGACGTTATGGAGTGGTGGGAGGGGAAGGTGTTTGATAGCTGTTGGCTGGCAGTGACTGGGGCAGGAAAGTTACAATGAGGAAGTTGGAATAACTTCAATCCCTTCATTATTTTGCTGAGGATACCACCAAAATATGAAATATTAAACCTTCCCACCACTTCTAATTTCTTTTCTCCAATCTTAAATTTTAAAAGACTCTGTAAAGGCTATAGGTAGGGCAATGCTATTGTTTGTTGTCTGAACTGGAATGTAATTTGAATTATGCTGGAACAACATGTGTAAGCTGAGCCTGTCCTGGGCAGACTGGGGACATGTGGTCACTCAGCTATGGGATGCCCCGATCAACTTTGGAGTGATCTATTTGTTTAATCAATATCACTGTTAGTTCTTACTTTTACAAAAATAATCTGCCCTCAGAGCAACCTCAGATCCCAGGAGTTGGGGAAAAGCAGGTGTTTCAGGAGGCTTATCAGGGAGTGCAGCGGAGACATGACGTTCACAGCAAGTCTGAACAGGGTGTGGCTGTTCTATAAAGTGCTGAAGAGACATCAGCTCTGGGCGTAGACTGTGGGGTCTGGCAATGTCAAATTTATTGATTGGCCGAGAAAGAGTTAATTATTTTATTCTTGTCCTGCAGAAGCACAGTGTTGACACACCTTTTACCATCCACACTCAACACAAACTACTGTAATTGTCTGATTATTGGGTCTGTGTCTCCCTATGACTGAGGTCCTTGAGCTCAGAGGTGGGTCTAACTCACCTTAGTGTCTCCATCACTCCCAGCACAGGGCCAGCTGCATCACTGATACCCAATAAATGCCTCATGAGTATGATGGGAGATGATGCAGCAGATTGTTCTGATTGTGTGTGGGTTTTCACCTGTCTTGCTCTGGCATAGCACTTCTTGCTGTGTGTATAGCAGAAGGAAGGTAAAGAGGTGCTGGTTTTAATTTTCCATGTTTTACTCTACTCAGTTTCTTTGGGGCCTACACCATGGATGTAATCACTGGCACATTATTTGGAGTGAACTTGGATTCTCTCAACAATCCACAAGATCCCTTTCTGAAAAATATGAAGAAGCTTTTAAAATTGGATTTTTTGGATCCCTTTTTACTCTTAATATGTATGTGGACTTTTATGTTATTTCTCTCTCTCTCTCTCTCTCATCTAATTTTTAAAAACAGTTTTATTGAAAACAAAATTCACATACCATATAATTCACCTACTTAAAATGTATAATTCAATGGTTTTTGGTACATTTAAAGATATGCACAACCAACATCATTGTTAACTTCTGGACATTTTTGTAAACTTCTGAACATTTTTTGTAAACTCAGAAACCACATACCATTTAACCATCATCCCCTTCCAATCTTCCTCACCATTTTTTTTTTTTTTTTTTTTTAGACAGAGTCTCGCTGTGTTGCCTAGGCCGGAGTGCATGGTGCGATCTGGGCTCACTGAAACCTCCACCTCCTGGGTTCGAGTGATTCTCCTGCCTCAGCCTCCTGAGGAGCTGGGATTACAGGTACACACCACCACGCCTGGCTAATTTTTGTATTTTTAGTAGAGACGGGGTTTTGCCATGTTGGTCAGGCTGGTCTCGAACCCCTAACCTCATGATCCGCCCTCCTCAGCCTCCCAAAGTGCTGGGATTACAGGTGTGAGCCACCGCACCTGGCCTTTTTTTCTTTCTTTCTTTCTTTTTTTAAACAGAGTCTAACTCTGTTGCCAGGCTGGAGTGCAGTGGCTCAATCTCGGCTCACTGCAACCTCCGCCTTCCAGGTTCAAGTGATTTTCCTGCCTCAGCCTCCCAAGTAGCTGAGACTACAGGCATGCGCCACCACACCCAACTAATTTTTGTATTTTTAGTAGAGACGGGGTTTCTCCATGTTGGCCAGGATGATCTCGATCTCTTGACCTTGTGATCTGCCTGCCTCAGCCTCCCAAAGTGAGCCACCATGCCCTGCCTTCCTCACCTTTTTTATGTTGCCCAGGCTGGTCTTGAACTCCTGGCCTCAAGCCATCTTTCTGCTTTGGCCTCCCAAAGTTCTGGGATTACAGGAGTGAGCAACTGCACACAGCCCCAAAACCCCCCTCAGCTTTAAGCAACCACTAATCTACTTTCTGTCTCTAGATTTGCCTAATCTAGCACACATCATATAAATTGAATCATATAATATGTGGTCTTTTGTGACTGGCTTCTTTCATTTAGCATTACATTTTCAAAGTTAATTCATGTTGAAACATGGATCAGTACTTCATTTCTTTTTATGACCAAATAATATTTCATTGTATAGATATGCTGCATTTTGCGCTAGGTGTAGTGGCTCATGCCTGTAATCCCAGCACTTTGGGAGGCCGAGGTGGGCAGATCACAAGGTCAAGAGATCAAGACCATCCTTGCCAACTTGGCGAAACCCTGTCTCTACTAAAAATACAAAAATTAGTCAGGCATGGTGGCGGGTGTCTGTAATCCCAGCTATCAGGAACCTGAGGCAGGAGAATCACTGGAACCCAGAGGTGGAGGTTACAGTGAGCTGAGATCGCACCACTGCACTCCAGCCTGGTGACAGAGCAAGACCCCGTCTAAAAAAAAAAAAGATATGCTGCATTTTGCTTATCCATTCATAGTTGATGGACATTTGTGTTGTTTCTACCTTTCAACTATTGTGAATAGTGCTGCTGTGAATAGTTGTTTACAAGTTTATGTTTGAATACTTGATTTTTCTTCTTTTAGGTATATATTCAGCAGTGGAATGGAGGCGTTTTATAGTAGTAATTCCATGTTTCACTTCTTAAGGAGTTTCTAAACTGTTTCCCACAACAGCTGCACCATTTTACCAGGAGCATATAATGGTTCTAATTTCTCTACATTCTTGCCAACACTTGGTTTTCTCATTTGTTTATAGACACCTTACTACATGTGAACTGGTCTCATCGTGATTTTGATTTACTCTTCTCTAATGGCTAATAAAATTGAGCAACATTGGCCATCTTTATATCTTCTTTAGATAAATGTCTGTTCAAGTCTTTTGCCCATATACAGCTGAATTCTTTTTGTTAATTGGTAAGAGTTCTTTACATATTCTACATACAACTTCCTTCTCAGGCATATGATTTGCAAAATTGTTCTCCCATTCTATACATGTCTTTTTACTTTCTTGATATTGTTCTTTGAACTTTATCTTCTTTGAACTGTATCTTCTTTGAACTTCTTTGAACTTTAATTTTGATGATGCACGATTTGCGTATTTTTCTTTTATTGCTTATCCTGTAGGTATCAAATCTAAGAATCTATTGCCAATTGTGAGCTCATGAAGATTTGCCCTCTTGGTTTTCTTTTAAGGGTTGTATAGTTTTAGCTCTTCTGTTTAGGTCTTCGATGCATCTTGATTTTCATTTTATATGCCGTGTGACGTAAGAGCCCAGCTTTATTCTTACACTTGGCTATCCAGTTGTCCTAGGACCATTTGTTGAAAAGACGATTTTGTCCCCATTCAATGATCATGACACCTTCCTCAAAATTCAGTGGACCAGAGACATGTGGATGTATTCTGGACTGTAAATTCTATTCTGTTGAACTATACTTCTATCTTTATGCCAGTATCACATTGTCCTGATTATTAGAGCTTTGTGGTAAGTTTTGAAATTGGGAAGTATGAGTCCTGCAACTTGATTCTTTTTCAACATTGTTCTGGCTACTCTGCATCCCTTACAATTCCAAATCAATTTTAAAATCAACTTGTCAATTTCTACAAAGAATCTAGCTAGGATTCTGATAATACATTAAATCTGCAGATCCATTTGAGAAGTATTGCCATTTTGACCTTTTTAAGTTTTCTAATCTGTGAACACGGGGTGGTGATTCCTTTTATTTAGATACTCTTTCATTTATTTCAACAGTGTTTTGTATTTTTCAGAGTCTGGGTTTTGCACTTTTGTTAATGTTATTCCTGATAAGTGTATCACTAATATTTTGATGTTATGGTAAATACAATTTTTTAATTCCACTTTTGGATTGTATATTGTAACGTACAGAAATACAGTTTATTTCTGTATATTGACCTTCTATCTTCAAATATTTCTGAACACATTTGTTAGTTTTAATAGGTAAATAGAAGTGCTGAGAGAGGTATCCTTGTCTCATTCATGATCTTAGGGGGAAAGGTACTAAGTATGGTTAGCTATGGGTTTCATAGATGCCCTGTATCAGGTGGAAGAATTCTCTTCTATTTTTAGTTGCTGAGTGTTTTTATCACAAAAGTCTTTTGGATTTTTGTCAAATGCTTTTACTCATACTGAGACGATTGTGTGTTTTCATTTAATTGACATGGTATATTACACAACCTTGTTTCCCTGGGGTAAACCCCTCTTGGTTATGGTATATAATTATTTTTATATGTTGCTAGATTGATCCAGTTTGCTAGTATTTTGTTAAGGATTTGTGCATTTATATTTACAAGATATGTTAGTCTGTAGTTTCTTTATCCTGTGATATATTTTTCCAGTTTTAATATGATGGTAATACTGGCCTTATAGAATGAATTTGGAAATGTTCCCTCATTTCCTAGTTTTTGAAAGTGTTTGTAGAATGGATATTAATTCTCCTTTAAATATTAGGTAGAATTCATTATTGGAACTATCTGGCCTGGCCTTTTCTTTGTGGGTAGTTTTGATTACTGATTCAATGCCTTTATATGTTATAGATCTATTCAGATTGTCTGTTTCTTTCCAACTCAGTTTCTGTAGTTTGTGTCTTTCAAAGAATTTATCCATTTTACCTGTTATCTAATTTATACAATTGTTCTAATAATAAAATTGTTAAGAGAATATCCTTATGCTAATTTTTATTTTTCTTAAATGTCAATAGTAATTATTTCCCTTCTTTTATTTCTGAGACTAGTAAACTGAGTCATCTCTTATTTCTTCATCAATGTAGCTAAAAGTTTGCCAATTTTGATGATATTTTCTTTTGTGGTAAAATTTGAGCTTTTTTTTTGAGATGGACTTTTGCTCTTGCCGCTCAGGCTGGAGTGCAATGGCACGATGTTGGCTCACTGCAACCTCCACCTCCTGGGGTCAAGCTATTCTCCTGCCTCAGCCTCCAGAGTAGTTGGGACTACAGGCATGCAATACTATGCCCGGCTAATTTTTGTATTTTTAGTAAAGACAAGGTTTTTACTGTTGGTCAAGCTGGTCTCGAATTCCTGACCTCAGGTGATCCACCTGCCTCGGCCTCCCAAAGTGCTGGGATTATAGGCGTGAGCCACCGCGCCCAGCCTTGAGCTTTATTTTTTATTTTTAACTTTTGTGGATACACAGTTGGTGTATGCATTTATGGGGTACACGAGATGGTTTTGATACAGGCATGAAATGTGAAATAAGAGCATTATGGAGAATGGGGAATCCATCCCCTCAAGCATTTATCCATTGAATTGCAGACATTCCAATTGCACTCTAAATGATTTTAAAATGTACAGTTATTATTGACTGTAGTCACTCTGTTGTGCTATCAAACCATAGGTCTTATTCATTCTTTCTAACTATTTTTTGTAACCTTTTATTATCCTTACCTCCCCCGCCCCCACTACCCTTCCCAGAGTCTGGTCACCATCCTTCTACTCTCTATGTCCATGAGTTTTGAGTTTTGATAATTTTTTTTTTTTTTTGAGACAGAGTCTCAAAAAAGTTGCGTGATCTAGGCTCACTGAAACCTCTGCCTCCCGGGTTTAAGCAATTCTCCTTTCTCACCCTCCTGAGTAGCTGGGATTACAAGTGTCCACCACCATGCCCAGCTAACTTTTGCATTTTTAGTAGGGACGGGGTTTTGCCATGTTGGTCAGGCTGGTCTAACTCCTCACCTCAGGTGATCCACCCGCCTCAGCCTCCCAAAGTGCTAGGATTACAGGCGTGAGCCACCGCGCCCGGCTGATGATATTTTCAAGGAACCAATTTTTGGTTTTCTTTATTGCTTTTAAATCTGTATTTCATTAGGTTACACTTTAGTTTTTATTATTTTCCCCCTTTCTGCTGGCTTTAGTTTTACTTTGCTCTTCATTTTTCAGTGTGTTATGGTATACATTTAGGTTATTGATTTGAGATTATCTGACATTCACAACTATAAATTTCCCTCTGAACATTGCTTTGGCTACATCCCATACGCTTTGGCATATCATGTCTTCATTTTTCTTCATCTCAAAACAATTTCTAATTGTCCTTTTGCTTTCTACTTCAGCTCATTGGTTACTTAAAAGTGTATTGTTTAACTTCCACATATTTGTGAGTTTTCCAATTCTCTTTTCTCTCTCTCTCTTTTTTTTTTTCTTTCGAGAGACATTTTCATTCTGTCACTCAGGCTGGAGTACAGTGGCACAATCTCAGCTCACTGCAACTTGCGCCTCCCTGGTTCAAGCGATTCTCATGACTGGGTCCCAAGTAGCTGGGACTACAGGCACATGCCACCATGCCCGGCTAATTTTTGTATCAGTAGAGATGGGGTTCCGCCATGTTGGTCAGGCTGGTCTCAAACTCCTGACCTCAAGCAATCTGCCTGCCTCAGCCTCCCTAAGTGCAATTCTCTTGCTTTTATTGATTTCTAGTTTCATTCCATGGTAGTTGAAGGACATTTGCCGTATTGTTTCTATCCTGACTACTATTTCATGGAAAAACATGATTCATTAAAGCAGCAGGCTATCCAAAGAGACTCTAGTCCAGTAGATAAAGGCTAAGAAGTCAGGGAATTTAATTCTGTTCCTTTGGTCACTCTGAAGATGCAGAAGGGACCACTGATCTCACTGCTATAGTGGAGGCCCCTATGTGTGGATCTGCTCTTGCTCAGCCATTGGCATGGAAGAGGGGCAAAGGTCATACAGGAAGAGGGGCAAAGGTCATACAGGAAATGGATCCTGGTTGAGAACCCTGAAGTCTATAGGTAGAGAAAATTGTAATTGTTGTAGGTAAATTTCACATTTTTCACTATGATTTATTTTTTCTTTTTCTATTTAATTTTCCTATAGCACTCTTTCCATTTCTTACCCCAGTTTTTGAAGCCCTAAATATCGGTTTGTTTCCAAAAGATGTTACCCATTTTTTAAAAAATTCCATTGAAAGGATGAAAGAAAGTCGCCTCAAAGATAAACAAAAGGTAAAATCTGGTGGTGGTGACATGAGAATGTTCACTTTTTTATTATATTTTTGGGCTGTTTACATACGATTTGTGCACTTATCTGTGTTTTTTAAAGGCAGCTAGAGAACTTTAGACCAAGAGGGTTTTTACATTTTGCTGGGAATAAAGAAGGTGAAGCTTGGGGAAGAAAGAGAATGAGTGAAACAGCATTTGGAATTTAATAATAGGCATGACTTTAGTATATTATGGCATAAATAATGTAGAGATAGAAGCTTTACCGCTTCTCTTCCTTTCAGTAAATTGTCAATAAATTTGACTGTATAAAGTTGCCAATAAATCTGACTGGATAAAAATGACTGATAAAATTATTTTATGGGTATTACAATTTCCCTAGTTCTTATATTAGTAAGGAATCATTTCAAGTCCAAGCCTGTTATTTTTACACCTTCTTCAGCAGGAGTCCCTACCAGGCTACCTGCAGAAGTAAGTGTATGTTAAATTTCAGTCCTGTCATAGCCTGGACTGGGCAGGGGTCTTCTCTGGGCATTGTGGGTGCAAGCTGACTGATCCAACTTTGCCTTTATGAGCCCTGGAGACCAGCCCGATGATGATGCCTCAAAGTCAGGAATGCAGGACTGGGTCCCCTAGGTGACACTGAACGTTGTATAGAGTTCTAGGAGTGGGGAGTATTTGAAGATGCATTCAAATCAGCTCCCCTGGGATTATCCAGAGATTAATCTATTTGTCCATTGGTTAAGAATAAAAGCAGCAGAACAAATAGGATTGAAATTCAGGACTTCTTCCTGTTCAAGAAATTATGACTAGAGAATGAGCTGACAACTCTTTGGCCAGGAAGTTGTGTCCAAAGGCCAGAGAAGCTGAGGATCAGGGAGAGCAAAGACTAAAAAGCAGATAGACATGACAAAAGGATTTCTCTCAAGGAAACATCCTGCTCTCCAAGGTTTTAGATGCATGATTTTATTCTAAACATTGGTGACTCAGGCAACACCCATTACACTTCTGAACTTAAAGAGAGCATATTCTCAGGAGGGGTGCTTAGGACTGGACTCCTGATTCACTTCTGACTTCACAAGTGACTTTCTGTCATTAAAATTTCTCTTTTTGCTTCCAGCATCGAGTAGATTTCTTTCAACAGATGATCGACTCCCAGAATTCCAAAGAAACAAAGTCCCATAAAGGTAACCAAGAACTGCATCTGGGGGCTACTGATGGGGACACTCAGAGAGAAGGCCCTGTTCTGAAAATGTGCAGAAAGTTTTCCAGGAAAATGAGAATTTCTTCCACATTGCAGAAAGGCACACATTTGGATGTTATAAATGATAGCTGGAGGCACTTTCTAGAAGCACACAGGCATAGCCACATTCCAGGCTTGAAGGGCAACCCTGAACAAGTGTGGCACTCCCGGAGGTCGGTCAGTGATCTGTGGATCACCCACATCAGATAAAATGCCAGTTCTCAGCCTCCTCCAGATCCACTTACTCAGAACTTGGAAACGTACATCTAACATCCAATCAGGAGACACACTGTCCAAATAAGGGTGATTTTAACTGGAAACACTTGGTGAAAGTGTGTTCACAAGGTTAATCTACTGACGGGTTTTATTTTTCCCTATATAATGGAAAAGTAACTGTGAGAAAACCTTTAAGACTGTGTAATGTCCTTTTCCTCTTCAATTTTTCACCTACTAGTTTTACCACCCATGGATGGTTTTGACTGAAACCATCATTACTATGATGGTCGCAAAATAATGACCATGATCGATTTCAAGCCATCAAAGTTTGACAACCATATGACATAATTGTGAATATTAACAATTAATTCTAAAGAGCAGGAAGTGGAGGCTGGGCATGGTGGCTCACGTCTGTAATCTCAGCACTTTGGGAGGCCGAGGCAGGTGGATCACCTAGGGTCAGGAGTTCGAGACCAGCCTGGCCAACATGGCGAAACCCTGTCTCTACTAAAAATACAAAAACTAGCCGGGTGTGGTGGCGCACACCTGTAATCCCAGCTATTTGGGAGGCTGAGGTGGGAGAATCACTTGAACCAGGGAGGCGGAGGTTGCAGTGAGCCAAGATCACACTACTGCACTCCAGCCTGGGCAACAGAGTGAGACTCCATCTCAAAAATAATACTAAATAAATAAAATAAGTAAAAATAAAGAGCAGGAAATGTTTAACTCAAACACACCATTGTAAATATATCTATGTCTTCATCTACTTGTCTATCTATGTGTCATCTATCATCTGTCCATCTGTCCCAGTGCAACTTTTTGTGAAAAGGGAAACAGTCTATCGTTTTGTTGCTCAATACAGACATCACTAGATACATGGCTATTGAGTACTGAACATGTAGCTGCTGCCAATGAAGAATAATTTTTAAGTATATCTAATTTTAATTAATTAAATTTAAGTAGCCACCTGTGGCTAGTGCCTACCCTACTGGGTAGCAGATCTACACTTTGAGATTATGATTTCATTTCAATTCCATGTCCTGGGGTTCATGCCAACTGAATAAAATAATTGGAAAGTTGAATTTACCCACAACATCATCATGAAAATTATCACCAGTAAATCACAACTCTGTAGACCTTTCTCACACTCATCTTGTATTGTTTTCAGTTATGAAATACATGGTTGGAGTGGGCACCATATTTATTTTAGTACCCTAGGTCTCTAAAGTTCTTAATCCAGTCCTGATCAAACAGACCAATGGCTGACTGTGCTAAGCTTTTCTTGGGAGAAATATCAAGAGGGAGGCAAACCTGTAGTCATAAATGCTGTTCGGTGAGCATGAAGTGGAGCAGAGAGAATGGGCATGTACTAAGGAAGATGCTATTCGGGCCAGGATGGAATAGGCACTATGAATTCCACTCACTAGACCCTATTGTTTTTATATTTCATGTTGGCCAATGCCCATCTATACATGCATTCTTCCTGCTGTATTATTATTATTATTATTATTATTATTATTATTATTATTATTATTATTTGAGATGGAGTCTCACTCTGTCACCCAGGCTGGAGTGAAGTGGTCTGATCTTGGCTCACTGCAACCTCTGCCTCCCAGGTTCAAGCAATTCTCCTGCCTCAGCCTCCCGAGTAGCTGGGACTACAGGTGCCCACCACCACACCCAGTTGTGGGTTTTTTTGTAATTTTAGTAGAGATGGGGTTTCACCATGTTGGCCAGGCTGGTCTCAAAATCCTGACCTCAATGATCCTCCTGTGTCAGCCTCCCAAAGTGCTGGGATTACACGCTTGCACCACTGTGCCCAGCCTGTTTTATTAAAACCACTCATTGGACTACAGTCAATCACCTCACTTCTAGATTTTTGTCTCTGTAGCTTTCGTATATCCAGAGGTCATCCATTTTGAAGACTAGTGCCCTAGGAACTCTATTACTTGATGTCACTCAAAGATGTAATCCATGCTTCTCAAGCCATGCTGGGCTCACAAATTACCACATCTCATGAAAGTTCAGATTTTGATTCTGCAGTTTGAGGGTAGGGTTTGAGATTCTGCATTTCTGATAAGCTCCCAGATGCTGCTGGTGCTGCTGGTCCATGGACCACATTTTGAGTGGCAAGAGCCCAATATTCTTCCCTTGGGTTCCCGCAAACATGCTTAGAGAAAAGTTCCTTTATATTTCCCTAAAATCAAGCCTTAGTATTGCAAACTGTCTCATTGTTTGTCAAGCTATATTGTAGCTAGAGTAATTTAAATCTTCCCTGGGGAGAATGTTACTCCACGTTTACTTATAGATAAAGAACTTCTATGATTATCCAAGGGACATCCCTATAACACTGAGTATGTTAGACAGAAATGCTCTCTTTGAAAGTTACCCAGCTGTGCAGCTGGTGGGGATGGTATGATGAGGAGTGAATGGCCCACAATCGTGTAGACCCTGGAAAAAAAACTGGATTAAAGTGACTTTGCCTTATTCTGGCTCTGTAGGATACACATCAGAGTGAAGCCACCCGCAGTGTGACTCTGAATTGCTTTTCTATTTTTGCTCTTAGGGATTTGGGAGCTTCACTGGAATTTTGCTTCATCTAAACTGTGATGCTCTACACTAACCACTTTTCCTAAAATATATTTCCTCTCCTTTCAGCTCTGTCTGATCTGGAGCTTGTGGCCCAGTCAATTATCATCATTTTTGCTGCCTATGACACAACTAGCACCACTCTCCCCTTCATTATGTATGAACTGGCCACTCACCCTGATGTCCAGCAGAAACTGCAGGAGGAGATTGACGCAGTTTTACCCAATAAGGTAAGGGGATGATCCCCTGGAGAAGGAGGGAGAAGGTGAAGCCTCAGCAAGAATGCCTCCTCACCACTTGCCAGGACAATTTTTGCAAAAAGCGTAAGCATCAGTTCTTTCATTTACACTATGCAGAAAGGCTGTAAAGAGTAAAAACAAAGGGAGAATCGTAGGTAGTGGATGCTTCTTGCGTAAGTGTAAGATCTTTGTGAAACAGTGCTGGTCCTGCTGCATCCGTTGTCTGTTAGCAACATAACACCAAGTAAAAAATATCCAGAAATCTCAATGACAACTAAAAACAATCATTTATTGCTCACAAGTCTGGATAGTGAGCTCTGCTGATATTGGCTGGACTCGCTGTGGTCTGGCAGTGGTCTGATGGAACCTGGCCCTGGGTGCGCTGGGCAGGCTGACTCAGCTCTGCCTCACACCTCTCTCTGCTCCAGTCAAGTAGCTAGTGGTGAAGAAGCCAAGCTAGGACCCAGGGTGCCTGACGCCTGGGCCAAACATTTAACCTCTACAATATTACCTTCCAAATATAACACCAAATGCTAGCCACGTATTACCCACACTGTTTCCAGAATTCTGCCCAAATTGGAATTCTTTATGGTGTAACGAGATCTGGCCTTGGGGCTGGCCCTGGTTTGGCAGTGAGGTGAACACAAAGGAATGTTCATCTAAGTTCATAGTCCAGGCCTGAAGGAACAAGTGGGAAATTGTTCGAGAAAGACAGGATGGGGCTGCCCGGAGGGTTCCTATCCTGTTTACAACTCTCAGTAGCACTGAAATTGTGTGCCCTGTCCAGTTATAAAGTTCTTTTGTCATATTTGGGTTACAAAAGAACTAGTTTATCCCCAAACTATTTATAGGGTTTTTATATAACATAGTGTTACTCTCCACATTTTTTTTTTGCATGGAGTCTTGCTTCGTCGCCCAGGCTGGACTGCAGTGGGGTGATCTCGGCTCACTGCTACCTCCGCCTCCAGGGTTCAAGTGATTCTCGTGCCTCAGCCACCTGAGTAGCTGGGATTACAGGCGTGCGCTACTATGCCCGGCTAATTTTTATAGTTTTAGTAGACACAGGGTTTCACCATGTTGGCCAGGCTGGTCTCAAACTCCTGACCTCAAGTGATCCACCCACCTTGGCCTCCCAAAGTGTTGGGATTATAGGCATGAGCCACCATGCCTGGCCTAAACAGGACTTTTCCATTTTAAATGCTTGTATGAAATAGAGGATTTGCTTTTTACATTTTCTTTTTCCTTGGTACAGATGCATAGCCTCTCTTTGGAAAGGTGACACTGGCTTTGGCATATTTTAGGTGATTCAAATGGCCATCGTCTATTAGTCATGTTTGTTCTCCCAAGAAAGAAAAAACACGAAATGGTAATGTCAAGGATTTCAGTCTCTGTGTAAGTGATTGTGCCAAATTCATAACTCC
Organism: Homo sapiens; assembly: GCF_000001405.40. Lineage (NCBI taxonomy): Eukaryota > Metazoa > Chordata > Mammalia > Primates > Hominidae > Homo > Homo sapiens. Next base: position 99,861,421 of record NC_000007.14, read on the forward strand.
TCCACACATCTCAATGGGCCATCGAGCACATCACTGGGTATGGAGAATTATTAAAATAATTTATAAATGCAACAATCTTTTACCAGAATGAATTATTCTCTGGAGCTCCTAACACTTCAATAGTACTGCATGGACTAAGTTGAAAGTTAATTCCCAATCTCAATTTATCCAAATCTGTTTCTTTCTTCCCAGGCACCTGTCACCTACGATGCCCTGGTACAGATGGAGTACCTTGACATGGTGGTGAATGAAACGCTCAGATTATTCCCAGTTGTTAGTAGAGTTACGAGAGTCTGCAAGAAAGATATTGAAATCAATGGAGTGTTCATTCCCAAAGGGTTAGCAGTGATGGTTCCAATCTATGCTCTTCACCATGACCCAAAGTACTGGACAGAGCCTGAGAAGTTCTGCCCTGAAAGGTACAAGGCCCCTGGGAAAGGAGCCTTCCCTCAACCAGCCTGATTCAAGTATATTCTGCCTCTCTCGATGCACATGGCAATCATTTGAATATGTGCCTTTTCATTTTGGAAGTTTTTTATTACAAAATGATAACTGTTAAACTTTACAAACCATAGATTAAGAAACACCTTATAACAACCCTCATTAACTATGTAATGCCTGTCTTGTAGGCATTTTTCTATGCATAGACATTTTTAAAAACTAGTATACTATCACATTTTATTTGAGTTTGAACTGCTGCTTACTTCATTTCAAAGTAAACCATTACCTATCTACTATCTTACGTTACTACATATTTCTATATGCATAAGCTATAATTCATTTCACCATAATGTTATTTTGAGTATATAAGCTTGTTATTCATTTCAGTTTTTCTTTGCTGTGCCCTTTAGCTCTCTGAATTTAGCACCACGTTTAGGACATGTTTCCACATTCCTTTTTCTTTCAACATTGCTTGCTGTTTTCCGTAATGTAACTGTGAAAGTGCAGGCTGAGATCCTGAGACATCCTCATCCCTGATGGTTTAAGCCACTTCATTGAGGACAGAGGGAAGCAGAGGTTCTCCTGGTCCTGTTTGTGTCTGCAGTCCTGTGCCGGCTCCCTTGTACTCTCAGTTGTTGATGACTCTTCCAAAGCAAAGTCACCTGCTTTCTAGACTTCTCAGAAGTTCTTCCTTGGAAGTGTTGGGCATGATATTCTGGGAATTCAGAGCCAAGGTCAAGCTTTGGGCACAATTTGCACTCTGGAAATAGTTGATATTTTCCCATTTTGGAAAGGAAAATTTGGAATGAACTTTGTAGGGCACTGGCTGGTGAGGCCTGGGATCTAGACTTTTATTGGCCCCTAACTATAAACTTCCCAATGGCAGGGACCTTGTCTTGTTAGGCATGCTGTCTCTACTGCTGGCACAGACTCTGTACATAATACTTGTTGGAAGAGCAAGTCAGAATTGACCAATTTCTCTGTTTTCTGGAGTAGAGGACTTCTGTGTTTCCTCCATCTTGGCACTTCCACCTCCTGTGGCTGCACCAACACAAAATCAGAGACCACTCATTGTACTTCTCTTTGCATCATTCAGTCACCAAACAGATAGTAAGTGGTTACCGTGTGTCAGGAACTGGGCCAGGCAGTGAGAAATCCATATACTAAAAAAAGTCTGTTGTGAAGAATGTTTGACATACACATAACTATATTCTATAGACACCAGGCTATAGAACAGTATTAATGCATCCCCCTGTGTTCATCACCTGTCTCAGTAGTCAATGCTGCATGTCAGCTTCCCTGTCCACACACCACCACAATCCTCTCTGTGACTACAATGTTATCTTGAAGAAATAACCTGTAAATATTTCAGAATTTTCTCTAAAATATAAGTAGTCTTTTAAAAACACATAACCACAAGGGCATTATCACTTTCCTCCATCAAAATTTTTTCACAATATAATCAAATATTGAGGAATCAAATTTGAATAAACATGGGTTTAACCTTCAAAAATTGTATAGCCGGCCAGGTGTGGTGGCTAACACCTGTAATCCCAACACTTTGGGAGGCCAAGGAGGTCCTCGCCTCCCAAAAGCCACCACACCCTGCATAACGTGTAGTTTTAATAGTTTTTATGTTTCATTAACTAGTTTTTATGTACTACTGTGAAAGTAGGTTCAGTAAGAAGAACAAGGACAGCATAGATCTTTACAGATACATACCTTTTGGAGCTGGACCCCGAAACTGCATTGGCATGAGGTTTGCTCTCACAAACATAAAACTTGCTGTCATTAGAGCACTGCAGAACTTCTCCTTCAAACCTTGTAAAGAGACTCAGGTCAGTAAACTTTCTTATAAATAATGTTTATTGGGAGTTTTTTAAACTGAGAAGTCTACATTTTTTAAAAATTATTGTTCATTTTTCAATAATTTGCTCTGTAGGACAAAGAATCTAATTGGAGCTATCCATAATGCTTAAAGATGAATCACTTCTGGAGTTCAAAATCTGTGGCTTTGTAAAGACAGAACTATAAAGATCATCTAATGTCAATATAGATTAGCATGGTATAATTATGTTCAGTCTCTGTGAACTTGAGCAAATTTTAAATTCAGTTTCATGTCAACTGTAAAGATGAGGAAGTCTTTTGCACAATCATGAAGTGCAATGATTACTTTGTCAGGACTTTCGAATGGTGCTCTCCTCCACTAGAACTCACTAGAACTTGCAGAAGCTTTCTCATGACAGTGTTTCTCAACCACTAGCTGTACATTGGAATCACTGGGGAGCTTCAAAAATTCATGATGCCTGGATCATCTCACAAATTCTAAACTAATTTGCCCAGAGTTGTGGCTTTAAAAGCTCTCCCATTGGTCCTCATGTGAAGCCAATGTTGGGAATCACTAATTTAAGGCATTTCTGCCAGATAGAAAAGATACTTACAGTCCAAGGCCATCCTGACCATTTGACCTTATCTTCCAGGAGCACTGCTTCGCTGCTTCATACAAGCTGTGCATCTTTTCAACCCAATAATAGCTCTATGAATGTTCTTCTTTTCCTTCTCATTATGTTCCTATCCCACAAGTCCTACATCAATTCCCCAAGCCACTCTAAGAAACCTTCCCCATCGAGTACAGGGCCAGTTATTCTTCTGCTTTGTTACTGTTTATTGCAGGCTGTTATCATCACCTAATCTTATACTTTTCATTAAACCACTCAGTTTTATTCTACAAGTCTTTTCTCTATTCTAAGAATTTCTCCTCTCTGCCCCATTTATGTTGTTTTGTTTTAATTCTTTCATAAAAGTCCAATAGTGTCTTGCAGAGGACATTATCCATTGCAGGCATTCCACACATGTTTAAGGAGTGAGTTTCAGTTGATTTGGAGTTCTTGGATACAAGTTTTAAGCTGTTTAATTTTTAAATTTAATATGTGACATTTGTATATTTGAGTGTGTATGTCTGTCTGCAGGAAAAACATTCATGCCATTTGAAATTTTAAAATAATGAGTCACATTAATAGAAAGATATGGAATCTTTCTCTGAAGAACTTAATGAACACTTGTCATTTATTTATATCAAGCAAGGCCCTATAAGCCTTATTTCTAGGACTTGTGCATTTACTATGCAACTCCTATTCTAAAGTAGGCTTTGTGCATGGGAAGGAAGAATAGATAGGGTTTCAATCTTATTTGTGGCTTTAGGGAAGCTGTACATCCATCCTCTAAGTGTGTACAGACAGGGGCTCAACTCTGAATAAAAGCAGGTCTCTGGCACACATGGGATGGGGTGATACTCCCTGGCAATTTCCCAAGCATCTACTAGCTGGCACTTTTCAATTTCCATGACAATTTGCCTGCCCTTCACTTAACTGACATCAGAACATTTCTCTGCTGGCTGCTCCCCTGACACTGAAGTGACTTGGGAGAATGAGGGCTCAAAGTATTAGTCAAAACACTATAGGCCTTGAGAAGCTTCCCATTTGCATTTCCTTTGGAAATCAAGAGAAGAAGTAAAAAACAAAAGCATAATGCTTCTTGAAGATCTCTTCCCATCATTACACTGGATAGGTTCAGTTGGATGGAGTTAGTGAATGCTTAATAAGTTGAAGACTGTCCATATAATTGAAATATATAACACCTACTGAGGATTACCTTGCAAGTTTCATCATATACAAAATTAACTTTATATGGCTTTTCCAAAATAGTTTAACATAATGCCTAATAATCTGGATTTGATTTTTTAAAATATCTCTTTGCTTAAAATTTAAATAAAAAGGAACAGAAGCCAGCATGAACAATCTCAAGCCTGGCACAGAATAGATACTCAATAAATATTTTGTTAAATGATGAATGGTAAATGCTTTCACTATCCAATCTTCACAGAGCTAACTGAACAAGTACAAATAAACCAACATGTATGGTGCTGAAAGTAGTTTTTTTTTAGTCATTGCAAAGCATTACCCTTGATGTCATCTTTTTTATTTTGCTTCTATCTTTTCTTCATTTGCTTCATTGTTTCTGAATATTCTTGTTTAACTTTTGCAGATCCCACTGAAATTAGACAATCTACCAATTCTTCAACCAGAAAAACCTATTGTTCTAAAAGTGCACTTAAGAGATGGGATTACAAGTGGACCCTGACTTTCCCTAAGGACTTCCACTTTGTTCAAGAAAGCTGTATCCCAGAACACTAGACACTTCAAATTGTTTTGTGAATAAAACTCAGAAATGAAGATGAGCTTAATTAACCTAGTATACTGGGTGAATAATTAGAAATTCTCTACATTCATTGAGCTCTCATTGTCTGGGTAGAGTATTACACGTTGCATACTACAAAGCAGGTGACAAATCAATGCCAAATAAGTACAGTCATCTTCTCTAGTTCTCATAAGACTATCTCCCCGCCACCTATAGTTAGTACCCTCAAGTCCTCCTGAGCTGTGATCAGAGAATAAACATTTCTCAACAATTTTACCAACAATTTTTAATGAAAAGGAAAATTATACTTGTGATTCTCGTAGTGACATTTATATTACATGTTCCATTTGTGATATTCTATAATAAGTATTATATTGAGAAAGTCAACAAGCACCTCTTTACAAAACTGTTATCTGATGTCTTCCTGCATATTAAGGATGAATCTACAGAATTAGATCAATAAGGATCAACAAATAAATATTTTTGGTCATTATAATTGCTGGTTCTGTGGGGTCTTTTACAGGACTCTAACTTGATTATTAATCTAGGTGTGAGTTAAACCACTGTGACTTTGCCCATTGTTTAGAAAACATATTCGTAGTTTCATTGGGCCTCTTTTGAAGCACATATTTTGGTAACATTCAACTTAGGAACTTATTTTTACATTATTAGTTTTGATTTAATGTTATATCTCATCTCACCTGATAGTGCTGGAAGGCAGGGAACATGTTTTCCTATACTTGTTCTATTTCACCTTTAACTCCCAAATGTTTTAACATAATGAACACCGAATAAAATGTGGTTTATTAGTCAACTGATTCGGCAGCAAAGCTAAAGGCATTCATCAGTTTCAGCTGGTATCAGAGGCTGCACAGAGTTCTTCCTTTTCCTTTTCTGCTTCATCCCAAAGAAATGGGGCTATATATTCCCAAATTTTCAAAATAATGTTGATATTTTGACCTCCTCCCATGGCTCATAAATGCTCTCAATGGCATCTAGAGTAGTAAATCCTTTCCAGAAGGCTTTCAATTGACTTTGCCCAGATCCATCAGAGGAATTACTATCTAATTCCTCTGTAGCCTTATGAAATGTATTTCTTAAATAATAAGACTTGAAAGTTAAAATTACTCTTTTATCCACAGCTGCAGAATGGATGTTTTGTTAGTAGGCATTAAAGCAACAATAATCTTTTTGTCATCTTCATTGGAGCTCTTGAGTGACTAAATGTATTATCAATGAGCAGTGACATTTTGTTTTGTTTGTTTCTCTTTTATTTTATTTTAGGTTTCAGGATACATGTGCAGAACATGCAGGTTTGTTACATAGGTAAAGGGGTGCCATGGTTTGCTGCACCTATCAACCTACCACCTAGGTATTAAGCCCCACATGCATTAGCTATTGGTCCTGATGCTCTGCCTCCCCCACCCACTCCCAACAGGCCCCAGTGTGTGTTGTTCCCTGTGTCCATGTGTTCTCATTGTTCAGCTCCCACTAATGAGTGAGAACTTGTGGTGTTTGGTTTTCTGTTCCTGTGTTAGTTTGCTGAGGAGGATGGCTTCCAGCTTCATCCATGTCCCTGCAAAGGACATGATCTCATTCCTTTTTATGGCTGCATAGTATTCCATTGTGTATATGTACCACATTTTCTTTATTCAGTCTATCATCGACGGGCATTTGGGCTGATTCCAAATCTTTGCTATTGTGAATAGTGCTGCAATAAACTGGCTAAGTCTACCTGAAGTCAATTGTTGTCTAATTTTATCTGTGTTGTAGACATTTTTAAAATCATCTCAAGAAGCTAGACCAGCACTATTTGCTTGGGAGTTGTGCTTATGTAAAGAAATGTGACTAGTAACAGATACAAGGTTTAAAAAGAAAAAAAGTGAAATTAATAGTAATATGATAACTCTAGTTTGCATAATGCTTATAAGCCATGAACCTAGGCTTAAAGGCAAGTAATTAAATAAACCAAATGACCATAAGGAATTAGTCGAGACAGGTTGTAACCATGTGGCCAGTTTTTCTTATTTTGTGTATATGGGTCTCCACTTTTCCAGAGTGAGGACTAAGCCCTGAGTTTTTTCATCTTGCCCAAATTCCTATCCACAGGGTCTAGGGAGTCATGCCCTACAAACCATAAATTCTCATCAGATGGGTTTTATTTAACCCTATATATCGTGACTTACTTTCCAATCTGACTCTGGCATAACATTACGTGACAAAGAAGAAACTCAAAATATTTTACCCCAAAACATGTTTCTTTGCCATATCTTGAAATGGTCCTGCAAAGCTGTCCTTTGTGGGGGGAAAATTTGCATCTGTAAAGAATCTCTTTTTATCATGTAGCTAGATCTTTTTCTTCCAGGCCCTCCCAATCCTGAAGAGATGAAGTAAGAGTCTAACACCTTTTAAAGGTCTGAATGGGAAATATTTGTCATCTATTGTCTCTAAGGGCAGTCACTGTAAAACCTCAAAAGAACCCTGGTCTCCACAACCTGTTTTTTTTTTTAATCTTAACCTGAACATTTCCTTTCTATTGATCCCAGGTCTTTAGACAAACTCAACCAACTGTCAGTCAGAAAATATTTAAATTTACCTATAGCCTGGAAGCACACACACCCCCAGCATCCCACTTTGAGTTGTCCCACCTTTCTGAACCAAACTAATGTATTTCTGAAATGTATTTGATTGATGTCTCATGCCTCTCTAAAATGTATAAAACCAAGATGCACCCCACTACCTTGGGCGTATGTTCTCAAGACCTCCTGAGGGCTGTGTCACAGGACATGCTCACTAATATTTGGCTCAGAATAAATCTCTTCAAATATTTTACAGAGTTTGACTCTTTTCATCAACAAGAGGAAATTACCCTAATAGAGCATGTAGTATTAGCAATAATGTTACCGGAAAGGGGTCCCAATCCAGACCCCAAAAGAGGGTTCTTGGATCACTCATGAGAAAGAATTCAGGGCAAGTCCATAGAGTAAAGTGAAAGCAAGTTTATTAAGAAGTAAAGGAATAAAAAATGGCTACTCCACAAGCAGAACAGCAGCATAGGCTCCTCCTTGGCTATTTTTATGTTATTTCTTGATTATATGCTAAACAAGGGGAATTATTTGTGAGTTTTCCATGAAAGGGGTGGGCAATCCCCAGAACTGAGGGTTCCTTCCCTTCCTAGACCATATAGGGAAACTTTCTGACATGGCCATGTCAATTGTAAACTCTCATGGCACTGGCGGGAGTGTCTTTTAGCATGCTGATGCATTATAATTAGCATATCATGATCAGTGAGGATGACCAGAGGTCATCTTCCATCACCATTTTGGTTTTGGTGGGCTTTGGCCAGCTTTTTTTTCACATGCTGTTTTGTTTTGGTTTAGGTGGTTTTTTTGGAGACAGGGTCTCACTCCATCACCAAGCCTAGAATGCAGTAGTGCAATCTCAGCTCATTGCAACCTCTGTCTCCCAGGGTTCAAGGAATTCTCGTGCCTCACCCTCACTGCCACCCCCACCGCCCTGAGTAGCTGAGACTATAGGCATGCACCACCACACCTGGCTAATTTTTGTATTTTTAGTAGAGACGGGGTTTCACCATGTTGGTCAGGCTAGTCTCGAACTCCTGATCTCAGGTGATCCTCACACCTCAGCCTCCCAAATTGCTGGGATTACAGACATGAGCCGCCGTGCCTGGCCTCACCTGCTATTCTTTTAGAGTTGTAATGTGTTGCTTGTCTTTTCCTCTTAACAAGTATTTTATTGCTTTTATTGAGCAAATGAAAGCAATGATCAAAACAGTGCTAGTGAAAGAATGTTATTCTGTCTTCCCAAACTGGAGGGTAGACATTCATTTTTTTAATTTAAATAGTTATTTAATTTTTATTTGGAAATATATATTCACAAAAGTTGCCCCAAAAATGTACAGAGATGTGTCATGTACTCTTCATTCTGTTTCCCCCAATGTTAATGTCTTCCATAACTGTGTATATAGTATATTCCTATTACTCTAGTAACAAGAAATTGACATTGATATAATCCACAGGGCTTTAGTCAGATTTCACCAGTTTTATGAGCCCTCATTTGTGTGTATGTGTGTGTGTGTGTGTGTGTAGCTTTATGCAAATTCATCGCATGTGTAGATTTGCATAATGCCCAGAAGAATCAAGATACAGAACTGCCCCATCGGCGTGTGACCCTTCTGATTCTCACCTGCTATTCTTTTATAGTCATAATGTGTAGCTTAACTTTTCTTTTTCACAAGATTTTTTCATTGCTTTTATCAAGCAAAACTTTATTTTAAGGGGACCAATTTATCAATTTTTCCTGTTATGAATTGTGTTCTTGGTATTGAGTCTGAAAATTCTTTGTGTATCGCACCCCACCCCCGATGTTTTTGTTGTTTTTCTAAAAGTTACATAGTTTTATCCTTTACATTTAAGTCTATGATTCATTCTGCATTAATTTTTGTATAAGGTATCAGGTTTAGATCAAGGTTCGTTTCTTGGGGCTTATGGCTGTTCATTGTTCCAACACCATTTCTGGAAAGGCTATCCTTCCTCCACTGAATTGCTTTTGCACCACTATCAAAAATCAGTTGGGCCGGGCGTGGTGGCTCACACTTGTAATCCTAGCACTATGGGAGGTTGAGGCAGATGGATCACTTGACATCAGGAGTTCGAGACCAGCCTGGCCAACATGGTGAAGCCCCATCTCTACTAAAAATACAAAATTAGCTGGGCGTGGTGGCGCATGCCTATAGTCCCAGCTACTCAGGAGGCTGAGGCAGAAGAATCGCTTGAACCCAGAAGGTGGAGGTTGCAGTAAGCCAAGCTCAAGCCACTGCACTCCAACCTGGGCGACAGAGCAAGACTCTATCTTAAAAAAAAAAAAAAATCAGGCCAGGCACGGTGGCTCACGCCTATAATCCCAGCATTCTGGGAGGCTGAGGCAAGCGGATCACGAGGTCAGGAGTTGGAGACCAGCATGACCAACATGGTGAAATCCCGTCTCTACTGAAAAATACGAAAATTAGCCAGGCATGGTGGTGTGCACCTGTAATCCCAGCTACTCAGGAGGCTGAGGCAGGAGAAATGCTTGAACCAGGGAGGCGAAAGTTGCAGTGAGCCAAGATCGCGCATTGCACTCCAGCGTGGGCGACAGAGCAAGACTCCGTCTCAAAAAGAAAAAAAAAAATCAGCTGGGCCTATTTGTGTGCATCTACTTCTCATTCTCTATTGTGATCACAGCGTCTTGACTATAGCAGCTGCACAGTAAGTCGTAACATTATTGAGAGTGATTTCTCCCACTTCATTTATTTTTTTCAGAAATATTTTATCTATTGTTGGTCCTTTGACTTTCTATACAATTCAGAATAAACATCGATATCTAAAAATAAACTTACTGAAATTTTGATACAAATTGAAATAAACTTACAGATCAATATGAAATAAATCTATATCTTTACTATGTACAATCTTGACCTTATGAACACAGGATACCTCTCCATTTCCTTTCCTTCCTTTCTTCCTCTCATGTACATTTTGTAGTTTCAGGATAGTGAGATGTTTTGTTAGGTTTATACCTAAAGTCTTTAATTGGAGGGGTTATAAATCATATAGCATTTATAATGTGTTTTCACATATTCATTGCTGTCATGTAGAAATGTGTTTGACTTTTTATGTGTTGATCTTGTATCTTACAATTGTGCTAAATTCACCTATTTTTTTTGTTTTTGTTTTTGTTTTTTGAGTCTTACTCTTTTGCCCAGGCTGGAGTGCAGTGGTGCGATCTTGGCTCATTGCAACCTCTGCCTCCCGGGTTTCAGCAATTCTCCTGCCTCAGCTTCCCGAGTAGCTGGGACTACAGGCATGCACCACCACACCTGGCTAATTTTTGTATTTTTAGCAGAGACGGATTTCACCATGTTAGCCAGGCTGGTCTCAAACTCCTGGCCTCAAGTGATCCACCCACCTCAGCCTCCCAGAGTGCTGGGATTACAGGCATGAGCCACTAATCTGCCCCATCGGCGTGTGACCCTTCTGATTCTCACACCGCACCCGGCCTGAATTCATTTTTTTATTCCAGAGTTCCCCTTGCATATTCTTTGAGTGTTGAGATGCTCCTGATCATACTCTAGTACGGAGATGTGTTCTTGAGAAACCTGAGACAGAAAGTAGAGAAGGGCAAGCCCCTCACTTTGAGAGTAAGTAGGAGCACAGCCATGGAGTTCTGAGCTGTAATGAGCCCCTCCAGCTGCCTGCCATGGAGCTGATATCCCCACTCTTGGGTTAGTCCAGTGACCAGACAAAAGCAGGGCTGTAGCGTTGTGACTACAATGGGCCACCCAAGAGGGGACGGCTCCCATGAGAAGACAGGGAAGCAGTGTGGCATCGGGAGTCAGGGGGATTATTTTCTCCTCTGTTCACAGAAGCCTAAATTTATTCATCTGCTAAATTGTCACCATGGATATTCTGGAAGAAAAATACATTTTCTAGATGTAGTACCTACATCAACAGCATCAGCACTACTTGGGATTTATTAAAAATGTAAATTCAGAGTTTTTGAATCAGAAACTCTGAATCAGAAACCCTGGAACTAGGGCCCAGCCAACTGCTTTAACATGACCTTCAGATGATTCTAATGTGTACTCATGTTTGAGAATCGCTGCTGTAGAAGAGCATGAGAACAAGGAAGTAACATGAAAGAATTTAAATGCAAAGGAAATGGAAAATGAAGACTCAATGAAGTAGGAGTTAAAGTGAGTGTAGCGTTCAGTGAAGAAAGTGTTTCAAAAAAGGAAGGCATAATCAACTTTGTCAAAGGCTGTTGGGTACATTGAAAATTGGTCATTGATCGCTTCTTGGCCTTTTGGCTAAGAGCAAGTGAAAATTGGCCATTAAATGTGGCCACAAGGAGGCCATTTGTGACAATCATACTAATGGTTTCCATAGATTGATGATGACAAAAGCCAACTGAAGTGAGCTCAGGAGAAAATGGAAGCAGAAAAAGTGGAAATAACAAGTAAAGAAAACTGTTTCGGCCGGGCACGGAGGCTCACGCCTGTAATCCCAGCACTTTGGGAGGCCGAGGCGGGCGGATCACGAGGTCAGGAGATCGAGACCATCCTGGCTAACATGGTGAAACCCTGTCTGTACTAAAAATACAAAAAATTAGCCAGGCATGGTGGCGGGTGCCTGTAGTCCCAGCTAATCGGGAGGCTGAGGCAGGAGAATAGCATGAACCCAGGAGGCGTAGCTTGCAGTGAGTGGAGATCGCATCACTGCACTCCAGCCTGGGCAACAGAGCAAGACTCCATCTCAAAAAAAAAAAAGAAAACTGTTTCAAGGAATTCTTCTGTAAGACTGTTTAGACCATGGGTGGACGTCCAATCTTTTGGCTTCCCCAGGCCGCACTGGAAGAAGAATTGTCTTGGGCCACACATAAAATACACTAAAACTAATGACAGCTGATGAGCTAAAAAATAAATAAATAAAAGTTAAAATCTCATAATTTTTTTTATACTTTAAGTTCTAGGGTACATGTGCACAACGTGCAGGTTTGTTACATATGTATACATGTGCCATGTTGGTGTGCTGCACCCATTAACTCGTCATTTACATTAGGTATATCTCCTAAAGCTATTCCTCCCCTCTCCCCCCACCCCACAACAGGCCCTGGTGTGTGATGTTCCCCTTCCTGTGTCCAGGTGTTCTCACTGTTCAATTCCCACCTATGAGTGAGAACATGCGGTGTTTGGTTTTCTGTCCTTACAATAGTTTGCTGAGAATGATGGTTTCCAGCTTCATCCAAGTCCCTACAAAGGACATGAACTCATCATTTTTTATGGCTGCATTGTATTCTGTGTATATGGGCCACATTTTCTTAATCCAGTCTATCATTGTTGGACATTTGGGTTGGTTCCAAGTCTTTGCTATTGTGAATAGTGCTGCAATAAACATACGTGTGCACGTGTCTTTACAGCAGCATGATTTATAATCCTTTGGGTATATACCCAGTAATGGGATGGCTGGGTCAAATGGTATTTCTAGTTCTAGATCCCTGAGGAATCGCCACACTGACTTCCACAATGGTTGAACTAGTTTACAGTCCCACCAACAGCATAAAAGTATTCCTATTTCTCCACATCCTCTCCAGCACCTGTGGTTTCCTGACTTTTTAATGATCGCCATTCTAACTGGTGTGAGATGGTATCTCAATGTGGTTTTGATTTGCATTTCTCTGATGGCCAGTGATGATGAAAATGTTTTAAGAAAGTTTATGAATTTGTGTTGGGCCACATTCAAAGCCTTCCCAGGCCACATATGGTCTGCAGTACATGGGTTGAATGAGCTTGGTTTAGACTTTCCGGGATTGAGGAGAAGTTTCTTTTTAAGATGACAATCATAAAGGTATGTCTGTAGGCTGAGGTACTGATCAAGTAGACTGGGAAAATTTATAACGCAGAAGAGAGAAGAATAATTTCAAGAGCAAGATTATAAGAGATCCTTGCAGATCAGATGGTTATGATGACCTGTGTTAGTCCTCCCCCATATTGCTAAACCCAAATAATCTTGTCTCCATTGGATGAATTCTACTACTGGCCTCTTCTTGGACTTATTCTGTGGACAATTTGGCAGTAAATGGATATGTGAGTAATAGTCTCCAAATCTGGTTCTTTAGTGCTCCCACTGATTCTGACATCTTCCCATCATGCCTTCAATAAGGCTTTTTTCTGCTTGTTTCATTCAGAGTCCATTTCTGTTGCTTGGAACCAATACCCATAACTAACACAAAATCTCAGGTCACCCTATTTTTTTTTTCATTAAACACATAAGATTACTGAGGCCTTGAGAGGTTAAGTAACTTACCACTGTTATCAAGTGGCAGACTCTCCTCCAGATCATTCTGATTCCAAATCACAAGGCTAGGAACCCTCAAAGAACAGAAAGGTATTTTCAGCCTGTGAAATAATAAAAGTTAATATGCCTACCTGCTATGGCAAGTCCAACGTAGACCAAGGAAAAGCACAAGCAGATGTGTAAAAAATCTTAAGTTTCACAATGCAATTCCAAACATCTAGTCTACCACCTGGATCATACTAGGCACTCAACAAAGATTTGTTAAACACAACATGGATTACAAGAATTATGTTATATATTATTATGTATGTATACAAAATGTATTATTCTTTCCCTTATGAATTCTTACACACTGTGATTCATGGAACACTAAGGGTCTAAGAATATAACTTTTAGGGCCAGGTGCAGTAGCTCACGTCTGTAATCTCAGAACTTTGGGAGGCCAAGGTGGGCAGATCACCTGAGGTCAGGGGTTGAAGACCAGCCTGACCAACATGGTGAAACCCCGTCTCTACTAAAAATACAAAAATTAGCCAGGCATGGTGGCACGCGCCTGTAATCCCAGCTACTCTGTAATACTCAGCTACTCCTGGCTGAGGCAGGAGAATCACTTGAACCTGGGAGGCGGAGGTTGCAGTGAGCCAAGATCGTGCCACTGCACTCCAGCCTAGGTGACAGAGAGAGACTCCGTCACAAAAAAAAAAAAGAATACAACTTTTATATCATGCATCCTCCCTTTCAAACAGCCATCATTCACCATTTACTTCCCATGCTTCCAAAAGTAAGCAACACACTCCAATTTTAAACTCCATAAATACTCTCTGGTGGCATGTTTTATATATTTTTGTTAATAAAAATAATAATAGATAAGGGCCCTTATATCTTTATCTTGCCTTCTTTTTTTCAGGGTGTCAGTGACCTTTATATGTCTTCTTTCAAAGGGACTTTTTAAAAAGTTTTCCCTAATTCTCTAAAGATCTACTCAAATGTTCTCCACAGTGCTTGGATACCTGACACCAAGCTGGAATACTGGAATTGTGTGTTAAATGTGTTTTTCTTCCAGTAGTAAAACAGCATAAGGAAGCTATCTCCCTGAAAAACTTTAGAGGTTTATATGAATTAATTTAAGGAGCTTATCCTATTCCACTCTACACTCGGGGCAACCACAATTGCAGTCGTTGAATGCACTGGGTGATAACATCTCTCCTCAGCACTCTTCTCAGAGCCTTAGCTACATCTTTATTCCGGAGAGTATAAATCAGAGAATTCAATGTGGGCGTAATGATGCTGTAGAACACAGAACCAACTTTGTTCTGCAATAGAGTGCACTGGGACCTGGGTCTCATGTAGGAGAAGATGCAGGCACCAAACCAAAGAGAAACCACCGTGAGGTGGGAGCCACAAGTGGCAAAGGCATTTCTCTTGCTCCCAGATGAGCGCATCTGAATGACACTTTGAAGGATGAAGACATAGGATGTAGAAATCAGGAAGATGGGGAGGAGGAGGAGAATGCTGCTGATGTACACTGTGGTCTCATACACAGTGATGTCGCCACATACCAACTTCACAACAGCTGGGAACTCACAGTAGAAGTGGTAGACTTTCCGAGGCCCACAGAAAGGGAAGTGCATCAAGATCGCCATGTGAATTAGGGAGTTCACGGATGCCCCCAACCATGACATGACAGCCATCATCAGTCCCACCTTCTTGTTCATGAGCACAGCATAGCGCAGTGGATGACAGATGGCAACATAGCGGTCATAGGACATGACAGCTAAGAGAAAACATTCAGCACCACCTAGACACAAATAGAGGAAGTGCTGGGTTGCACAGCCCACAAAGGAGATAGATTTCTTGCCAGATAGGTAGTTGGTAGCCATCTTCAGGATGATTGTGGAGACATGCATCAGATCCATGAGGGAGAGCTGGCTGAGCAGGAAATACATTGGTGTATGAAGCTGGGGATCAATGCAGATGAGGAGAATGGTGAGGGTGTTGCCACTCACCGCAATAAGGAAGACCACCATGGTCAAGGAGAAAAGGAAAAGGTGGGTAAGGGAGTCATCGAAGAGCCCCTCAAGGATGAAGTCTGCCAGAGAGGTCTGATTCTTCTGCCACATTGTCCCCTTTCTCAATCCCTGAGGAAACAGAGAGTGGAGATAAAGAGTGTGACTGGAAATACTGGGGTCCAGTATACCCAAGGAAAAGCACCTTTTGATAGAGGACAGAACCTGTGAAAAAAATTTCCGTTTCTAATTATTCAACCTCTCTAATTATTCAAATAACCTTTTTTTAAAAGAGAGCTTAGAAATCTGCCTTCACAAACATAATCACTCTGAAATTTCAGAATATCTGGACTCTATTATCAAACTTCAAGTCTCTTCTCGTTAAGAAAGATATATATGTGTGTGTGTGTGTGTGTGTATGTATATGTATGTGTGTATATATTTATTCCCCATTTACTTCCTAGGCTTCCAAAACACACATATGTATACACACACACACACACACACACATTTGTCTTTCTTAATGAGAAGAGACTTGAAGTTTGATACTTAATGGAGTCTAGATATTCTGAGATTTCAGAGTGATCATGTTTGTGAAGGCAGATTTTTAAGCTCTCTCTCTCTATACAGACACACACAGAGAGACAGTTTGGAGAAAAGCTTGGGGGCGTTGCTTATTTTATCAGTGAGGATTTTACTAGAAAAGCTATAACACTAAGAGATTTCTCTTATACAATTGTGGAAGCTGGTTAGGCAATCTATGCGTGGCTGTTACCTTTGTGTCTGATGCTGGAACTTTAATTCCAGAGGGCAAGTAGTCAGGAAAAAAAAAATGGATATAAAGAGTGGCAGATCAAAGTCATGCTGGAACCCACAAGCATGAGCTGCAATCCCACAAAGGCAGACTGAAACCCATGTCAGTTCTTGTTGTCTCTGAAATTGGCGGTGTGGATATCCTGCAGAAGCTGGGGCGCCTCTTTTTTTTTTTTTTTTTTTTTTTGAGTTGGAGTCTTGCTCTGTCGCCCAGGCTGGAATGCTGTGGCCCGATCTCGTCTCACTGCAAGCTCCGCCTCCCGGGTTCATGCCATTCTCTTGCCTCAGCCTCCGTAGTAGCTGGGACTACAGGCGCCTGCCACCACACCCGGCTAATTTTTTGTATTTTTAGTAGAGACGGGGATTTCACCGTGTTCGACAGGATGGTCTCCATCTCCTGACCTCGTGATCCCCCCGCCTCGGCCTCCCAAAGTGCTGGGATTACAGGCGTGAACCACCGCACCCGGCCGCTGGGGCGCTTCTTAATGGCCAGATTAAAAATGCACACACCTGGCCGGGCGCGGCGGCTCACGCCTGTAATCCCAGCACTTTGGGAGGCCGAGGCAGGTGGATCACGAGGTCAGGAGATGGAGACCATCCTGGCTAACACGGTGAAACCCCGTCTCTACTAAAAATACAAAAAATTTGCCGGGCGTGGTGGCGGGCGCCTGTAGTCCCAGCTACTCGGGAGGCTGAGGCAAGAGAATGGTGTGAACCCAGGAAGCGGAGCTTGCAGTGAGTGGAGATCGCATCACTGCACTCCAGCCTGGGCAACAGAGCGAGACTCCGTCTTAAAAAAAAAAATAAAAAAAAAAAAATAAAAAAAAAAAAGAATGCACACACCTGACCCAGAAGTCAGAAAAACTAAAGGAGAATCCAAGGGAAGGCCTTTTGAAGACCATCTGGTTGGCAACACGTTTTGGTGCTGGGGCAGTGTCCTCTAGGATGTGAAATATACTCTAAATCTGCATCCAATTTATGCTGCTCTTCCTCCCATAGCAAGATTCATGGAACCAGAAATCACCAGGTAGAAGAGAGAATGAGTCCTCTCACTATAGCCCCCATAACTGTGACCCACCAGCACAATTTTAGTTTTCTATCCCTTCACTTTTAGCTTTTGCTGTTTTAGAGGTCTTAGTTCCAAAGGGAGAAATTCTTCTACCAGGTGTCACAACAATAATCCCATTTTCTGATAGTTAAGACTGCCACCATGCCACTTGGGGCTCCTCATAGAACTGAATCAATAGGCAAATAAGGTTACTCTATTGGCTAGTAAGACTGATTCTGACTAGCAATGGGAAATTCAGTCACTACTATACAGTGAGGATATGGAGAATTATGTCTGCAGTCAGATTTTCTAGGGTGTACTCTCATGTCTCATGATGTAAGCCAATAGAAAACTACAACCCAATTCAGACAAGACTGCTAGTGGCCCAGATGCTTCAGGAATAAAGGTTTGGGTTACCCCACCAGGCAAAGAGTCATGAATAACTGTAGACAAAGAGAATTGGAATGGGTAGTGAAAGCAAGTCGTTATAAATACCAGCCAAAAACCATGTGAGCAGCTACAGAAACAAAAACTGTAATAGTTATGGGCATTTATTCTGTGTGTGTGTGTATGTGTACTGAATATTTGTTTTCTTCTCCTCTGTCATCCCCCGTATCTAACATAAGATGTATTAATAATTGTTAATTTCAGGCAGGGGACAGTGGCTCAGGTCTGTAATCCCAGCACTTTGGGAGGCCAAGGCAGGCAGATCACCTGAGGTCAGGACTTTGAGACCAGCCTGGCCAACATAGTGAAACCCTGTCTCTACTAAAAATACAAAAATTAGCCAGGCTTGGTGGCACATACCTGTAATTGCAGCTACTCGAGGGGCTGAGGCATTAGAATCCCTTGAACCCGGGAGGTGGAGTTTGCAGTGAGCCAAGATTGTGCCACTGCACTCTAGCCTGGGCGACAGGGCAAGACTCTGTCTCAAAAAAAAAAAGTAATCTTAATTGATTCCTCAAATATCCACCCTATTCTTTTTTGTGTTTTTTCTCCTAAATGTCTTTCTAGACCTTCATGCGGTGACGATTATCTATTTACTTCTTAAAGCAAAGAACTCAGAACTGAATGCATTCTCCCAAGCATTTGATCAGTAAGAAAGAGGTCACATCTGGCCGGGCGCGGTCGCTCATGCCTGTAATCCTGGCACTTTGGGAGGCCACGACAAGTGGATCACCTGAGGTCAGGAGTTCGAGACCAGCCTGACCAACATGTAGAAACCCCGTCTCTACTGAAAATACAAAATTAGCCGGGCGTGGTGGCGCATGCCTGTAATCCCAGCTACTCCAGAGGCTGAGGCAGGAGAATCGCTAGAACCCAGGAGGCAGATGATGCAGTGAGCCGAGATCACACCATTGCACTCCACCTTGAGCAACAAGAGCAAAATTCTGTCTCAAAAAAAAAAAAAAAAGTCACATCTATTACTGTCTCTCTCCTAATGCAGTCTACAGTCTCATCTTTCTGGCTGTCACTTCACACTGTTATTTCACACTCAGCTTCTGGTGGACTAGAAGCTCAACTTCTCCCATGCTCCTCCTGATCACTCCAACCCATTAGAGATCTCCACACACTTCCCTTTTATTTAAGTATCCATATACTTCTCTATCACTTTCCACATTAGTGTCCATCTTTCTCTACAAATCTCCATGGTGTAAGTTTTTCACCATCTGACCTGTGTCTCTCTTCCTCCCTTCAGCAACTTTGCTAATAATTTCCCATTCTGATTTGTGGCCTTCAAGTGACTTTTTTTTTTCTCTGCCTTCCAAGGAAGCTTTCCTTATGGATTGACTTAAGGGATAAGCTGACAATGCCCTAATTTATAATAAAGGTTTCCTAAATACCTCAAGCCCTAATATTATCTTACCTGTTATTTCCCTGCAGAGACTCGTAGGAAGACAAAGCATAGAAATGAAATGCAGAGGGCAAGAGAGGTCCACACTGACCCACCTGTTGGCTACTGTTGATCAAAACAAGCCTTTTCTGAGGTGCTCACCAGACTTCCTTCCCTAAGCCTGGAAATTTCCATTTACGTTACATTTACTGTGGAACGGCATAGAAGAAATTGCCCCAACGCAGGCATTGTTGTTTGCACTAATTACCCTAATGGCAGAATATCACCAGGACCAATGGGACACATGTGTGTTCATATTGTGAGCTCCATCAACACACATCAGGACAGATTAAGTAACTGAACTTTAGCCTCTACTAGTTGGACCTTTGAATCACACATATGCTTCCTCTGGCTCTATATGTATATTTGAGACAACCCTCCATTCCAATATCGGAGCTTGGGCAATAGGAATTTCCATTAATATTACTTTATTAAGAAGGTAAACTGAATACCAGTTTAATCATGAATGTGCCCAGAGTCAAAAGAAAATCTGTTATGGTTTTCCATTGTTTTGGATCTCTCAAGGCACTCTCTTCTTAGCTTTACACTTCCTTCCCTACTTAATAAAATATGAATTTGGCTGATGCAGTCAGGAAGCACTTTTCTGACTGCATAAATGTCTTCTCAATAGTAATCATGGGGGTTAGAGTAAGAACATTCTTGGTCTGATGTGAGCCAATCATAAGAAAAAACAGACATCATCTGGGAGAAATAAAACATCCCCCTAACCCAGAGGACCTATGTCAGCTGAAGCAAATTGTGGACACTAAATAGAATGGCGTCAGGGATTCCATCCCAGAGGACACATCTTGCATGGCTTCTGGAGACCATTACTCAAGATGTCAATTAGACTGTGCTGTATGCACTGAGATAAGCATCCCCAAAGGGCTTTACTTGGAGTTTGTTCCAAGTGATCAGGAGAATGAGATATTTTGCGGAGTGAGCCTGAAGATAACAGGAGAATATTCTCCTCAGGGGCCAATTAACTGTGGAGATAAAAAATTCTTAGAGTCCCTTGATTGTTTTTCACTTGGGAACCCAGATTTCTGTAACGCCTTTCCACGCAACCCTTTTGAGAAGACAGTCTGAGTAATAATATCTAGTCTCTTTTGCCCACAGGACCCTTTTGAGGGTTTCCATGTGCCATATCATAGGAAAGAAGTCAAGGAATAGAGGCAGGCAGTTCCCATCCTAGCTGTTGATCGTACTCCAATTTCATAGACTACATGAATATAACATGTCAAGAGATTTCAGGTCGAGTGCGGTGGCTCACACCTTTAATCCCAGCACTTTGGGAGATGGAGGCAGGTGGATTACTTGAGGTCAGAAGTCTGAGACCAGCCTGGCCAACATGGCAGAACCCTGTCTGTACTAAAAATACAAAAATTAGCCAGGCATGGTGGCACACATCTGTAGTCCAAACTACTCGGGAGACTGAGGCAGGAGAATCACTTGAACCCGAGAGGTGTAGGTTGCAGTGAGCTGAGATCGCACCACAGCACTCCAGCCTGGGTGACAGAGTAAAACTTCATCTCCAAAAAAAAAAAAGAAAGAAAGAAAGAAAAAGATTTCAGACACAGAGGGAAAAGGAAAAAATGGCATAACCCTACCTCTCCTTCTTATGCACTCCGATATCATTCTCATACCCTGCCCTTCCTTTCCATTATAGGGATATGTTGACCTCTTCTTTGTTTCTCCATCTCAACTCAAATCCTAAAATGTTTTGCTTCACTGATATTCGCTGGTTGTTTAAAATTGTGTAGCACTCTCCCCAACTCTCTCTCACTCCTGCTTTCTCCATGTGACCTACCTGCTCTCACTTTGCCTTCTACGGTGAGTAAAAGCTCCCTGAGGCCTCCCAAGAAGATCATCGGACACAAGCACCAGGCTTCCTGTACAGCCTGCAGAACCATGAGCCAATTAAACCTCTTTTCTTTATACATTACCCAGCCTTGGGTACTTCTTATAGCAATGGAGGAATAACCTAATACAGATTGCAAATAATTTCTCTCATTCAATAGGTGGGCTTTTTATTTTTATTTTTTATCGTTTCTTTGCTGTGCAGAAGCTTTTGAGTTTGATGTCTTCCCACTTGCCCGTTTTTGCTTTTGTTGCCTTCTTTTGGTGTCATACCCAAGAAATCATTATAAAGGCTAATGTCAAGAAGCTTTTCCCTTATGTTTTCCTCTAGGAGTTTTATGGTTTCAGGTCTTACATTTTGGTCTTTAATTCATTTTATGCTGATTTTTGTGTATGGTGTAAGAGAGGGGTTTAATTTCTTTGTTTGCATGCGGATATCCAGTTTTCCCAAAACCAGTTATTAAAGAGACTATCTTTTCTTTTTTTTTTTTTGAGACGGAGTCTCACTGTTTTGCCAGGCTGGAGTGCAATGGCGTGATCTCGGCTCACTGCAACCTCTGCCTCCCAGGTTCAAGCAATTCTCCTGCCTCAGCCTTCCAAGTAGCTGGGATTACAGGCACATGCCGACATGCCCAGATAATTTTTGTATTTTTAGTAGAGACGGGGTTTCACCACGTTGGCCAGGATGGAAAAGAGACTATCCTGTCTTTATTGTGCATTCTTGGCACACTTGTTGAAGATAAGCTGACTGTATATGCATGGGTTTATTTCTGCACTGCCTATTCTGTTCTGTTTGTCTATCTGTCTGTTTTTATGCCAATACTGAAGCGACATCATTTGTCTGGGGAAATACCCAAGGTTCGTTGTCTTGTGCTAAGGAAATCAAATATGAGGACACATACAAGGAGTGGGTTTAAGAGCAGAACTTTAATTAAAGTGAAAGAAAGAAGACAGAGCTTCCTCATGCAGAGGAAGGGAACCAAAGTGGGTTTCCAGGTTTGGGGTGAGATGCAGTTGACTTTATAGAGGGGCTTAGAAAGGCAGTGTCTGATTTTCATAGGGCCCATGGGATTGGTTGGACCAGGTGTGCCATTTACATAGCCCGTGATTAGGCTGGCCATCCCACCCTAATCTTTTATTATACAGGTGGGATCTCCACCTGGCCAGCACCATGACATCTGCACATTTGGCAACAAAGAGAAGGGAGGAGAAAACCTCCATGTTGGATGTACCTGGCTTCCAGGTATCTCTTTGGTATCGGCACGGCTGCCAGTATTCACCTATGCAAGCTTCCAGCTTGTGTATCAATGCTTGCAGCTTGATTTTTCAGGTTGATTTTTGTTAGAAAAGAAATGATGTGGGGGCTGCTTTTTATTAAAAGGAAATTCCACTGAGAATTCTTTTACCCTTACTAACTGCCTAAATAATTCCTTTTTAACTTCTATATCAGTATCATGCTGTTTTGATTATTGTAGCTATGGAATATAGTCTTAAATCAGGACTTGTAATGTCCCCAGCTGTGTTTTTCTTGCTCAAAATTGCTTTGGCTATTTGAGGCCTTTTGTGGTTCCATGTGAATTCTAGGATTTTTTTCTATTTCTGTAATAAATACCATCAGGATTTTGATAGAGACTGCACTGATTCTGTAGGTTGCTTTGGTAATATGAACATTTTAACAATATTATTCTTCCAATTCATTAACATGGAATGTCTTTTCATTTATTTGTGTTTTCTCCATTCCAAAAACAACATAATACACATTCTTATCATCTGCAATGGCACATACTCTAAAATCAACCAATCAGCCATAAAACAATTCTCCACAAATTCAAAAAAACCAAAATCATACCAACCACACTCTCAGACCACAAAACAATAAAAATAGAAAACAATAATAAGAATAGCAATCAAAACTAAACAATAACATGGAAATTAAACAACCTGCTACTTAATGACTTCTAGGTAAACAATGAAATGAAGGCAGAAATCAAGAAATTCTTTGAAACTAGTGAGAACAAAAGATATAATATACCAAAATCTCTGGGACATGGCCAAAGCAGTATTAAGTGGAAAGCTTATAGCACTAACTGCCCACATCAGAAAGCTAGAATCTCAAATTAACAACCTAATATCACACCTTGAGGAACTAGAAAAACAAGAGCAAACCAAATCCAAAGTCAGTAAGAGACAAGAAATAACCAAAATCAGAGCTGAACTATATGAAATTCAGGTGCAAAAAAACCATACAAAATATCAATGAAACCAGAAGTCGATATTTGAAGGAATAAGTAAGATTGATAGACCGCTAGATAGACTAATAAAGAAAAAGAGAGAAGATCCAATTAAACACAATCAGAAATGACAAGGGGACATTACTACTGACCCAATAGAAATATTTAAAAAAAACAAAAACCTCAGAGAGTATAACAAACACCTCCATGCACACAAGCTAGAAAACCTACTAAAAGTGGCTAAATTCCTGGAAACATACAATCTCCCACGATTGAACCAGGAAGAAATTAAAAATCTGAACATACCAATAACAAGTTACAAAATTGAATTGGTAATAAAAAGCCTATCAACCAGATAAAGCCCAGGATCAGAAGGATTCACAGCTGAATTCTACCAGATGTATAAAGAAGAGCTGGTATCATTCCTGCTGAAACTATCCAAAAAACTGAAGAGGGACTCCTCCCTACCTCATTCTATGAGGTCAGGATCATCCTGATACAAAAACATGGCAGAGACAAAACAAAAAAAGAAAACTTCAGGTCAATATCCTTAAAAAAAACATAGATGGAAAAATTCTTAACAAAATACTTGGCTGGGCTTGGTGGCTCACACCTGTAATCCCAGTACTTTGGGCGGCCGAGGAGGGCGGATCACGTGAGGTCAGGAGTTTTAGACCAGCCTGACCAATATGATGAAACCCTGTCTCTACTAAAAATACAAAAATTAGCCAGGCGTGGTGGCACGTGCCTGTAATCCCACCTACTCAGGAGCCTGAGACAGGAGAATCGCTTGAATCCGAGAGGCGGAGGTTGCAATCAGCCGAGATCAGGCCATTGCACTCCAGCCTGGGCAACAAGAGCGAAACTCCATCTCAAAAAACAAACAAACAAAATGCTAGCAAATCTAATCCAGCAGCACATCAAAAAGGTAATCCACCACTATCAAGTAGGCTTTACCCCTGGGATGCAAGGTTAGTTCAACATATGCAAATCAGTAAGTGTAATTTATCACATAAACAGAACCAAAAACAAAAACCATATGATTATATCAATATATGCAGAATACATTGGGAGTCATCCACCTGCCCTCCCACCTGGGGGTTGGGAGGGCAGGTGGATGACTACAAAGCGGATACACAGGGTAATGATAGGATGATGAAACTATTATATTTGGTACTGGAGTGATAAATACATAACTCATGCATTTGCCAAAACCCATAGAACCATACATCAACAAGGAGTGAACTTTGATATACACAAAATTTTAAAAATTAAACAGGATGTTCAAAGAATTCCAGGATGAAATGCAGACTGTGAGGATGACTCTAACTATATTACAAATCTTTATTACACAATCTCACTGAAGAATGGAGTGGTAGGGGAAGGAGCTGAATAACTTTGGAAAATGCTGTTTTGATGGAAAAACATAAGGTGAAAAATAAAAGGAATTGTGCACAAACACTGTACTCCAGTTGATAAATTTCTCACTGGGATACAGGTTAACAATTCTGAATCTGCTTTGCGTGTATGATGGGGTTATAAATAAACAGATGGTGGATGATCAGAGAAGAAAATTACAGATGATAAGAAAGGAGGGAAGGCTAGAATGAATCTCATGGAGCTGGATTACAGTTGGAGACATTAGTATTAATTCATGCTTAGCTGAATATAAATATAGATGGGTAGACAAAGAAATAATTCTAGAAGTGTGTATATATATGGGTATTGTGATGGTTAATAATGAGTGTCAACTTGATTGAAGGATGCAAAGTATTGATCCTGGGTGTGTCTGTGAGGGTGTTGCCGAAGGAGATTAACATTTGAGTCAGTGGGCTGGGAAAGGCAGACCCACCCTTAATCTAGGTGGGCACCATCTAATCAGCTGCCAGCACAGCCAAGATATAAAGCAGGCAGAAAAATGTGAAAAGGCTAAACTGGCTTAGCCTCCCAGCCTACATCCTTCTCCTGTGCTGAATGCTTCCTGCCCTCAAACATCAGACTCCAAGTTCTTCAGCTTTGGGACTCTGACTGGCTTCCTTGCTCCTCAGCTTGCAGACAGGTCTGCATGATATGCAGATACCACCGGAAAGTGGACAACTGCAGCACTACAGCCCCTTTCTAGGACATCCCTGAAGGACAGGAAGTCTGTTAGCTAATTCACTGCATCAGACTAACCTGTAAAGGTGTGTGACTTAAGGTCTGTCATGGCCTTAGGTCTTATTTATAATTTGGTATCTTATTGTCACAGAGCCCATTTTGTTAATCCTGTTGTCTCTATTTTAATATTAATGTTGGGCAGCTGTTGTGTCTAAACTCCAAAAGGGAGGAGGTGCACCTGAGACACGTCTAACTTCTCAGCCCATCATGGCCAGAAATTTGTTTTTCAGGTTTCTCCGGAGTCCCCTTAGCCAAGAGGGGGTTCATTCAGTCAGACGGGAGGCTTAGGATTTTTAGTTTACAACTGACAGTTTATTTTCAATCCTGTTTGTATATCAAGAAGCATGGGAAAGAGTTTATGGGTGGATTTTTTTTTTGGTTGGCTTTTTTTTTTTTTTTTTTTTTAATTGATCATTCTTGGGTGTTTTTCACAGAGGGGGATTTGGCAGGGTCATAGGACAATAGTGGAGGGAAGGTCAGCAGATAAACAAGTGAACAAAGGTCTCTGGTTTTCCTAGGCAGAGGACCCTGAGGCCTTCCGCAGTGTTTGTGTCCCTGGGTACTTGAGATTAGGGAGTGGTGATGACTCTTAAGGAGCATGCTGCCTTCAAGCATCTGTTTCACAAAGCACATCTTGCACTGCCCTTAATCCATTTAACCCTGAGTGGACACAGCACATGTTTCAGAGAGCACAGGGTTTCGGGGTAAGGTCACAGATCAACAGGATCCCAAGGCAGAAGAATTTTTCTTAGTACAGAACAAAATAAAAAGTCTCCCATGTCTACTTCTTTCCACACAGACACGGCAACCATCCGATTTCTAATCTTTTCCCCACCTTTCCCCCCTTTCTATTCCACAAAACCACCATTGTCATCATGGCCCGTTCTCAATGAGCTGTTGGGCACACCTCCCAGACGGGGTGGTGGCTGGGCAGAGGGGCTCCTCACTTCCCAGTAGGGGCGGCCGGGCAGAGGCGCCCCTCACCTCCCGGACAGGGCGGCTGGCCGGGTGGGGGGCTGAACCCCCCACCTCCCTCCCGGACCGGGCGGCTGGCCGGGCGGGGGGCTGACCCCCCCACCTCCCTCCCGGACGGGGTGGCTGGCCGGGCAGAGGGGCTCCTCACTTCCCAGTAGGGGCGGCCGGGCAGAGGCGCCCCTCACCTCCCGGACAAGGCGGCTGGCCGGGCGGGGGGCTGACCCCCCCACCTCCCTCCCGGACGGGGCGACTGGCTGGGCAGGGGGCTGACCCCCCACCTCCCTCCCGGATGGGGCGGCTGGCCGGGCAGAGGGGCTCCTCACTTCCCAGTAGGGGCGGCCGGGCAGAGGCGCCCCTCACCTCCCGGACGAGGCGGCTGGCCGGGCGGGGGGCTGACCCCCCCACCTCCCTCCCGGACGGGGCGGCTGGCCGGGCGGGGGGCTGACCCCCCTACCTCCCTCCCGGACGGGGCGGCTGGCTGGGCGGGGGGCTGACCCCCCCACCTCCCTCCCGGACGGGTCGGCTGCCGGGCGGAGAAGCTCCTCACTTCCCAGACGGGGTGGCTGCCGGGCGGAGGGGCTCCTCACTTCTCAGACGGGGCGGCTGCTGGGCGGAGGGTCTCCTCCCTTCTCAGATGGGGCGGCCGGGCAGAGACGCTCCTCACCTCCCAGACGGGGTCGTGGCTGGGCAGAGGCGCTCCTCACATCCCAGACGGGGTGGCGGGGCAAAGGCGCTCCCCACATCTCAGACGATGGGCGGCTGGACAGAGACGCTCCTCGCTTCCTAGATGGGATGGTGGCCGGGAAGAGGCGCTCCTCACTTTCCAGACTGGGCAGCCAGGCAGAGGGGCTCCTCACATCCCAGACGATGGGCGGCCAGGCAGAGACGCTCCTCACTTCCTAGACAGGGTGGCGGCCGGGCAGAGGCTGCACTCTGGGCACTTTGGGAGGCCAAGGCAGGCAGCTGGGAGGTGGAGGTTGTAGCGAGCCGAGATCACGCCACTGCACTCCAGCCTGGGCACCATTGAGCACTGAGTGAACCAGACCCGTCTGCAATCCTGGCACCTCCGGAGGCCAAGGCTGGCAGATCACTCGCGGTTAGGAGCTGGAGACCAGCCCGGCCAACACAGCGAAACCCCGTCTCCACCAAAAAAATACGAAAACCAATCAGGCGTGGCGGCGCGCGCCTGCAATCGCAGGCACTCGGCAGGCTGAGGCAGGAGAATCAGGCAGGGAGGTTGCAGTGAGCCGAGATGGCAGCAGTACAGTCCAGCTTCGGCTCGGCATCAGAGGGAGACCGTGGAAAGAGAGGGAGAGGGAGAACGTGGGGAGAGGGAGACCGTGGGGAGAGGGAGAGGGAGAGGGACAGGGAGAGGGAGAGGGACTTGGTTGGCTTTTTAAACAAAAATGAACACCTAGGTCCCATCCCATACCTGATGAGACCAGAGGGGTCAATATCAAGACTCAAGCACAGAGACAAAGAATTGTGAAGAATAAGAAGGGTAGGGGAAAAGAATTTTTTCTCTGTTGAAGATGCAAGTTCTTTGCAATCGTATGAAGGGGGACTCATGAAGGCTTAAAAGGAAAAGTTTGGAATCATTGCCACCAAAGACGTTAAAACAAGTCAAGTGATAAAAAAAGTTTACCATGCAGCTCAAAGGGCCCACTTGAAGGCAGAGAGCAAGGATTTATAGCAGAATCAATCAACCTTTCAATAGCCAGAAGGAAGAGAGGAGGGAAGGTACTGATGAGTTTCCAAAGGATTAGCTATTAGTAAGACAGGCACTGAAGGACGTCCTGAAGGGCAAGTGTAGTCATCATTTCCTAAGGTGGCCATAACAAACTGGGTGGCTTAAAACAATGGAAATTTACTGTCTAACCTCAGTTTTGGCAGTTAGAAATCAGAAACCAAAGTGTTGATGGGGCCATGCTCCCTTCAAAGCTTCTAGGGGAAGATTCTTCCTGGCTTCCCCCAGCTTCTGGTAGCCCCAGGTTCCTTGGCTTGTGACAGCATAACTCCAATCCAATCTCTGCCTCCATCTTCCAGAGCCTCTTTCACGTTGTTTCCATCTGGCATTTTTCTGTGTGTGTGTGGGCATGAGTGTGTGAACATATGCATAAGTTTCCTTCTTTTTATAAGGACACCAGTCATATTGGGTTAGAGCCCACCCAAATGACCTTATCTTGTTTACATCTGCAAATATCCTATTTCCAAATAAGGTCATTTTCACAGGTAGCTCTTCAACATATGTTTTTGGGGAACATAATTCAACCTATAACAGCAAATATCCTGGGAAGTTGAGAACTCAGTAGAAACTGTTGAATGAGGGGGCTGCTCAGGCTGAATAGGAAGACAAGCCAAGATGGCTGATGTATAAGAAGGGGAGGAGGGGAGGAGGAGTTAGGGAAGATGCTGTAAGTTGTGTAAGAATCCTCACTACCACCATTCAACCCAGCAATCCCATTATTCGGTATATGCCCAATACCCAAAGACATCATTCAACCATAGAGACATATGCATGTATATATTCATTGCAGCACTATTCACAATAGCAAAGACATGGAATCAACCTAAATGCCCATCAACAGTAGACTGGATAAAGAAAACATAGTACATATACACCATGGAATACTATGCAGCCATAAAAAAAGAATGAGATCATGTCTTTGCAGCAACATGGATGGAGCTGGAGGCCATTACCCTAAGCAAACCAACACATGAACAGAAAACCAAACATCACATGTTCTCACGTATAAGGGAGAGCTAAACATTGAGTACCCATGGACACAAAAAAGGGAACAACAGACACCAGGGACTACTTGAGGGTAGAGGGTGGAGGAGGGTGGGGTATCAAAAAAGTATCTATTGGGTACTATGCTTATTACCTGGGTAATGAAATAATATGTACACCAAACCCCTGTGACATGTAATTGATCTATAGAACAAACCTGCACGTGTTCCCCTTAAACTAAAATATAAGTTAAAATAAAATCCTCGTTAAATCACTGCCTGAAAGTCTTTACTGAAAATCTGGGAGAAAATATATTGAAATGTTAGTAGTGCATAACTTTAATTTTTATACTTTTTGCATCTTACAAACTTTCTACAATAAGTACACATGACTTATATAAACAGAGAAAAGCAATCATTATCTTAAAAATAACTATCCAGTAACTGCCACAATCTCCTGAGTCCAGACAATCTAGAGCAGAAGGGTAGACTGAGGAAAATATACACAGTATAAAAAAGTAACAAAATCAAAACCTGAAACAAAGATCAACATCCAATAAATGCTTCTGAATAAAGGGAGAGTAGATAAGAACTGGATTTTAATCCCAACACTGCCATTTACCAGCTGGCCAATACTGAGCTAGTTACTCTAAAGAGTTCAGTTTTCTCATTTGTACAAATAGGATTTGACTTTCCATCTCACTGAGTTGTGATGAGAGTCATATGCAACAGCATATGAAGAGGCTAGCAAAAGATATTTAACAAGCGTTCAACATTCTCATGATGACATGAATAACACTGTACATACAACATACCAACTTGATAAATACACAGCACAGTTAATAGCTGAGGGCAGAGTTATGGTTGGGAAGAGAGAGAGTGCAACATAGGCAGAGTGAGGGGGGATTCCCACAATTTTCTAAGACAGAAAAGTGGGGGAATCAGTAGTTACTGGAAAGAATAGGCAATGCCTGACTGGATAGAAAAAGATTCTATGCCTTTGTCAAATTTCACAAAAGTGACTTAAGCCTATACTGCGGGATGTTCACACTACGTCCCTTTAGTGCAGTTACGGTACTTCAGGCTGCAAGTAACCAAATACAACTAAAATTGTCTTATACAATAAGGGCGTAATTATCTCATATAACAAGAAGCTTGGCATGAAGGAAATTTCAACAATTTCACAACGGCAACAAAAACTCTGTTTCTTCTACCTTTCCACCATTCCTGTGTTCTCAGTTCCAATATGGCTGCTAACATCCATATGTCTTCCCCGCACATCTCTTTAAAAGCTACAAAAAGATTTCCCAAAAGCGTCTTGGAAAATTTCCTGTCCCATCTCCATTGGCCAGACCCACCTCCCATGGGACTGCCTCTTGTGAAGCACACAAAGGGCAGATACCAAACGGTACCGTTAGGGAGACCCAGAAGATGGACCATCCAGGATAGAGACATGAAGGGCAGAAGAGGGCCCAGGGATGTGTGTCCCTCAGCTGGACTACAGGGAAGGAGTTTTGGTCAGGGGAAGAAAAGCCTCATTTCCTATCAGTCACTGGTGGAATGACTAAAGATGCTAATGGACTCAACCAAAAAAATGGCCGGAGGCGTGAGACAGAAGAACAAGAAAAGGTGTGCAGGTGCACTCCGTCCACAGCGCTGTAGAAGGAGACATTCCCAGTCCCACGATCCAGGTAAACCCCCACTCGGTGGAGAGCTGGCTCTTGCTGGGTGGGAGTTCCAGGGAAGCCTATCAAGGGCCAATAGCCAGCAGCACTCCAATAAATCGCCCAGATGCCCACATCTGGGGACATTTTTGAACGATCAGTAATTCCCATGACGTCCTCCCGACACACCCCAACAGCAACCTCCAGACTATCTCTACTCTCAACTTCCCAGTAATGTTTCCCTGAGGTGAAAACGTTTTTTCCCAGAACACAGGGTAAGTGCTGAAATCTCTCTACAAAAGCAGTCTTCTGAGGATTCCTCCATCCAGCAAAGTAGTTCCATGCTGAAGAAAACACTGGCCAAGAACTGGCTGATGCTGTATTTTTCACGTATCTCCCTTCCTGGGAGAAGACGAGTTTGGGATGAGCTGTGTCTTCAGCTAGGTTTACAGCCACTGTGGAGAAAATGAGAGCTAAGTAGTGCAGCAGCTTATCATCAACCCTTCCCCAGAAATGCCCATCTTTTCCAGCATCAGTTTCATCTTTCTCCTCCTAACAAACACTCATGACTCCACTGCTGCCCAACTGATCCTCAGCCAGGCCTAGCAGGCCACAGCATGGCCTTTAGCAACCTGAAGTCCTCATTTCCCTTCTGCTCTAAAAGACTAAGCCCTAGACCAGGCGCAGTGACTCATGCCTGTAATCCCAGCACTTTGGGAGGCTGAGGCAGGGAGATCACTGGAGGTCACGAGAGTGAGACCAGCCTGGCCAACATGGCGAAACCCCGTCTCTACTGAAAATACCAAAAAACAAACAAACAAAAAAACTGGCCCGGCATGATGGTGGGCACCTGTAATCCCAGTTACTGGGGAGGCTGAGGCAGAAGAATCACTTAAACCCAGAAGGCGGAGGTTGTAGTGACCCGAGATCGTGCCACTGCACTCCAGCCTGGGTGACAGAGCAAGATTCTATCTTTAAAAAAAAAAAGACTAACCTCTAGAAACTGGGGATCTAATTATTTCATGCCCCAAGTTTTCACAAACAGCCTAAAATTTGGAGAGATATTAACAAATTCTCACGTTGAATCAAAACTAGAACCAAGGCTGCCGACTAGCTGGTTCTTTGGCTAGATACACACAGGTGTCACATAGGACAGAATAATGAGGTCTCTTTTCACGGGTTCCAGTTGTTTATGGGGCATCTCCACAAATCTCCCCACAGATCATTCAAAACTGAACTAATTATCTTACTTACACCCCCTTCTATACTCTCGGGACTAATCCACTTCATATGCAGACATCTTGCCTTCTATGTTCTCTAAGGTGTCAGAGTCCCCTCCACCTGAACACTCATGCTTTTAAATCTTTATTTTCGACTCTTTCCTCTAACCTTCAATAGCTAGTTAGTCACCAAGTCCTACCAATTCTACCTCTGAAATTTGTCACTCAGGTTCTTTTCCTCCCCTCCACTCCCATTGCCACTGCCTTTACTCCAATCTCCAGTGTCACTCAATGTGTTAATAATGTCCTCCCTGGCCTCCCTGACTCCAAATTCCCTTCCCTCTAACTCTCCATGTCTCTTGAGTTTGAGGACTTTTTTTAAAAAAAATCAGGAATGTATGCTAGAGTTTGACAAATGCTTTTCCTGCTTCCACTGAGACAATCACATGGTTTTCCTTTTTTTTTTTTTTTTACTTTAGTGATATAAACTACATCGATTTTCAAATATTAAACCAACTATGCTCTTCTGGGATAAATCTCACATATTGTGATTATTATACATTATCCTTTTTGTATACCAAAGGATATATAAATTGGTTGTGATTATTACATATTATCCTTTTAATATATTGTTGGATTCAATTTGCTAAAGTTTTCTGAGAATTTAGGTATCTATGTTCATGAGAGACATTGATGTATAATTCTTTTCTCTTGTGACGTCTTTGTCTGATTTTGGCATCATGGTAATACAGGCCTCACAGAAAGAATTGGGAAATATTCCCTCTTCATCAATTTTCAATAGGAGTTCTTGAAGAATTGGCATTTATTTCTTAAATGTTTGGTGAAATGTTTCACCAAGAAAATCATCTGGGGACCAGGCGCGGTGGCTCATGCCTGTAATCCCAATGCTTTGGGAGGCCAAGGCAGTGGATTACGAGGTCAGGAGTTCAAGACCAGCCTGACCAACATGGTGAAACCCCATCTCTACTAAAAAAAAATACAAAAATTAGCCAGGCATGGTGGCGCGCACCTGCAGTCCCAGCTACTTGGGAGGCTGAGGCAGGAGAATCACTTGAACCTGGGAGGTGGAGGTTGCAGTAAGCTGAGATTGCACCACTGCGCCCCAGCCTAGGCAACAGACCAAGACTCCATCCCCCCCCCAAAAAAAAAAAGAAAAGAAAAGAAAGAAAAGAAACAAAACGAAAGCCATTTGGAAGGTTTCTAATAGCAATTTCTTTCATAGAAATAAGATTATTCCAGTTATCTCTATCTTCATGAGTCAGCTTTTGTAATTTGTGTCTTTTAAGGACTTCATCCATTTCATCTATATTGTCAAGTTTATTGGCAAAAAGTTGCTCTTAATATTCTATTATCCTTTTAATATCTGCAGAATCTGTAATGATGTCACCTTTCTCATTTCTGACATTAGTAATGTGTGTTTTCTTTTTTTCTGATCATTTTGATTAAAGGTGTGTCAATTTTACTGAAATTCTCAAAGGACCAGCTTTTGGTTTCATTGGTTTCTGTTGGCTTTCTGTATTTCACTGCAATGATTTCTGCTCTGATTTTTATTATTTCCATTCTTCTGTTTACTTTGGGCTTTACTTGCTCCTCTTTCTCTAGTGTCTTAAGGTGGAAGCTGAGGTCAGTGATTTGAGAAGTTTCTTCTTTCCAATATAGCACTATACACTTTTCTTTAAGTTTTGCTTTAGGTGCATCCCACAAATTCTGGTATATTGTCTTTTCCTTTTCATTCCATTCAAACTACTTCCTAATTTGCCTTTTGATTTCTTCTTTAATTCAAGGGTTACTAAAAAGTCTATTATTTAGATTCTTGATATTTAGGGGGGTTTCTAAGGATATTTTGATACTGATTTCTATCAATTCCATTGTGATCAGAGAACATACTCTGAATGATCGGAATCCTTTGAATTTGACACTTGCTTTACAGCCAGCTTAGTCTATCTTGGAAAATGTTTCACGTACACTGAAAAAAATATGTAGTATATAGCTGTTGGGTAGAGTGTTCTATAAATAATGGGATCAAGTTGATTGATAATATTATTCAAGTCTACTATATCCCTGCTGATTTATTGCCTAATTATTCTAAAAATTATTAAAAGGTACTGAAAACTGCAAACGTAATTGTGAATTTGTGTATTTCTTCTTGCAGCTCTATTAGTTTTTGCTTAATATGTTTGAAGCACTGTTAAGTGCAGAAATGTTTAGAACTTACATTCTCTTGACGAACTGACCACTTTATCATTAGGATATAACATTCTTTATCTCTGGTAATATCCTTTGCTCAGAAATCTACTTTGATACTAATATACCCACTCCAGATCTATTAACATATCTTTTTCCATTCTTTTGCTTTAAACGTATATGGTTCTTCATATTTAATGTGTTTCTTTTCCAGTAAAAAATTGGGTCTTATTTTTTTTTTTTAGCCAATCCAACCAACTTCTGCCTTTTGATTAGCGCATGCAGACCATTTATAGTTAATGTGATTATTAGTATGATTAGATTTGTGTCTATTATTTTGCTGTTTTCTATTTGTCCTATATGTTTTCTTCTTTTTCTGCCTTATTTTTTATTAATCTTTTTTTATAATTCCACTTTATTTCCTTTTATTGACTAGCTACATCTCTTTTATTTTAGTGGTTTAAGGTTTATGGTATCGTATGGCAGATGCACCTGACAGCAATAACTCAAGCATACCCTAACAATGACCCTATGGTCCAAGTAGAATGTGGGTTCACACTTCCAAGCTAAGAAATGTGGGAGTGGCCAACTCAGAGATCTGCTCCTTTTCTAGGAAGGACATCTGAACATCTGAACCTCTGGCCCATTCTTGGAATGCAGGCTGTACAGAGGATCAAGGCCCTTTGATTCGGGTTAAATGGAGGTTGTTAGGAGCAGGTTGCTAAGTGAAAATGCTATATAATCTGCATGCTTTTTACAAACAGTAGCAACTGGTTTTCGTGTCCAGCCCACTGCTCCTGGACCACCCAGCATATAAGTCCTCAATAAATCCTATGTCTCATTCACCGGCTCCAGGTTTCTTCCACCTCTCAGACACAGTGCCATCCGTACTGAAATCAATAGGGGTCTAGCACAACAATTAGCCCAGCAGGAGGTTGGAGAAAATTCCACGAGTGCCAAGACAATGGGATCAGGGGAGAATCCACGGTGGAAATCCTGGGCTGGTTGTCCACATGTATGTGGGGCCCAATAGCCACTATCCTTGATGGGTGGGGCCCACCAGGTGAGTATGGGGATACCCCCAAAATGCCAAAAGTTCTGGAAGAACTGCTGCAGGGGGTGGATCCAACTAAGGGAAAGTCAAATGCCCAAGCTGTGGCAGCTGCAGTTGGCCGGCCAGTCCTGACTGTGCTTAGAGCAGCCCCCAAGGTTGAGCTTGTGGCACAGGCAAGGGTGTACCACTTACAAGATGAGCTGCAACTAGGGAGATATTAGCTCAGGCTAATTTCTGTCCCACCTGTGGGAACAGGATGACAAAATGGAGACACTGGTTTGTTGCATAGCCTGTTTGAAGGGTCACTGACTGCCACATGGAGTTAGGACTATCATGACTAAATTGTCCTGGAACCCTAAGTCCTGGGACCCCGTGAAGAGATCTAGTGGCAGGGAGGATGAGGACTGGGATGAGTCCATAGAGGTTCCCATCCTCTCAGCATGTCTGATGGTCACTACCAAGATAAAAGAAGACCAACCACACCCACAGAGGGTAGCCCTACAAGACTTGCCTCCACCTGAAAGAAGGCAGACCACCACAATGCAGGATTATACCGCTGTGGAAATGGTGAAGCTGGGAAGTAAGTTCAAACAGAGTGGGAGACAGTCGATCCCACCCTCCCTGGGATTTTACACTCTCCCACTTAGTAGAAATGGATTTTGAATGTTCCCGATGCAGATAATGATAAATGTTTGAGGTGATGAATATGCTAATTACCCTGATTTTATCATTATGCACTGTATACATGTATTGAAACATCACACTGTACCTCATAAATATGTAAAATTATTATGTAGCAACTAAAAAAAAGAACAAAAGATTTCTCAAGTCGGTTCTTGCACTCCATGGGGGAAAGGCCTAGAAAAGAATATACAGGTCACACCTATTTTACATCCTACTCCCCAACCCCCTGTATTTCCAAAATAATGAATCCCAGTCTTCCTTGTGCAAGGGGACAATCATCCTCTTATAGAACATTATAATACCCCCCACTGTCTTACTCTGGCCACTTGCAAAGCATTGCAAAGGGCCCAATCCACTTTGTATTATAAACCAGGCGCCAGGCCACTGCCAGGGGTGGTGCTCTCAGAATGACACAACTTCCTGTGTCTTACTAAATGGCTTCCCCTTTCTTGTACCCACTAAACATCTCACCTGTTGCCCACAGATGGGGTGCAGCAAACCGCTTCACCAACTGGGTGCACATGGTGACCTCTTTCCAGAACACAACAGACTATTGGGTCTGCAGAGAGTTGCCCCTCTCCTCCACAATGGGCCTGCCATGGGGCATCCATGCTGCTAACTTGAGTACCTGGAGCCATGTCTATATTTGGCATGATAAGTCTCACCCACTTCCCTTCAGCACCACCACCACATTATGCAGTGCGTTTCCCACCATCAGTGAGACAAGATGACATATTTTCCACCTAGTATGGGAGCAGGTTAGTGCTACCCCAGCTGTGGGGTATTCCATACACGATGGACAAGGGTGAGTAACAAGAGTGCAGATACAGGTAGTAAGTCATGCACCCTTATGTACTGAAAGGCATGATAATAGCATGTCACAAGCTAAACTCTTAATGTGGGGTGGCTACCCCCACAGCAATGCAACCAATCCCTTCAAATAGCCAATAATATGTGGCTAGGGTGGCACAGTAACTGTCTCCACGTAGGGGCCCATGCCCTCCCCTTGGGGATGGCTACAGGTAGACGGCAACCACAGCTGGCCTTACTTACCCTAAAATTGGGCTGGTAGATGCACCTGGGGTCGTCTTCACCTGCCGGACACATTCTGTCCCATTGAGACACCATTCTTACTAACTGGGAGAGTATAAAAGCCAGGCACTTCCAGAAGTGTGCATTCTGGAGTTGCAATTTGGAGACCTCGCTAAACATATGGCTGCAGCCTTCAAGGATACCTGTGCCATGCCATTACTCTTCTCACTGGGCAACTGTGTAAAATCGCATGGCCCTGGATATCTTAACTGCTGCCCTGGGTGGAAGCTGCACATTAATTAAAACCAAATGTTGTGTATATATCCCTATTACTCTCACATTATAACCGGGGTTATGTGAACCCTAGAAACCCATATTTCAGTAAAAATTCTCTATCTTATCAAGTGCTTGGAAAAGCTTTCTGTAGAGTATGATTGCTACTATGCTTGTCATTGTCTTTTGTTGCTGTAGTTTCTAACGCTGCTGCAGCATCTGGCAGCAATGCTACTGCACATACCTTGCCTCAGGGAAGTTGCAGAGAATGACGTGATAAGAATGTGGGGGCCATTCAAGGGTATGCTGGACTGCAGTGTACGGCAGACACACCTGACAGCAGTAACTCCAGCACACCCTGAGAATAACCCTATGGTCTAAGAAGACTGTGTATTCAGAGTTCTGAGCTAAAGAATCCAGGAGTGGCCAACCCAGAAATGCACTCCTCATCTATAAAGGCCATGTGAACTCCTGGTCCATTCCTTGGAATGCAGGCAATACAGGGAATCGAGGCCCTTTCTTTTGGGTTAAATGGAAGGTCCCAGGTGGAGATTGCTAAATGAAAATGCTATATATAACCTGCATGCTTTTTACAAATAGCAGTGGTTTGTTTTCCTGTCCAGCTGGCCATTCCTGGACTGCCCTGCATGTAGGTCTTCAATAAACCCCATGTCTCATTCACTACTCCAGATCTCCTCTTCGGCCTTTCAGACACGGTGCCATCCTTAATGAAGTCAGTAGGGGACTGGCACAAGTATACACCTTTTTATCAGTCTCCCTTCAAGTGATATTATACCACTTCACACATGAGAACTGTATCATAGTATACTTTCATCTCTCCTCTCCCAATCTTCACACTACTGTCATGGATTTTACTTTTAAATATAAGTTCCAAAATACACCATATTTTGTCTGTTGAAATAGTCAATTATTAGGGTTCTCCAAAGGAACAGAACCAAAAGGATATATATGTCTGTGTCTGTGTATGGTGGGTGGGTGTGTGTGCGCACACGTGCATGCATGCACCTGTGAGTTTTCTGGGTTTTCTTTTGAGATGGGGTCTCGCTGTTGCCCATGCTGGAGTGCAGTGGTGCAATCACAGCTCACTGCGGCCTCAACCTCCTGGGCTTAAGCCATCCTCCCGCCGTGGCCTCCCAAGTAACTGGGACTACAGGCACACACCAGCACACTAATTATTTTATTTTTTGTAGAGACAGGGTCTCACTATGTTGCCCAGGCTGGCCTCAAACTCCTGGCCTCAAGCAATCCTCCTAACTCAGCCTCCCAAAGAATTGGGATTACAGATGTGAGCCACCACACCCAGCCAGTGTATAAGATTTAATATAAGGAACTGGCTTGTGTGATTATTGCTACTGACAAGTCCGAATCTGCTGTGTGAGTTGGCAGGCTCAAGACCCAGATAGAGCCAGCGTTCTAGTTGGAAGGCCATTAGGCAGGAAGAGCCAATGCTGCAGTGAAGGCCAAGGTAGTATGCTTTAGAAATCCATCAGAAAGGTCAAGCCTTTTTTTTCTATTCAAGCCTTCAACTGATTAGATGAGGCCCACCCACATTATGAAGGGCAGTCTACACAGGCTTACTGACTTAAATGTTAATCTTATCCAAAATCACCCTCAAAAAAACACCCAAAATAATTTTTGACCAATATCTGGGCACTCTGTGGCCCAGTCAAGTTGATGTATAAACTTACCATCGCAATTCCTTTTTAAAGGAATAAATAATGACAATAATATATATTTATTCGTGTCATTACCATTTCTGGTGCTCTTTTATTCCTTTGTGTAGAGAGATTTCCATCTGGCATTTTCCTTCTGTCTGAAGGACTTCCTTTAAGACTTCCTTTCTTGAAGTGTCAGTCTGCTGTAAACTCTTTCTTTTAAGCTTTAGTTTACCTCCAAACTTATTTATTTCACCTTTGTTTTTGAAGGATATTTTTTGCCAGTTCTAGAACTCTAGGTTAACAGTTTTTTTCTTTCAGGACTTTAAAGAGTTTGCTTACTGGCATTGTTTCCAATGAGAAGTGTAATGTCAACTTCGTCTTTGTTCCACTGCAAGTAACTATCCTCTCCCCTGGTTGCATTTAAGATTTTCTTTTTAACACTGGTTTCCAGCAAGTTATGATGAGCCTTGGCATATTTTTCTTCATATTTCTCATACTCAGGGTTTGTTGAGCATCTTGGATCTGTGGACTTAGTTTTTATTATATTCAGAAAATCTTTGGCCATTATGTCTTCAAGTATTTTTCCTATTCCATCTCCCTCCCCACTCCTCTCTTTCAGGGACGCCAATCACCATAGATAATAAGGCTGCATAAAGTTGTCCCACAGGTCACTGATGCTCTTTGTGTTTTTGTAAATTGTTTTATTCTGTGTATGTTTCATTTTTTTGTAGTTTCCATTGCTCTGTCTTCAAGTTCACCAATTTTTTCTTTTGTAATATTTAATCAACTATTAATCCCATCCAGTGCATTCTTCGCCTTAATCACATTTTTCATCTTTAAAACTTTGATCTGGTCTCTATGTACCTCTTTACAGAATACACTCATAATAAATGTTTTAAAGTCCTTCCATGCTTATTCTAACATCTGTGTCAATTCTAGGTCAGTTTCAGTTGATTATTTTCCTCCATTATGGGTCACTGCTTTCCTATCTTTTTGCATGCATATTTGACTGGATGCCAGACATTGTGAATTTATATTGTTAGGTGCTCTTTTTTTGTTTATTTCTACCAATTTTCTAGGGCTTTATCCTGGGATGCAGTTAAGTTAGTTGGAAAGAGTTTGACCCCTTTGGGTCTTGCTTTCATGATTTGTAAGGTGGGTGTGGAGCAGCACCCAGTCAAGGGCTAAATATTTTCTGCTAATGAGGCAAGATTTTCCTGAGTACGCTACTCAGTGCCCGTGAACTACGAGTTTTCTGGTGTGGCTGATAGGAACTGGCACTGTTCCTGGCCCTGTGTGAGCACCAGGAACCGTTCCCTCTAATCGTTTTAGAAGCTTCTATCTCCAGCCTTGAGTAGATTTTCACAGGCATGTGCTGATCAGAACTCTGCCAAACAACTAGGAAGCTCCTCCATAGATGGCGAGGGTTCTCTCTGTGTCCGGCTCTCTCCGCTCCAGGATACTGCCCAGTACTTTGCGAACTCTCACTACTTTGTTCTCCGTGAACTCCCAGGTCTATTCCTCAACTCAGCAAGTCTCCCTGGCTCTACCTCAGTTACCTCAGCCTTACATGGTCTGGAAACTCCCTCAGGCAGAGGGTAGGGCAATCATAGGCTGACCTCATTTGTTTCACATTTCTCAGGAATCACCGTCCTTCACTGCCTGACGTCTGGTGCTTTGAAAACGGTTGTTTCACATATTGTGCCTGTTTTGTTTTTGTGTTTTTATTTTAGTTGCTGCAGACAAGAAAACAACTCGTTTATTTACTCCATTTTGGCTAGAAGTGAACACCCACAACATGGTTCTTTTTAGTTTGTTTGTTTTTTGAGACAGAGTCTCACTCTATCGCCCAGTCTGGAGTGCAGTGGATACAATCTCAGCTCACTGCAACCTCCACCTCCCAGGTTCAAGCGATTCTCCTGCCTCAGCCTCCCGAGTAGCTGGGATTACAGGTGCACACCACTATGCTCAGCTAATTTTTGTATTTTAGTAGAGACAGGGTTTCACCATGTTGGCCAGGCTGGTCTCGAACTCCTGACCTCAAATGATCCGCCTGCCTCGACCTCCCAAAGTGCTGGGATTACAGACATGAGCCTTCGTGCCCGGCCTACAACATGGTTCTTAATCAAACATGTGCACATAAGAATCACCAGCACAGCTTCTAGAGCATGTACCTGCCTTGGTGCCTCCCTGGAGATCCAATGAGTTTATTTTCAGTCTGTCCTACACTCTTCTTCTCAACCTCAACCTCTACCTTTCCTCAAAATACACCTTGTTCTTTAGCCTCTTTGGATACCCACCCCTCCATGTTCTCCACACCTTAGCTCATGCTGCTGCTTCTGCTTGAAACAGTCATCCCTGTTTTCCACCTGCCAAACTCCTACTAATCCCTCAAATCTCAAAACTGTCGCCTCTGCTGTGAAAACTTTCCCATCTCGCCCCCAACAGAGCCCTTCCTCTGAATTTCTGTAACATTTTATTCCTACCACCAGCAAACACTGGCTCCTACTATATCACTGTGAGTGCTGTGTGTCTGTCTCTCCAATGTGCTTACGAACTCATGAAGAAGTGAACAGGTCTCTTCTTTTTGTATCACTAGCACCTTGTAACAGTGCGTTAAATAAATGTTTCTTGAATGAAGTGTATACCCATTTATTAACCACCTTTCCTGACACTCTATTAGCTGCATGCTGTTTCCTCTTTCCTCTCCAGACTTCTCTCTTTATTCTCCTATTTGAAAGATTTCTAAGGAGCCCCAAGTCCTAGAAATTCTGCTCACCTTGGAATCGCTTTAGCATTTCCTTCATCAATGGTATCTGGCACACTGTCTTCACCTTTACAGCTTCAAGAGAATAGTTCACATCCTGGATCTCACTCCTAAGAAGGTAGAGAAGACTGCTCTTAGGGGACAACTAGGGTAGCCAAGACCTCCACTCCCGGTCAAAGGTTCTTAGCCCAAAGTTCAGATGGCTTCTGTTCCCATTCCTCCTCCCAGAAACAATCAGGAGAATTTTTCCTCAGACCCCCATTAGGGTGTGCCCAGACTGACCTATGGATCCTAGGCCTTGTTTCCCCTCTGCTCAGCCTGTATCTTTACCATGCCACCCAGGTCCCCATAAGAGAACAGGAGTGCATACCTGGTCAACACTTCTTTTGGATTCTGTGAAAAGAAGGAAGACATAAGCAAATTACGAACCTTCTCCTGGAGACCTGGAATACAACTGTGTGAGCAGGTATTTTCTGACGGTTGCATTTGCTCATGTCACATATGATCTCCTGCTGCCAAAGCCAACAGATTGACAGAATCTGGTCCTTTCTTTCACGTGGCCCCTCTGCACTTATTCGACAATGCTGCCTGCGCCCCTCCTCTTTCTCCTTTGGCACTATGACATAAACTGGCTCCTGGCTTCCTGCCGGCCTCCCCAACTAGTCTCAATCACAGAGCCTGCTCCTTTGCGTGCCTTTTGGTGGGTCCTCAGCAGCTCCAGCTTTGAGCTTCCACTCTTCTCCTTCCTGTTGTTTTACAAGATTGCTTTTAAATTATAATCGCAAGGGATA
The DNA here is from genome assembly GCF_000001405.40 of Homo sapiens. NCBI lineage: Eukaryota > Metazoa > Chordata > Mammalia > Primates > Hominidae > Homo > Homo sapiens. The sequence continues at coordinate 99,903,997 of NC_000007.14, forward strand.
TTTTATCATGCCCAAGTCCAAAGAGATTTTCTACAGGTGAATTTTACTAAACTTTATGGAACTGAAAATACCCTAAGTTATAACACAAAAGAGAAAAATATAAATTTTCCCAACTGATTTTTCAGAGACTATTATAACCTTGTTCCTTAAGCCATGAAATGAAACAGTAGAAAAAAATTACAGACCCATTTTACTTAAAGACATAGATGTGAAAATTCTAAGTAACATATCAGGTAACCAATGGCAACGTGTATTTAAAAAATACAGCTCCTCCAAAAACCTGTAACTCAGCCTAATCAAGAAAAAAACAGACAAATTCCAATAGGGGAGCATCCTACAAAATACCTGACCAACACTCCTCAAAACTTTCAAGATCATCAAAAACCAGAAAAGTCTCAGAAAATGTCACAGCCAAGAGGCACCTAAGGAGAGACAATGACAACCAAATGAAATCTGGTATCCTGGGTGTGGTTCTAGAAAATAAAATGAATACTAGGTAAAAACTGAGGAAATGGAAATAAACTACAAACTCTAGTTAGTAAACTGTATCACTGGTTCATTAATTGTAACAAATGAACTATATTAACACTAGATGTTGACAATAGGGGAAACTGGGTGAAGGGGTATGTGGGAACTCTGTCCCATCTTCTCAACTTTTTGGTAAACCTAAATTGTTCATTTTTTTAAAAAAACTGGTTAATTACCACATGAAAAGTGCTCAATCTCACTAGTTATCAGGAAAATGCTTTATCTGGATGAGTACAGTGGCTCATGCCTGTAATCCCAGCACTTTGGGAGGCTTAGGTGGGTGGATCACTTGAGGTCAGGAGTTCAAGACCAGCCTGGCCAACATGATGACACCCCATCTCTACTAAAACTACAAAAATTAGACAGGCATGATGGCGGGTGTCTGTAATCCCAGCTACTCGGGAGGCTGAGGAACGAGAAATGCTTGAACCTGGGGGGCGAAGTTGCAGTAAGCCAAGATGGTGCCACTGCACTCCAGCCTGGGTTACAAAGCGAGACGCTGTCTAAAAAATAAAAAATAAAAATTAAAAAAAAAAAATAGCTTTATCAAGGAAAGGTGTACATACATATATATATATATCCATATACCTTTAGGAAGAGGGAAGGGGTGCTGACTGAGGGCAGGAGATGACATTTTGCACCTTTCAGGGTGGCTAAAGTTAAAGAACTGACAAATCTAAGTATTGGTGAGGATACACAGCAACTGGAACTCTTAATTTTACACACTGGTAACAATAGTGTAAACTGGAACAATCACTTTGTACCAGTTTGAAAATGGTTTGGAATCATCTACTAAAGCTGAACACACATGTATGTCCTATGACCAGGAATTGTTCTCACAGGTATACAACTGATAGAAATGTATATAAATGTGCACCCAAAAAGATATGTTCACACATATTCCTGTTTTTAATAATAGAAACAGAAATCATCCAAATTTCCCTCAAAAGAAAAATGAATAATATGCTTTGGTATATTAATATAATGGAATACGACAGTACTATACAGCGGGCACTACTGACATTTTGGGCTGGATAAGTCTTTGCTGGGAGCTGAAGGCAGGCATGTCCTGTGCATTACAGAATGTTGGCAGCATCCTACACACAAGAGATGCTGGTAGTAACCACCCTCCAGTTGTGACAACCAAAAATGTCTCTATATAATATCAGATTTTGCCCTTGGAGGGAGCAAAATCACCCTGATTCAAAACACTGGTGTACAGCAATGAAAACAAATACCTACTGCATGGATTCATCTCACAAACGTAATGTGAGCAAAAGAAGCCAGTACGAAAGAGTGCGTCCTGAAAGATACTCACTCAAAAATAAGCACAACGAGTGCTGGGTGTGGTGGCTCACGCCTGTAATCCCAGCACTTTGCGAAGCCAAGGCAGGCGGATCACTCGAGGTCAGGAGTTCAAGACCAGCCTGGCCAACATGGCAAAACCCCGTCTCTACCAAAAATAGAAAAATTAGCCAGGTGTGGTGGCACACGCCTGTAATCCCAGCTACTTGGGAGGCTGAGCCCAGAGAATAGCTTGTACCCGGGAGGCAGAGGTTGCAGTGAGCCAAGATCGCTCCACTGCACTCCAGCCTCGGCCACACAGCAAGACTCCATCTCAAAAAAAAAAAGTAAAAAAAAATTAGAGTGTGAGAAGTCCAGAGGGAGGCTACCCTTTGAGGAGAAGGGAAGAGGTACTGATTGGGGACATGAGGAAGCTTCTAGGATGCTATGTGTGTTCTATTTTTTTGACTTGGATAGTAGTTACATGAATGGTCACTTTGTGATAATCTGTCAAGCTTATGATTTATACATTTTTCTCCACGAGTGTCATACTTTTTTTTTTTAAATAGAGACAAGATCTTGCTAAGATGCCCAGGCTAGTGCAAACTCCTGAGCTCAAGAGATCCTCCCATCTCAGTTTCCCAAAGTGCTGGAATTACAGACGTGAGCCACTGTACCTGGCCTTAAAATGTGTTTTAATGTTTATTTTATTATGACAATAAATATAACAATTTGTCAAAATCTGTGGAATACAGAGCAATAAAGGTAAAAGTATAACTTAAATTTACCAGCAAACAAAGGGGTAAATATAAAGGAGCCAAGCATTCCAACTCAAGAAGTTGAGAAAAGAGCTAGAGAAGAAACCCAAGGACCAATTTAAAAAAAAACAGCTGGGGGCGGTGGCTCACACCTGTAATCCCCGAACACTTTGGGAGATCAAGGCAGGAAAATTACTTGAGCCCAGCAGCTTGAGGGTGCAGTGAGCTATGAGCACACCACCGCACTCCAGTCTGGGTAACAAAGCAAGACCCTGTCTCAAAACCTAAATAAAATAAAAATAAAGATAAACAATAAAGAGCAGATATTAATGGTTTCACTGCAGCATTATTTGTAGTGGTAATGGTGTTGGAGGCAACGCAGGTAGCCATTACCGGAAAAAGAAACAGGTAAAATGTGGAAGATGTACATTAGAAGTGGGTCATGGGGTAAAAGTAAAGGAAATCAATTTTAAAAATGGGTAGGTAGATAGATAAGTACAGTAGTTCTCTCAGGCTCTGAGATTCTATGTTCTAGTTTCATCTGTTTGTTTTGTTTTGTTTTGTTTTTTGGTATGGAGTCTTGCTCTGTCGCCCAGGCTGGAGTGCAGTGGCACAATCTCGGCTCACTGCAATCTCTGTCTCCCGGGTTCAAGTGATTCTCCTGCCTCAGCCTCCCAAGTAGCTGAGATTACAGGTATGTGCCACCATCCCCAGCTAATTTTTAGTAGAGACGGGGTTTCACCATGTTGGCCAGTCTGGTCTCAAACTCCTGACCTCAGGTGATCCACCCACCTCAACCTCCCAAAGTGTTGGGATTACAGGCGTGAGCCACTGCACCCGGCCCCAGTTTCATCTTTTTTAATCGTTTCCCTAACTTTGCATTTCCATTTGCTGATATAATTTTTTGTAAACATTCTGCTGGCTCACATGTATCTTCGAGGTTTCAGATTCTAATTAGATGTTAAGCCTGTATTTTAAATGTGTTATTTCAGAGATTCTTTTATGACACATATTTGGATATGTACTTGCAACTGCATTGCTTAAGCATGTTGTAAAACTTTTACATAATTCTTGGAAGTCATTACATTTAATTTTAACTGTTAGGTTATATCTATCATATAAAACCTAGCTAGCAATTTCTTATTGATAATAACTACTGGGTGGGTCCAGGTTTCTGACTTCCTTAAGAGTAGAACAGAATGTTGTCTCTTGCTTATGAAAAAAAAATAGTAATGGTAGACAGAAAATGTTCTTGAGAACACCTTTTAGAGATCTTTTCATCTTCATTCACGTGATATGGAGGAAAGAGAGGTTCTGAGGCATCCGATACTCAACATGAATTATTTCAGCAAAAAGAAAAAGCAAAGTCACAAATGTAGGACCCTATCCAAAAACTAAAAGAAGCTATAAGGACACTTTACCTACAGAGGATATAAAGGTAAAGATTAACTCAAAGGAGGGGCTTTTGATAACAAACTGGCCTAAAGACCCAAACTTAAGTGCTAAGTTAGAATTATAATCTTTTAAAGGTTGCTAGTCATTGGAAATTATTTAAATGAAAGTACCACTCAAAATATGGGGATAAGAACAAAGTTTTATCAAGCTGTGATTGTAATGATTAAAAATAAGCGAGAAAGTTAAGTGTCTCTTAATTGTTGATAACAGTTATGTACTTGGGAGTTTTATGCTTGCTTTGTTTTATTGTTTAATAATTATAAATGTACACATAAGATGAATGAAAAAAATCTTATATGTGCTAAGTCTCAGATCCTAGATGAACTATGAGACTGTGTGAATCAACTTATCTCCTATGAGCTGAGCTCAGCATACCTACATTTCACATTAATTTCCTTTGAATGGTGAATCTTTGGCTTTTTAGTTATGTGACAGCACAGAACTAGCAAGAGATAAGACATGTCTATGAAACCCACTCACCAGGAAGGACATTCAGCTCTAAAGACAAGAGAGAGTTCAGTTAGTGAAGATGAGATCACCCCCACTCGTAACTGTCTCACCTGAAGCAGCTCCAGGGTGGGAGCCTGGCTCTTCTCCCCCACCTCTAAGATGAGCTTCTTCAATGAAGCGATAGTTTGATTGAGTTTTAACGTGTTCTCATTCAGCTTCTTCTTCGTCTCTTCTTCTTCTTTGTTCAATCTCTGAAGAAACAGGTCCTCTTCTTCAACCAGGAAGTTGTGCAGCTTTGAAAACTCCGTGCTGATTCTCATTCGCTGACTCTTTATCTTATCCTAAGGCCACATGAGATTTGCTCACTCCTTTTTCTGCCTGACCCCAGCTACTAAATTCCTTACACAATTCCCCAGTAATCCACAGTCAATCCTAATCAAACCCTCTTGAAAAGCTCCTGCCCACCCCCACTAAAATTTCCATTACTCCTTTATTTATACCTACTTGATAGCTCTGTCTAGTCATTATAGTATTCATTCATTCTTCCTAACATTTCAGTCTCTACTACTGACAAGTTTTAAACTAAAACAAACTTTCACATCTACTACTTAGTTTAGCCTTCAGAACTCGTTTAGTTTTACCAAATCTTTAGGAGTGTGAGGGTGTGTGTGTGTGTGTGTGTGTGTGCGTGTGTGTGTGCATCCATTCATCTGTTTCTTTCCACAATGCCATGGGCCCAAACCGACTCTAACCTAGGGAGTATATTTAGGAAAAAGTAGGAAGGAGAGGGGTGCTACCTTAAAGTAGAGACATGGGGATGAAGTATGCGGAACTCATTATCACCCAAAGCCACTAGCAGCAGGGACAGGTACTTCCTCTCCTATCCCCGTATCTACAAGGGGCCTGACAACTGAACTGACACCCAGAAAGCTCTTCTTTCAGTCACATGATATGGAGGAAACAGAGGTTCTGAGGCATCCAAGACTCTACGTGAACTGCAAAACCCCATGACCAAAAGGACCTCAGAAGCAAGAAATGTCCCAGACCAAAAGGACCTCAGGAGCAAGAAATATCCAACCACTTCTGCCATTACCTTCCACTGTGTGGCGTTCTTCACTTCTACATCCTGTAAATGCATGACTTTCTTCATCTTGGCCACGAGATTACGCTGAGACTTAAGAAGTTTCTCCTGCCAGCAGAAACACACACAGGTAAGAAAACACATCTCCAACCATCATCATCTTCTTTTTTCTTTTTGTTTTTTTTTTTTTTTTTTTTTGAGACAAAGTCTCACTTTGTCACCCAGGTTAGACTGCAGCGGCCTGATCATGGCTCACTACAGCCTCAGCATCCCAAGCTCAAGTGATCCTCCCACCTCAGCCTCCCAAGTAGCTGGACTACAGGCATGCTCCGTCAGGTCCAACTAATTTTTTTATGTTTCGTAGAGACAAAGTCTCCCTATGTTGCCCAGGCTGGTCTTGAACTCCTGGGCTCAACAGATCCTCCCACCTCAGCCTCCCAAAGTGCTGGGATTACAGCCATGAGCCACCACGCCTGGCAACTTCATTTTTTAAGAGCTAAAAGTCACCTAATCAAAACAGAGAATGAGATTGAAAAAATGCTGAAGACGGTCACAGGCCTATGATAAGAACTATTCTGGTCTGAAATCATCACAACACTATATTGAGTTTTCCTGGTAAGTTAGCAAAAACTAAAAACTGTTAGAAGATTAGCAAATATCTACTACTGGCAGAGAGAAGGCCTCTGGCACCACAGGAGATTAAAAACGTGCCTTTTTTTGATGGACAACTGGCAGGATTTAACAAAATTTTAAATGGGTATAATGCTACTTCTAATAATCTATGCAACAAAACACTAGCAAAAATAACCAATATGTAAAGAAATGGTCACTATAGCATTATTCATTATCCACTAATTAGGAATTATTAAATAAATTATGTTATATTGATACTTTGCATCAATTTCAGGTAGCTGTCTATATATTGACATGAAATACACAATAAGTTGAAAGCAAGCCATAAGACAATATGTATTGTACAATTCTGTTTTGAAAAGAATAAACGTGTCTATGCGCATACGTGTTTATCTATGTGTGTGTATTTGTATGTGAAAGCAAGGGAAATCTGGAAGGATGTATACCCAAGTATTAACATTGGTGACTTCCAAGGAAAAAGAATGGCTTACGAATTTGGAGGTGGGGTACTAGAAATTTTATGCATTTTTGCTTTAATTTCTACAAGTGGCATATGCCATTTTTGTAATTTAAAAACCCGAGTAAGTTATTAAAAAATAAAGCAAGTCAATCAACATTGACAAATTGGGCTGAGGGGCAGCACCCGATAGTAGGATGTCAGCTGCGAGTGCAGAGATGGAAGCAGAAATGTTAGAGAAACACACAAGAGAAAAACCCACAGGAACTGATGATCAAATGGCTGCAGGAGGAAAGGGTCCAGATTTAGCCCCTCAGTTGTGGTTTAAGTAACTGGATGGACTGCAGGTTATTTATCAAATTAGAAAATATAGGAAGAAGAGCAGTGTGTAAATGGGAGGAAGGAAAATAAATTTCACCTAAATAAATTGAGTCTGAGATGCCTGTGGGACATCCAAGTGGATATGTTAGCAATTAGAGTTGGGAAGGAGATCTATGCTGCAGAAGCAGATTTCGGGATTAAAGCACAGGTGGCAGTTGGAGCCTTGGGTGAGCGTAAAATCACCCAGTAAGATTCTATAGAGTAAGAGGATCAAGGCTAGAACTGGCAACAACTACATTTAAGCAGTATGTAGAAAATAAAAATCCTGCAAAGAAGCTAAGGTGAGCAGTTGGTGAAAAACCAAGAGAGAATGGTTTCTCCTATGCCAAAGGAAGAGACCATTTAAATTACAAAACTAGTGAATAGTGTCAAATGCTGGAGGGTGGCCTGGGCAACTTTCTGTAAGTCTCACTATATGTCAAAATAAACAAAAAATTAAAAAAATTAAAAATAAATTTAAAAAACTAAAAGAAAAGAAATGATTAGAACTAAAAAATAATCTGTACAACTTTTTAAATTCTTCCCCAGAAAACTAACAATTACTAATAGGTATAACTTTTCATCCAATCATTTACAAGTGACAATGGTTAAAATCAAGTTAAATAACTGACAAGGTTGATAACATCAAAGTTGGCAAGGGTATGGAGCAACTGGAACTCTTACACAACATTAGCAGGCGAATGAAATGCTACCACCATTTTGGAAGAAGGTTCAGTGTAAAACTAAACATACATTAATCCTAGGGTACAGCAATTCTACTCCTAGACCCTGGAAAAATGAAAACATGTACCCATAAATAGACCTGTACAAGAATATTCATCGCAGCTTTATTCACAATAGCTAGAAGCTGGAAACAGTCCAGGTATTCATTGATAGGAAGGTGGATAAATAATGGCAAAAACCGCAATTACATTTGCACCAACCTATACAAAAATGGATAAATCTCAAAATCAATATGCTGAGCAAAAGGATCCATACAGACAATGGAATTCCATTTATATGAAGTTCTGGAACAGGCAAAACCTAATTTGTGTTTGAAAAAAAATCAGAACGGTGGTTGCCCTGGTAGGGGAAGGGTGCAGAGAATAACTGGGAAAGGGCATGAAAGAATTCTCTGGATGGTAATATCCTTTATCTTGAGAAGGGCATTTGTCAAAGCTCAGCAAATGTACAACTAAGATTTGTGTTTTTCATGGTATTAAATTTTACCTCAAAAAATACCATAGGCCAGGCACGGTGGCTCACGCCTGTAACCCCAGCATTTTGGGAGGCCAAGGCAGGTGGACAGCTTGAGGCCAAGAGTTCGAGACCAGCCTGGGCAACATGGTGAAACCCTGTCTCTACTAAAATACAAAAGAAATAGCCAGGTGTGGTGGCACAAGCCTGTAATCCAGCTACTTGGGAGGCTGAGGCATGAGAATCGCTTGAACCCAGAGGCAAAGGTTTCAGTGAGCCGAGATCACACCACTGCACTCCAGCCTGGGTAACAGAATGAGACTCTACATATTAAAAAAAAAAAATAATACCATAAACAAATGTTAAATCTGGTTAATGATATACATGCTGAAGTATTTTGTTTGCAATTGAATTTTAAAAGCATCAAAAGGAAATAAGAATTGATGTATTCAGAGAGATACAGACAAATGGACAGCTATGTGATAAAAGAGTCAAATGTTAATGGTAGAATCTACATGTGGGTACACTGGTGTTACTACAAAATTCTTCCAACTTTGATGTATGCTTGAAATTTTCATGGTAAAATGAAATAGGAAAACAAAATTAAATTATAAAAGGGATTCATACAGTTCTGTTAAATGGCACAATACCATCTGTGCTATTCTGTTTCTACCATGATGTTTCCTAACATTATATCATCTATTTACTATCTCTAGTAGTTAACTTTAATAGGCATGTAACCCTGCTACTCTCTCATGTAATTTCACTTTATTCAATTATAACTGCCGCTTTGTGGTCACTGTCAAATTTGATGTATATGAGGTTTGTAATGAGATATATATTAGTTCCTTCAAATAGGACCAAGTTTTTGAAAGTTTTCACTTTGCTTGATAATGAAAAATATAATAATCTACTAAATAGAGATTTTCTATGTCTTAAAAAGCCTTAACAAGTCAGTATGCATGAATTCTCTCATATGGTTCTACTACTCAAGACTCTACCCAAGTTTTTTTCAATCTGGCCACAGTTGGAATCTAAACTGGGAGGTGAGTTAACTTGACAGCCTTGGTGGAAGTTAGAAAACACTTTCCCTGCAACAACAGAAACTGCCAGGAGGTGGCAGGAGCGCAACACCAAGCATTTCAATCTGGGTTAGAAATACCAGAAATTTTAAAAATCACTCTCTCAGCTAGGTGCGGTGGCTCACGCCTGTAATCCCAGCACTTTGGGAGGCCAAGGCGGGCAGATTACGAGGTCAGGAGTTCCAGAGCAGCCTGACCAACATGGTGAAACCCCGTCTTTACTAAAAATACAAAAAAAAATTAGCCGGGCATGGTGGCACACGCCTGTAATCCCAGCTACTCAGGAAGCTGAGGCAGGAAAATCGCTTGAACCCGGGAGGTGGAGGTTGCAGTGAGCTGGGATCGCGCCACTGCACTCCAGCCTGGGCAACACAGTGAGACTCCATCTCAAATAAATAAATAAATAAATAAATAAAAATAATAATTTTTTTAAAAATCACTTTCTCTTAATTTAGCACCAGAAAATTATACGTATATGAAAACACAAGTGTAATAAAAGAGCATACTTTTATAGAATGAAGACATTTACTGACTTGTGATCATGTAGCTCAAACAACATTAAACTTCCAAAGATCTTAGTTTCACTCTAGACCTTCAAACCAGCTGTGCATCTGTGAGCAAGTCAGCCTTGCTTATTTCCTGGATCAAGGCTTCCTTAACTATAAAATGAAGACAACTGGACCAAATGTCTCTTAAATACCATCCCAGCTCTTGAGTTCTATGAATTTCAGTCACTGTAACTTCTGCAATTGATCCAAGCTGGTAGGTGTACTTTGGAAATATACCTCAAATCTACCTACATGCCAAACCCCACTGCCACCGCTAGTTGAAGCCACCATCATCTTTTGTCTGACAACTACAATAACCTCCCGACTGCCCTCCCTACTTACAGTCATGTCCTTCTCTCATACAATATCCACAACGCAGCCACAGTGGCACGATCATAGCTCACTGCAGCCTCGAACTCCTGAGTGCAAGTGATCCTCTAGTCTCGGCCTCCCGAATAGCTGGGACTACAGATGTGCATCACTACATCCAGCTAATTTTTGTATTTTTTGTAGAGATGGGATCTCACAGTTGCCTAGGCTGGTCTTGAACTCCCGGACTCAAGCAATCCTCCTGCCTCAGCCTCCCAAAGTGCCAGGATTATAGGCATAAGCCACCACACCTGGCCTTGGAATAACTTTTCTAAAAACTAATCAGATATTGTCACTCTCCTGCTCAAGATTCTTCACTGGCTTTCCTCTTCACCAAGAAAATCTGAACACTTCATTGTGGCCCAACATAAGCTGACCGCTGCCTACATCTCGTTTCACATCGCATGCCACCTTTCCCCTTGCTCTTGGTCCTCCAGGTGCAGAGACCTTCTTCCTACCCCATAAACATATCCAGCTCTCCCCCGCCTCAGGGCCTCTTCCCACAGTTCCTCAGATGGCAGACTCTGCATCCAGCAAGTTTCAGCTGCAATGTCACCTCCTAAGAGAAGACTGCTCCCTTCTCTGGCATAGCACTTTTTCTTTTTTTCTTTTTTTCTTTTTTTTTTCTTGAGACGGAGTCTTGCTCTGTCACCCAGGCTGAAGTGCAGTGACATGATCTCGGCTCACTGCAACCTCCGCCTCCCGGATTCAAGCAATTCTCCTGCCTCAGCCTCCCAACTAGCTGGGATTACAGGTGCCCACCGCCGCACCTAGCTGATTTTTGTATTTTTAGTAAAGACAGGGTTTCACCATGTTGGCCAGGCTGGTCTCAAACTCCTGACCTCAAGGGATCCTCGCGTCTCAGCCTCCCAAAGTGCTGGGATTACAGGCGTGAGCCACTGCGCCTGGCCTAGGATAGCACTTTCTTTTTCTTTCCCAGCATGCCATCACCATCTGTGATTATTTCATTTATTTGTCTGTCTGCTATCTACCTCCCACCCTCAGCCCAACTGGACTGTGAGCTCCATGGAAAGCCTTTACCTGTCTTGTTCACCACTGGATTCCCAGTGCTGCATCTGGTGCCGTGCCACAGCATCTGACACAAAGCCAGTGCTCAATAAACATCTTAAATTAATTAACAGAATGGAGGGATTAGCTCCTAGAGTCAGGCATGAAGGAAAAAAGAGCTGCACTTGGAGGCCTTTTCCATGCAAACAATTTGCATCCGGAGATTTATGAAGCTATTTCTCTTTCTCTTTTCTCTTTTTCTCCCCTCACCATAACGGGTATAGGATGGGGATATTTTCCATGGATTTAGGGAACTTCCAGCTATCCAACTTTTAAAACACAGTCCATCCATCTGAGTATATGCTGAGAATGGGATGCTTGGAAATAAAGCAGCTTCACCCAGGGGCAGTTTATGTTTTTCTAACTAACTTGGGGTGGGGATGGAATGAAAGGTGGTTGAATAGGGCAGTGACTAAGCAGAGGAGGATGGAGAGATGGGCGGATATCAGGGAATTCCGCCCAGTGACCTGGCTCCTGAACACCTACGAAGTCAACCTTGTGACATTCAGCCCATCCCAGTGTAACCCTTACCCATCCACTCCTGTCCTGTTGGGCCATTGTGTTTAATCCTGAAATCCCACCTCTTCTAAGAAGTCTTCTCAGATTAGTTGTGGCAGAGTGAAAAGTGTAAAGGATTAGGGGTTAGAAGACCTCAGTTCAAGCATAGCCACTTCCTAGTTCTGTGACCTCGGGGGCATGTAACCTCACATCTCTGTGGCACAGTTGCCTCATCTTCAAAAAGGGAATAACAGAATCCACCTAATAGGATGTCTATGAAGATTAAAGAATTACAGTATGAAAAATGCTTAGAACTGTGGGTGGTACGTAAGAAGTAATGAACAACTGATAGCTATTACTGCTGAAGATGGAAGATTTAAGGGCTATGTTCCCCTTTCATACCCATCCACTTATATTTCCCTCGGCCCCCACCCACAAGTGTATTTTCCCTTCCATTTATCTGATGGGTCCTCTCCATGTCTTTTGCTGGCTACCAACCATTGGTGTTTCCCAAGCTTCTCTTTGTGCCTTTTTTTACTCTCTATGTGGTCCTCCTAGGAGAATCTCATCTTCTTACTTCTTCCATGACTTCAAGAACAGGCTGAGGATTCTAAAATATTATCTCTAGCCTCCAAGGCACCCCACCTCCTGTCCCTCTTCCTTGGACTTCCTGTCACAATTACTTCACACTCAGTACATTCCACAAGCATGGGATCTTCTGTCCTAAGACTACGCTTCCTCCTGTGTACCTTACCTCAGTTAACCTGACAGTCATCTACCTGCCATCTGAAGCAGAAATCTGAACTACCATCCAAGACTCCTCTCTCTCTCACCCACCAAGTCTAATTGATCACCAAGTCATTCAACTCCAGCTCATTATCACTCCATCCCTCCCTCTCCATCATCCCTGCCCTGAACTAATTCAGGTCTTTATTACCTCCTGCTTAAAATGGTACAAGAGCAGCCTAATTAGTCTTCTCTTCCATTCATCCACGTGGATGTCAAAGTTACCTGTCTAAAACAAAAAAAACGATCATATCATTCCCTGCCTTAAAACCCTTTTATAACTCCCCACTGCCTGAAAGAGAAAGTTCAATCTTTTTACTATGGCAAACAAGATCCTTCATGATAAGGCCCTGCCTTTTTCTTCAAGCTCATGGCCCACCATCCTCCTTCCCATGCTCCATGCTCCAGAAGTACTGAGCAACCTCCAGTCCTCTCACACACCACATGCTATCCCACTCCACCACATTTGGAATATGCTGTTCCTTTGGCCTGAAATACCTTCTTTCCTACCTCTACTCACCCTTGAAGAGCTAACACATTTAACTCCTCAACGGAGCCTTTCCTCACTCCTCAGTGATCACTCCGACCTCAGACCTTCTGTACACTTGGTAAATACTTCAGCTACTCTCACACACACTGAAATTAATGTTGTACACGCTTAAGTTCCTTACAAGACAAAGCCCATGTCTTTCTCATCCACTTATGTCCAGATTCTAAAACAATGTTTGGCAAATAGTAAGCATCAATAAACGTTACTGAGTGAAGGAATGAACATACACTTTCTAGTCCAGCTTTGTGTCTGTTTCCTGTTCATAGTCAGCTGGTACAACTGTACAGTATTTTACAGTTTCCAAACATTTTCACTGTGTCATTAAATTCATGTGTTTGGCCAGGAAAGCTTGCTCACGCCTGTAATCCCAGCACTTTGGGAGGCCAAGGTGGGTGGATCACCTGAGGTCAGGAGTTCGAGACCAGCCTGACCAACATAGTGAAACCCTGTCTTCACTAAAAATACAAAATTAGCTGGGCATGCTGGCAGGTGCCTGTAATCCCAGCTACTCGGTAAGCTGAGGCAGGAGAATCACTTGAACCCGGGAGGTGGAGGTTGCAGTGAGTTGAGATCTCACCACTGCATTCCAGCCTGGGCAACAAGAGCGAAACTCCATCTCAAAAACAATAATAATAAAATAAATAAATAAATTCATGTGTTCATGTACTTACTGCATATCAATTCTGCTGGAGACCACTGGAGTTACACCATCAGTAATGGGAGGGGGTGGGGCTACTCTGGAAAGGATGATCAGGGAAGGTCTTCAAGCTAAAAGCTAAAAGGATCTAAAGGATAGATGTGGGTAGAGAAAGAGAACAGACTTGAAACAAAAGCAAGAAAGCCAGTATGGCTGAAGCAGAGTAAGGTAAAGTGATTTATTCAACCGGAGCTTCTTAACCCATGAGATAGGACAGATAATCCCCAAATTCAAATGTTACAGGATTTTCCCAACTGATGAAGGAAGCTAGTAACAAAACCCAGCCTCATCATTACAAGCTAGGCTTTTCCCAAATCATCAGCTGTCTATGACATTTACAGATACAGACAGGCACTGTCCAATACAGTATCCATTTAGCCATACAAGCACCTGAAACGTGGATATTCCAAACTGCTATGTGTTGTAAATGTAAAATACACACCAATTTCAGACCTATTATGAAAAAGGAGTATAAAATATCTCATTGAGGCCGGGCGTGGTGACTCACACCTTAATCCCAGCACTATGGGAGGCCAAGCGGGGCAGATCACTTGAGGTCAGCAGTTCGAGACCAGCCTGGCCAAGATGGTGAAACCCCTCTATACTAAAAAACAAAAATTAACCGGGTGTGGTGGCGTGTGCCTGTAATCCCAGCTACTCGGGAGGCTGAGGCAGGAGAACTGCTTGAACCCCGGAGGAGGAGGTTGCAGTGAGCCAAGATCACGCCACTGTGCTCCAGCCTGGGCAATAAAGTGAGACTCCATCTCAGAAAAAAAAAAAAAATCTCATTGATAATTTTCATCTCAGCTTTGAATATTTGGGGTAATCAGATTAAATAAAATATATTATTACAATTAACGTCACCTCGTTTCCTTATCTTACCAGAAAGATTTTAAATTACATATGTGGTTTCTATTGGACAGCAGCGGCACACACCCTCTCAGTATGTTTTTCTTTATTATGAGCTCCCCAAGGGCCAGTTTATTGAAAATTCTGCACAATGATTGCTGAGGTTTGCACCTCCCCTCCTCTCATTCCAGTTTTAACCCTAGCTCTGAAATTCGTGTTTTGCTTAACTTCTTTGAGTTTCAGGGGCTTTTCATGCTTCCAGTAGGAATGACAGCCACTTCGTGGCTCTTTTAGGAGCATTAAGTAAACTTTATCGGGCAACACTGACAGCCCCGTCATAGTCACCGCGACGGCCAGCTCACCCGGTAGCTCTCGAAGGCCTCGTCGATGGGTGCCATGGCGTGAGTCTGGTGCTCCTGGGACTCCCTGCACACCAGGCACACTGGCCGCTGGTCGTCCTCGCAGAAGAGCCGCAGCGGCTCCCAGTGGCGGCCGCACAGGCCCGGGGGCACGGGGCCCAGGCGCCGGCGCTGCGTCTTCTCAGTCAGCCTGGCCAGGGCCCAGTTGGGTCGCAGCGCGGCGGGCGCCGATGGGTGCCGACATTCGGGGCAGGGGAACGGGCCGCCGCCCGGCGCCCAGTTGCGGTGCAGGCAGCCGCGGCAGAAGTTGTGGCCGCACTCGATGGACACCGGGTCCTGGAAATAGTCCAGGCAGATGGGGCAGGTCAACTCCTCCTGGATGTCCTCAGCTTCCATGCTGCTTCCCTGCCGCGGAGACGGAGTCCGACGTGAGGCGCGGGAGAGGCCAGCAAGCTGCGAGCGGCCGCGGGGAGGCCAGACGACTTCCGAACCGCCGTCACCGCCTCACGTAAAAGGGTACAACGCAGTTTCTCTTCCGGGGTTCAGGACCCAAAAAGAACGCACGGACGTTGCCCGGCCTGAGCGCGCAAGACCGGAAGCTGCTGGGTATCCGCGCCGGAACCGCGAGGGGGTTGGTTCAGGCCTAGGCGCGGGGCAGGACGGGACCGGTGAGTGGCTCCTCCAAACAGCTATAGAGACCCAGAAATGCCTGTGGAAAGCTACAGAGGACTTGGGCAAGGCGTTAGAGCCGGACGTTGTGGTCCCTGGGGGAGCCAACCGGGGAGGTGCCTATGATCTTTCTTTCCAAGTTTGAGGGTTCAGGTCTGTGTTCGCCTGCTGGTTAGACCGATTTAAGTTTTAGAGTCCCAGGAGTTCTGGGCGAGCTGCAGCCTAGGGGCCTGGAAGGCCAGGAAGACTTGAAGGATCTGTGTTGGTAGGCCTGGAGTTTGGCTAACGTGGGGATGATTTGGATTCTGAGATGCAGATACATTGCCTTTTTGGTATCCAATTTGAAAAGTAGCAACCATTTTGCTATCCCAAAGAACATCCATGGAGGCTTTCAACAAATAATATGCTCACCTGTTTCAGGGAATTATCTATATCCCTTAAGTGGATTTTCGATCTTGTGTTTCTGAGGTGCTTTGCTTTTTATTCTTCCCACTTTCTTCCTTTTCTTGTGAATATTTGTTTAAAACAAAAAAAACTCTGGACTGACAAATTTAATAGAAGCTATTTGCACAAAGAACAGTTCATGAATTGGGCAGCACTCAGAACCAAAAGAGGTTCAGAGAGCTCTGTCCAGCAGTATGACCTGCTAGCTTTTATAGGAAGCAAAGTAGAGAAATCACCTCATTAGCTAACATCTAGGTGTCTGCCTTATTTGACAATGATATGATGAGGCATTTGCCTTATTGGGGCATGGTCTGATCAGTTGGCTGTCTGTTATTTGCTGAAGCTCGGCCGTGATTGGCTGAAACCCAGCTGTTATAAAAAATAAAGTAAGTTAGGCTTCAGTTCGTTTACATACTAAGTCAGGTTGTATTTTGTTATATGGGAACTCAAGTACCAAGACAGCCTCAGGCTAATGGGCTTTTGCTTATTTAACAGATTTTTCATTCTTTTTATGTCCCAATATCAAATACTGCCTTTCCTATAATAATTTTTCTCAGTAAGTAGTATGATTAAATGATTAGAAAAAGGGGTTCTTGAGGTATCTGTTTGGGGGTTATTGATGAAAGTTCCACTGAATATTTCTAAAACATTTAAATTGGACAACTAATGAATGGATTTTCTTTGCAAATTGGAATACTCTATGGAGAAGGGATCTGGTTCTTTAATAGGGACCAAGCAGGAAGGAATGCTCTTAACAGTTACTGATGTTTACCATGAGTGTTTATGGCATCTGTGTGTCTATATGTTTACCTAAGTATTGAATGAGAAGTTTCAGCATTCCTGCAAAGTATTTATTCCCCTTACAGTAGTCATTTAAATCTTTTCAGGTAAATCCCTTAAAATCCTTATGTCTTTATTCCTGCCATACCAGAGATGACCTTCCTTCTTTACTAAGTGAGGCTCCCTAATTAACAATTTTTCTCCATCACAAAATGTCTATAAGTCTGTATACCAGCCAAGGTTCATTCAGAGAAGTGGAATCACTATGTTTCTTTATGTTCGCAGGGCAAGCAGTTAAGAAGGGAAGATGAACATAAAGTAGGGAAGAGCAAAAATGAGTTGGAACCTAAGACACGAGCTGGTCATTCTTTCACTGTCTCCAACTTTAAAGATATGAGTATCCTTGCTAGAGGAGCTGACACTTTTTGCCACAGGACTAGACACACACACAGCTCAGGAATCAAAAAAGGTGAAGGAAGACTCAGGGAAAAGCTTCTGCCCCATCCCAACAAGGTGAACCAGCTGATTGGTGACAAAGTAGATGAGCCGCAGTAGCACCTAGTGTCCCTGCACCACCGTTTCAAGTATAAAACTGGAGGGATGCTTCAGTTCTCCCCTTCAAGACTTACACAACCATGTCTCTGTTGGGCTATTCTAACCAGAAACAAAAGGAAAGGAAATTCTGGGAAACATAGTTTAGCTTAGCAAAGTTGATATATTACAAAATTACCACTGTCCACTCTGCATCGAGTTGACATCCATACAGACCTCTTTAAAACACACTTTCAAAATAAAGTCCACACCCTACACATAAGCTATCTCTAGAGAAATTTGAAGTCTGTTGTGCACTGAGGATAACCACAACAACAAACTGTAAACCTAGCCCAATTTCTGACTAGACTGATACCACCGAACCACTGCTATGCACTCAAGAGCACTAAAGGCCTAGCAGAAGGAAAGACACACTCATCTCCAAGCATAAAAACAATCTTTACTTCATACTGTGAAGAGAGAATTGAAAAAATAATTTAAGCAAAAAAAATACAACATGACTAACTTTTAACAGAAAGAAAAAAAGACGCATACAGAAAGGCAAGAAAAAACACAGTCCAAAGAGATAAAACAATCATTAGAACCAGATTCATAAGACATAGACATTAGAAATATGAGAGAATTTTAAATAACTGTGATTAATGTGATGAAGGCCCTAAGGGGAAAGGTGAACAAAATGCAAGCTCAGATGGGTGATTTTAGCAAATAGATGGAAACTATCAGGAAAAATAAAATGGAAACTATAAAAATAAAAAATATAATAATAGAGATGAAGAATGCCCTCCATGGGCCCATTAGGAGACTGAACACAGTTGAGGAAAAAATCAGACTTGAAGGTAGGTAAATAGAAATTGCTGAAACACACACACACACACACACAAAAAGAGTGACAGAAACAGAACACAGCATCCAAGACTGGTGGGAAAATATCAACATCAAATCAAGAAATAGGCGCAGTGGCTCACCCCTGTAATCCCAGCACTTGGGGAGGCCGAGGCAGGCAGATCACGAGGTCAGGAGATCGAGACCATCCTAGCTAACGCAGTGAAACCCCGTCTCTACTAAAAATTCAAAAAAATTAGCCGGGCATGGTAGCAGGCACCTGTCGTCCCAGCTACTCGGGAGGCTGAGGTAAGAGAATTGCGTGAACCCGGGAGGCGGAGCTTGCAGTGAGCTGAGATCACACCACTGCACTCCAGCCTGGGCGACAGAGCAAGACTCTATCTCAAAAAAAAAAAAAAAATCAAGAAATAATGGCTGAGAATTTCCAAAATTTGTAAGACACCAAACCAATCCAAGGAGCTCAGAGAACACAGAGCAGGATAAATTCTTTAAAAAGAAACTAAGCTTATTGTATTCAAACTAAGCTTATTGTATTGATACCTGGTAGTTATAACTTACCAAATACACTGCCCAACATCTCCAGATGATCTATTATTTCTGAAAGTTTCCTTTATTACATTTCTTACTTCAGGGAGATATAGCCTTCGCTTCATGTTATGGTTGGTGCAGTCAGTATTCTCAGAAAGAAAGTACTGGTTCCATTTTACCTCCATCTTTTGTTTCCTGTCAGAAAACCTACCATACCACCAAGTACTCCTTCTCTACACTGCCTCTGATATTTAAGTAATTTGAGAATTCTGTTGAGACTATCTCCCTTTTTTGGTATGATGAATCTGGTCCTAAATTGCATGCCAAAGACTTTGAGAACTAAACTGTAGACCCAGATCTCATGTCCCAGACTGGCCTTTTGTTACCCACACAATGAATGGGTTAAATTGCTTGGCAGGGGACAGTCCAATGACCACAACCAAGGAGGATTTCCCAGGGGGATTTTATTACTTGCGATAAGTAAGGAGGACACTGGGAATAATTCCCCAAAGCAATGCCTCCCTGAGCAATGGTGCAAACATGGCTTTTATTAGTCTGGTTAGCTGAGTCATTGTATGTAGAGGTGGAGTCAAGGCAGCGCAGTCCCAGTTGTCGGTTATGCTGCTACATATGTCACATGTATAGAAAATGGTGAATAAGCTCCTCCTTGGACAGGATTTTAAGTATGGTGATGAGGAAAGTTGGCCAAAGTTCATCTCCAACTCAGGCATCTCTGGGTCCAACTGGTCTTTGTTTTTCCTGGGCTAAGCTTCTTCCTGGAACTTTTTAAAACAAAAATTCAAGATGTAACAGTTACAAGTGTGTAACTTTTTCACAGTGCGTACCCAAAACCCAAGGACCCTGGGTTACACTTTAGGTGCCACCCATGTGGGACCTATCAGAAGAGTACTACAAAGGCTTTGAAAACTGAACTGACATTGGAACCACAACCCTCAGAAGGCTGGTCAAAACTTATGACTTGAACCCAAATGGGTTAATTACCCTTTAAAACATAAATATCAACATCCTCCACCAAATTTAACCAAGACCCAGAGCATCCTAATGACATTCAAAATGTCCAGGATACAATCGATATTAATTGGCAGGTGAAGAACCAGGAAAATCTCAACTCACGTTGGGAAAAAATGTAACAGATGCAGAATGTAAGTTGCCACACATGTTGGAATTATCAAGACTATAAAGCTGCTATTCAAATGGAAAGTTTAAAAGTCTCAGAGAAGTAATAGAAAATACAAAGAATAGCCCCATGGAAATTTTAGAACGGGAAAATACAAAAACCGTCATCACATCATATCCGGGGCACATGCTGTCAACATTGCTCATCACTGTTGATGTTAACCTTGATCACCCGGCTGAGGTAGTATTTGATGGGTTTCTCCCTGTAAAGTTATTCTTTCCCCTCCCCCTATTTTACTGTTTAGTGGGAAGTCACTATGTGCAGCCCATGCCTAAAAAGGGAGTAGTTGGTGGGCACGGTGGCTCACGCCTGTAATCCCAGCACTTTGGGAGGCTGAGTGGGTGGATCACCTGAGGTCAGGAGTTCGAGACCAGCTTGGCCGACATGGTGAAACCCCGTCTCTGCTAAAAATACAAAAATTAGCCAGGCATGGTGGTGCACGCCTGTAATCCCAGCTATTCAGGAGGCTGAGGCAGGAGAACTGCTTGAACCTGGGAGGCAGAGATTGCAGTGATCCTGCCATTGCACTCCAGCCTGGGCGATGAGCAAAATTCCATCTCAAAAGAAAAAAAAGTGAGTAGTTATATTTCCCCTCCTTGCGGTGGAGTATCTACATTCTTCTGCATGAGAAATTTGTCAGTTATCTCCTATTTATTCAATTATTTATATTATGAATTCATGGATTCCTATTTTATACTTTGGGTATAATCCAATACTATGTTGTTTATTTTACTGCTCAGATTATTCCTGTGTTGGCCATTGGGAACTTTTTCAGTTGACATCTGTGTCCCTTTGACAAACTCCTGTCATTTTGTGGGGAAGAGGGAGTAGCACTTTCTTACTTTCTACCGCTACAAAATCCTCCAGTCTTATCTTGTATTTCTCTTCCCTAACCCTAAAGTCAATCATTCTCATTTCTCTAATGATAAATGATGTTAAACATCTTTTCATATGCTTTCTTATTATCTGTATATCTTCTCTGATGATTACCAAGGATGGGAAGGGTAGTAGGGGGAAAGTGGAGATGGTTAATGGGTACAAAAAATAGAATGAATAAGAATTAGTAGTTGATAGCACAACAGGGTGATTACAGTCAAAAATAATTGTACATTATAAAATAACTAGTATAATTGGATTATTTATAACAAAGGCTGAAGGCTTGAGGTGATAAATACCCCATTTACCCTGATGTGACTATTACACATTGCATACCTGTATCAAAATACCTTGTATACCCCATAAATATATAACCTACTATGTACCCATTTAAATAAAAAAAGTTTTTAAAAAAGAAATAGTGCTGAGACAATTGAATATCCACATGCAAAAGATAAAGTTTGACATTTATCTTACACCATACACAAAAATTAACTCAAAACCAACCAGAGACCTAAATGTAAGAGCTGAAACTATACAACTCTTATGGAAACATAGGCATTAATCTTTATGGCTGTGAATTAGGCAATAGTTTCTTAGGTAATACACAAAAATCATAAGCAACAAAAGAAAAAATTGGATGTTAGACTTCATTAAAATTTAAAACTTTTGTGCATCACTATCAAGAAAGTGAAAGACAATCATAGAATGGGAGAAGATATTTGGAAATCATACATACAATAAGTATCTAATACCCACAATATATAAAGAGCTCTTACAATGCAACAACAAAAATACAAAAAACTCTATTTATAAATGGGAAAAGGATTTGAATAGACATTTCTCCAAAGAAGATATACAAATAACCACTAAGCACATGGAAAATGTTCAATGTAATTAGCCATTAGGCAAGTGCAAATCAAAACTACAATGAGATACCACTTCACACCCACTAGGATGGCTAGAATTTAATAGATAAATAAAAAGTATTCCCACATTGCTGGTAGGAATGTAAAAATAGTGCAGCTGCTGTGGAAAAGAGTTTGGCAGTTCCTCAAAAGTTGAAACGTGGAGTTTCCTTATGACCCAGACATTCTATTCCTGGTTATTTATGCAAGAGAACTGACAACATGTGTTTACACAACACTAAAACTGGGGCCAGGTGTGGTGGCTCAGGACTGTTGTTCCAGCACTTTGGGAAGCTGAGGCAGGCAGATAACCTGAGGTCAGGAGTTTGAGACCAGCCTGGCCAACATGGCAAAACCCTGTCTCTACAAAAAATACAAAAATTAGCTGGGTGTGGTGGTGCGCACCTGTAGTCCCAGGTACTCAGGACGCTGAAGCAGGAGAATCGCTTGAACCCAGGAAGTGGAGGTTGCAATAAGCCAAGATCACACCACTGCACTCCAGTCTGGGTGACAGAGTGAGACTCCATCCCAAAAAAAAAAAAAAAAGTGGTACACATATGTTCATAGCAACAGTGGTCATAAGAGCCAAAAAATGGAAACAACCCAAATGTCCTGAAACTGAAGAATGTATAAACAAAATGTGGTATCTCCTTAAACAAAATGTGGTATATCCTAACAGTGGAATAACACTCAACCATATAAAGGAATGTAATACTGAAACATGCCACAACATGAATGAACCTCAAGTTATGCTCAGTGAAAGAAGCCAGACATGAAAGACCACATATTGCATGATTCCATTTGTATGAAAGAGTAGGAAAACCAATAGAGACAAAACCATATGATGGTTGCATGTTTTGGGTGCTAATAAGAGTTTGAGAGTAACATGAGGGGGTAGGGTTTTTTTAAGTTGATGAAAATGTTATTAAATTGGTAGTGTTGATGGATATACAACTCTGAATATACTAAAGGCTATTTAATTGTATACTTTTGTCACTGGTAGAGGATAGTGACTGCAAGTTGTCCAGGTTCTTGGCGTTTTGAACAAGGAATTGGACAAAACTCCTAGCAAAGCAAAGAAAGGATGAAGCAACAAAAGAACGAAAGCAGGGATTTATTGAAAACCAAAGTACACGCCACAGTGTGGGAGCAATCCGAGCAGCGGTTCAAGGGCACGGATACACAATCTTCTTGGGTCCCAGTACCCACTAGAAGTTTCCCTTTGGCCAGTTCATGCTTTGCAGAAAGCAACCAATCAGAGGCTAGGAAGAAGTTACGAAGTTGCAAAGGAAGACTCATCTGCAAACAGCCTGATTTGTTGGGGACAGGCAATTTCCCATCTGCTGCACAGAAAAGGTGGGGGTGTTGCAAAGGGAGTAGCCTCTGGTCCTTGTGTTACTTAGGCAAGGAAAGTTAGAGTTTTCCTTTCAATTTAGTCCTAGGAAGTTGGCGTGAAACAGCCTTAGGTTCCCTTCCTCCAGAACCTATTCTCCTGCCTCACTTTAAGTGGATAAATTATATGGTGTATGAATTATATCTCAATAAAGCTGTTTTAAAAGGGGGTGGTATAAGGAAGAATTCCAAATGATGCTATTTGCGTTTTTCCTTGGTCACTTTGGCTGGGCTCTGGCTACAGTGGATGAGGGATTCTTATGAAGCACTTGTGTAGCAGGAAGAAAAAAAAAATTTCCTAGCTATTGCCAAAGCATCCCTTGGGATCCCCTAACTTACTTGGGGATAATTTGGGATTCAGAAAGAGAAAAAAAAATAGATAACTGCCTTTGTTGAGAATTTCAGGGCAAGAGAAAACTAAGAAAAGAGGGCAGCGTTCTGTTAAAAAAAAAAAGGGATAGAACAACACTGTCCAACAGAAATGACTAAGAGACTCGAGAAGACTGATATTCAGATTGCAGTTACCCGCCGAATCACACTGTGATGTCAGCCTCCCTTGCTGTTACTCCCAAATCAGCATATCAGCAGTAGAACTCTACTGCTTTTTCTGTGTGGTATTGAGGGTTATGAAATTAAAGAGTAGGAACTTGGTCCAGCATGAGTTGCTGCAGTTCTGGAGACAATTGTAACAAGCTGCAACGAGAACTGCAGAAATGAAGAATGAGAATTGAGCAGAAATCAGAGCTATCAGTGATCAAGGGGGCCTAAGCCCCTGAATTCACAGTAATTTTCCTTAAGGATATGGCCGGGTATTTGGATAAATCTATAGATATTAGAGGACACTGACTTATATATGCTTGAAGCCCAGAGTTTCTGGCTTATGACATGTGCTGCAGGTCTGAGGGGCATTCATTTACAAAACTTTGATGATAAGGGGAGCAGAGAATGTGGAAAAACAGAAAAGAGGTAAATGAAGCCAGTGAGACAGGAAGGGGCATTATCTTCAGCAACAGGAATGCCAACAGCAGTCATCAATATTTATTGAGCAGGACAGGGGAGAGACACAGTTTAGGGAGGCTTCTCCCGGCTGACTCTTGAACCAAGCCCATAAAAATTGTGATGCTGACACCAGAAAATTCCAGTGAAAAGGCACAGTCAGGAAATGCTTTAGACTACATGGCCCAAGGGGCCCTTAGAGATCCTTCAACAGCCTCTAATTTGTCACAGACATGAATCCCCACTCACTGGATGTTGGAAAGAAGATTCAATCACAGAGTTTCCTTCAGGCAAGTCAGGTGTCTTTATAACTCTGCAAAGTAGAGAATCAAGAAGAAGCTGAGATTTTTCCTAAGTGGAGAGAGACCTAAATGGAAGTTCAGGAGGGACAACGGACTAGCACTCTTGTCCTTGTTCGCTGGAAGGAACCATCAAGTTGATGGGGATGGACATTGGGATAGATTTTGAGAGCAAGAGAGAACAAAGAAAAGGGTTGGGAGTGGCGGTCAGAACACATCTGCCTAGAACCTGGTTACCTACTTTGTAACATGCAGAAGTTGTACTTCCCAGAAAGGTGAGGGACCTGCCCCGGGAGGAGATCATCAGGACACAAACATCAGTGACAGGAAGAGAGCGTGTCCTTCTCACCTGCTTCTTGAAATTGCTCTTTGGTTTCCACCACTGGGAGGCTATCGGTTGCTTTCTTGTGTCTTCTGGTGCTCTCTGAAGTTAGGAAGTATTTAGAAGAGGAAGATTTGTGCTTCCAGGTCCTCCACCATCTCCCCAAACCCAGAAGCACAAGCTCCAAAAAAGTAAACAAGAGACAGAAACCGCTGACTCCAAACATGGTCTTTAGGAAAATGGTCTTCTCAGAGGGGCGGGACAGATTGCAGGTTATACTACCAAGGCAAGGTTCTCGGCGACATGCAAAGGAGCTGGGCATCTGGAACCCATACAGGTGGTACTGCAACCCCAGGGCTGCCCCCTCCAGGACAAGCCGAGCCCCCAGCTGAGCCACATAAGCCCAGAGCAGCCTGAGGCTTCCAGCCCCTGGGACATCTGTGTTGCCCTCCCGTCCCTGGATCAGGGTCTCCTCCTCCTTCCCCTTTCCTGATAATTCCCAGTGCCAGATCACGTGATACAGAGTGAAACCCATATAGAGGGCGCTGGGTACAGCCACCAAGATGACCTGGAAGACCCAGAAACGCAGCGGGGAGAGGGGGTGGAAGGCATCGAAGCAGGCAGCCTTGCAGCCCGGCTGCTGGGTGTGACACACGAATTCACTCTGCTCATCACCATAGACTCCAGGCCCACTGGCAGCCAGCAGCACAAGGCGGAATCCCAGGAGCACGGGAAGCAAGAGGCGCCCCACGGGGGTGGAGCGCCGGCTCTCCTCCGCCAGCAGCCGCCGCAGGAACCTGCCACACATCCTGTTTTGGAGCAGAGGACAAGAGATCAGTGTTGTTCACTGTCCTTCAGAGGGAGCTCCAGTCCACCTTGTCACTCCTAATCCAAGGATCACTGAAGGCAAGCTTTTTTATTCCTCTCCAAGTATCTGACTGATTAAATACCAAGACTCTGATTGCACCTCTTTACTACTTAATGAAATCATCTATGTAAAATAATAACAGTGAGTGTGTGTGGTGTGGCTCTCTCTTCTGCCCTCCCCTTCTGTACTGCTGGAGTGGAGAGGAACTCTCAGGTTGGAGAGACCAGGATACATCTTCATCTCTCTCTTTCCCTCCTTCCCTCCGTCTCTCTTTCCCAAAGGCTGAACGTAAGAGAGTAGACTGGGATGTTTTGTTAATTTTCCTTTGAAAGGTATTGCTTCCCCAGCTGATGGCTGCCAGGCCTGGTGCTCCTACAGCATCATCTTAAGCAAATTAGTGCTGATGCTGAGAGGGAATGTGCATTCTCTTGCGGTCTTCTTTTCTCTTCCTCCATGCCCTTGGATGATCACAGGTGTGTCTGGATGTCCTCTTCTCCCATCACAGTGGTAAAGTTGAGAGGTAGTTAGGTTATGGGGCTAGATGTGATGGATGAAATGAACAGAGCAAGCATCGAGGCTTGCTTTAGTCTGATGCTCTTAGGCCTTACAAGCTGAGGAAGAAGAGAACATTTGGAAGGTAACCCAGCAGAATTTACCAGAATTACATACTATAGGATTTGGGGCCAGAGCCAGAACTGACTAGATAGAAATTCAGATTTTTGACCCCCACTTGCCATTGTTCCTTGGGCATATTATCTCCCTCATGGTGACAGGCGACCATGATCAAGGATAAGTTTCAGAAATCCCTCTGTTCCCCAGCCAAAATACCACAATGCTACAAGCCCAAGTTCACCATCTCTATATTTGTCCTAATCAGCTGCCTTCCCCAATGCCCAGCAGCTGTTTCAAACCGTCCCCATTTAGCCTAAATTCTCACTCATCTGGTTACCCTCACACTCAGAAGACCATGTGGTATGGTCTGAATGATGATCAAGATGCATATGCTAGAACCTAATACAGTAGTCCCCCCTCTTATCTGCGATTTCACTTTCTACAGTTTCAGTTACCCACAGTCAACAGAGGTCCAAAAATATTAAATGGAAAATTCCAGAAATACAAAATTAATGTTTTAAATTGTGTGCTGTTCTGAGTAGCACTATGAAATCTCACACCATCCCACCCAGGATGTGAATCATCCCTTTGTCCAGGGTATCCAACGCTGTAGACGCTCCTTGCTGGTTTGTGACTTAATCGCCATTTTGGTTATCAGATCAACTATCAATACTCGTTCAAGTAACTCTTATTTTACTTAAGAATAGCCCCAAAAAGCAAGAGTAGTGATGCCAGCATATTGTTACAATTGTTCCAGTTGTTCTATTTCTTTTTTTTTTTTTTTTTTTTTGAGACGGACTCTCGCTCTGTCACCAGGCTGGAGTGCACTGGCACGATCTTGGCTCGCTGCAATCTCTGCCTCCCAGGTTCAAGCAATTCCCCTGCCTCAGCCTGCTGAGTAGCTGGGACTATAGGGGCGCACCACCACGCCGGGCTAATTTTTTGTATTTTAGTAGAAACAGGGTCACTATGTTGGCCGGGATGGTCTCAGTCTCCTGACCTTGTGATCCACCTGCCTCGGCCTCCCAAAGTGCTGGGATTACAGGCATGAGCCACCATGCCCAGCCACAATTGTTCTATTTTCTTAGTAGTTATTGTTGTTAATCTCTTACTGTGCTAATTTGTAATTAAACTTTATCATAGGGATGTACATATGGGGAAAAAAAACATAGTATATATGGAGTTTGGTACTATCCACAATTTCAGGCATCCACTGGAGGTCTTGGAACATATCTCCCACAGATAAGGTGGAAGTGCTGTACTCAATGTGATAGTATTAAGAGGTGGAAAGGTGGAAGTGCTGTACTCAGTGTGATAGTACTAAGAGGTGGAGCCCTTACCAAGTGTCTTAGTCCATTTTGTGTTGCCACAAAGGAGAACCTGAGGCTGGGTGATTTATAAAGAGGTTTATTTGACTCACAGCTCTGCAGCCTGCACATCTGCTTAGCTTCTGTTGAGGGTTTCCATACTGTGTCAAAACATGGCAGGGAAGGTCAAAGGGGAAGAGGGACCAAACCCAAGGGGCATCCTGGCTTTACAACAACCCACTCTTGAGGGAACTAATCCATTCCCTCAAGAATGAATCCAGTTTCACAGAAGCGATAACCCACTCACTGCCACAAGAATGGCACCAAGTTATTCATGAGGAATCTGCCCCCAGGACCCAAACACCTCCCCCTAGACCCCACCTCCCAACACCATCAAACTATAGGGATTAAATTACAACATGAGATTTGGTGGGAACAAACAAACTGTATCAAACCAGAGGTGATTAAGCCTTGAGGAAAGAACCTTCATGAATGAGATTAGTGCTCTTATAAAAGATGCTCCAGGGAGCCCCTCCATCCCTTCCCACTGTGTGAGGATACACAAGAGGTGCCATCTAAGAGGAACAAGCCCTTGCCAGACACTGAATCTGCTGGTGCCTGGATCGTGGACTTCTCAGCCTCCAGAACTTTGAGAAATAAATATCTCTTATTTATGAATTACCCTCTCTAAGGTATTTTGTTATAGTAGCCCAAACAGACTAAGACACCACGAAAACCTCTTACTCCAAAGAGAAAATAGAGACACTGATGTGAAACCCCACAGATACTACTTTCTCTTATCTTAATATTTACTTCCTTTTCTAACATTGTAGAGAAAGAAGTGGACCTACAGTTATCCAAGTTTACTCTGCCTTCCAAATCTGTGTCCTTGGGTCTCATCTTTCCTGCTTCTTCAAGGATTTGTTCCCCAAATTATCTTCCCTGTAATTTGGACTTCCCCTGTGGTCTCAGTCAGAAGGATGGGTTGAGATGAGTCCCAGGGACAATTCTAAGGGTCTCAATTGACCAGAGAAATATGTCATCATTCACCAACTGCAAGACACTATATTTTGAGCCATTAAGAGTCAGAGTTTGAGTTCATCTAGGTTGGTCACGCATCCTCCCTCAACCAGCCCCATCTGTGAGGATACCTGCAGCCCTGCCCCATCTTGTAAGTCTAGGGGGGGTGTCCCTGGATTTATGGGAAGCATCCCCAGGGCTCTGAGGGTTTCTGTCCTTCCTCTCTTGAGAGTTATCAGACTAGATGATCATTAGGTAAATTCTCAAGTCTTGCTGTCAGCCTTGTTTTATTTCGAAGTGCAGGTCCAGCACCCTCTAAACACATTTCC
This sequence comes from Homo sapiens, assembly GCF_000001405.40. NCBI lineage: Eukaryota > Metazoa > Chordata > Mammalia > Primates > Hominidae > Homo > Homo sapiens. Next base: position 99,932,949 of record NC_000007.14, read on the forward strand.
GTCACATTTCCAGCAGACGTGGAATTTCACACAGGGTGGGTCTGACATATTTCAAGGGTCAGGGATTCAAATCATTTCCAGAGGCCGTACCTAGTGTCCCCTTTCTTTCTGTCTCTCCCATTCCCACCCCAGGCCCATGAAGAGACACCTAAATCCTCTCAGAGGCTCTCAGAACAAAGCTGAGGTCTCCAGAGCTCACCACAGAGCTTTGGGGTTTTGGAAAGGAGAGAGGGGCAACAGTAGAACAAAAGGACCTGCCCAGGGCCCCTTGGTTTGGAGCTCTCATATCTAACCCTAAGCACCCTTCCTTGTCATTCACCTGCCTTCACCTGCAGCTGTTATCGCCAACACAATGCTTATGTCCCATGCTTTCAGGGCCTTCTGGAGGGTTCAGACAAAACTGTGCTTTCTGTCCCAAAGTCTGCATACCAAAGGGACCTCCCTATATGATAGCCTCCTACCCCCTTACCCCCTGCTTTTCAGGGACCCTGTGGTCTCTCCAATCTGGTCCAGCTGTCCCCAGCTCACCTTTCTCTTTCCCTAAGACCCACATCCTCCTCTCATCAACAAGTCTGCAGCTTTGCCCCACGGTGGACAGGGCCCCCAGGTCAAACTTCAGGACCTAGAGAGCTGAGGCTGAGAAGGAGGGGGAGATGTACCAAAGCCCCCAGCTCAGCATTGTTGGAAAAGCTCGGCTGAAGGGACACCCCTGTTTCTGAGTAGAGAAACAGCTTGCAAATAAAGTTGTCTGGGAGGTAGTAGAATTGGAGCTCTGTCAGGATTTTAGTCAGTGAAGCAACACCTGTGAGCTCAAGAGTTGGGAGAGGAAGGAAAGGCCAGGGTTTGGAGAAATTTTCTAATATCCAAACAGATTTTGAAATTCCATCATGATTTTGGTGTGAATTTTTCTTATCATCTCTTGGGAGAAAACGTCCAGGATTCTGTTGGTGGCAGAATCCATGTCAAAGAGTTAAGGTATGAGGGAGGGAATGCCCACCCCATCTGGCCTGGAATACCTTCTAGATGCTTTTATCCAGTGTGGCAACAGAGCAGCAACACTGGCATCACCAGGCATGCAGAATCTCGGGCCGTATCCCAGGCCTCCTAAGTCATATCTGAATTTCGATAATATCCTCAGGTATGATCATGTCAGAGTTGGAGAAGCCTCTCGAGAACCCAGAGCAGCCCCCCTACCACCACCACCACCACCACGAGGCCCTGAGCCAGCTCAGTGGCTCTCTGTCCCTGCACTCACCCAGTGGCTTTCAGCAGAAGCATTCACAACAGGGGAGAGAGGCCGAGAGAGGAGTCCTCAGGCTGGAGCCTGTGGGGTCCCACACTTCCCTGGCCCAGCCTCCTGCCACCACCTACTTCTTTTCCCTCCCCTTTTCATTCCTGGCAGCCTTCATGAAGGGGAAAAGAATTGCAGCTGGAGCAGCAGCAGGCCTGCTGTTAAAGAATGAGTTCTGCAGAATAACCAACCCTCTGTTGTTGAGAGTGAGGGGTGTTTTCAAAGTGAACTGAAACAGGGATTTTCAGATCATCTGAAGGGGGAGCAATGGCTTCAGTGTGTTTCCAGCACTGGGGCATGAAGGCAATGACAGGTAGAATAAAACCCCCCTGCTCTCCTGCCCAAAGTAGCTGAAGCACAAGCTTACCCACAGAAGAATGTGTGTGTGCACGTATGTATAAGTGTGAGTGTGTATTTGTATGTCTTTGTGTGTTTGTGTGTGTTTGCTTCATTTCCTCAGACAGCCTTCATCCCAGAATTTGTGGTGATTTCGGGATGTCCTCTCCTCTTGGCTGGGAGAATAGCACAGACTCCCCGCCACAGCATGATGGGAATCTGCTCCACGTCCCTTCAGGAATCCAGAGAACCCAGACCCCTCTCCGTCAGGCCCAGGGAGAACTGTGACGCCTGTCCCCATGGCCATTCCTAGCCCCACTGCTAGAGCCAGGAGTCTCTCCAGAGATACCGCCAAGAATGGGAAGCAGCAAAGTGAGGAGAGTAACTCACAGGGCTGAGGGAGTGTGCAGAGAGGGACTGGTCTCCTGTGTTCGAAGTGACAGTGCTCAGGGTCAATGCTGGACTCTTCACAGAGGAGATGCCAGAGGCAACCTCATGTATTAGTCCATTTTCACGCTGCTAATGAAGACATACCTGAAACTGGGCAATTTACAAAAGAAAGATGTTCAGTGAACTTACAGTTCCACGTGGCTGAGGAAGCCTCACAATCATGGTGAAGGCAAGGAGGAGCAAGTCATATCTCACATGGATGGCAGCAGGCCAAGAGAGAGCTTGTGCAGAAAAAAAAACCTATGAAAACATCAGATCTCCTGAGACTTATTCACTATCACGAGAACAGCACAGGAAAGACCTGCCCCCATGATTCAATTACTTCCTACCAGGTCCCTCCCACAACATGTGGAAATTCATGATGAGATTCGGGTGGGGACACAGCCAAACCATGTCACCTCGGTTCCAGATACTGCCCCTCACTAAGGCATGAGGCTCAGTCACAATAGTCCTTTCTATTCATGAGAACAACCACTTCCTGGGTGCAAAACATCCTCATAACCCAGGACTGAAACAGACGTCCACCACCCAAAATCCTATTCCCAGATGGCCTTCCTTTCCTCAGACTCTCTCCAGGACTCTAGTACCTTCTTGTCCAAAATATCTGCTGCCAGCAATTGGCTCTGCAGGACTGTGGTCCCTGCAGCAGCTAAGATGTCCTAATTCTCTGGTGCTCTCCATGGATTCAAGGAGGGGGTCTTGAGAACATTCTCCAGCCAGTGAAGCTTCTTGACTGAAAGGGGACTATCCTAAGTGCCTCTGGGAAGCCTTGCAACCTTCCTATGATTCCCAGAATGGAGCAGCCTGCAGAGCATCCTAAGAGAAACTAAGGTCCAAAGAGAAATTTTCTTGGCACCTCTCTCTAAAGCAAAGGAAAAAAATAGCACAAAATAGCATATCAAAAAAGCATCTTACTAAAATTATATTGAGAGCTTATACAAATTATAAGATAATTCTAAGTGCACCGGTACGTAAACTTAGCAAAGACATGAAAAGACCATTCATAGAAAAGGTTATTCAAAGCCTGTAAATGTTTAGTCCAGGTAGGAATCAAAGAAATAGTAAAATAGTGATGAAATACTATTTTTATCCACTTGTCACAGACTAGTTTTGTGTAAAGTGATCATATCACACTATTTTTTTTTTTTTTGAGATGGAATCTCACTCTGTCACCCAAGCTGGAGTGCAGTGGCGCAATCTCAGCTCACTGCAACCTCCACCTCCCAGGTTCAAGTGATTCTCCTGCCTCAGCCTCCCGAGTAGCTGGGACTATAGGCACATGCCACCATGCCCGGCTAATTCTTATATTTTTAGTAGAGATGGGGTTTCACCATGTTGGCCAGGCTGGTCTCAAACTCTTGGCCTCAAGTGACCTACCCGCCTCAGCGTCCCAAATTGCTGGGATTACAGGCTGAGCCACTGCGCCCGGCCATATCACACTTTATAACCTGGGCATGCAGGCCAATTCCAACGTCTTCCATTCATCTGCTGATGGTCTTAAGATTCCAAGGGCAGCACCCTTAGCCCTTGCTCTTGGGGAGAAGAACTCACAGCACACCTCTCTCCAAAAAGATCTTCTCTCTTGGCTGGTCAAAGTGCAGTGCTGTTTTCAAACAATTTATCACAACCAGTTACAAATGTCTTTGTTCCTTCTCTACTCCCACTGCTTCACTCAACTAGCCTAAAAAAAGAAAATAAATTTAAAAAAAAAAAACAAAGATATCTTCTCTCCAAAGTTAATTCTCTCTCCCTGTAATTTCCAACAACTCTGCCATTTTATACAACTTTGATGTGGGTGTAGATTTTAAGAGTAGCTTAACCTTTATTTATTTATTTATTTATTTATTTATTTATTTGCTTTTCCTTTGAATTGCTGCATCTCAGACCAGCAAATCACTTTGGAATATGATATGTGTTGTATTTCCCAAACATTGCATCTCGAAATCCCAATCAAAATTTCCAGTTTAACATCCTGTTTGACTAACATTATTCAGTGCTTAATAAATGATGGATTTTTTTTTTTTTTGAGACAGGGTCTCACTTTGTCACCCAGCTGTAGAGCAGTGGTATGAACACGGCTCACTGCAGCTTCAATTTCCCAGGCTCAAGTGATCCTCCCACCTCAGCCCCCCAAACAGCTGAGACTACAGGTGTGCACCATCATGCCCAGCTAAGTTTTGTAGTTTTTGTAGAGACAGGGTTTCTCCACATTGCCCAGGCTTGTCTAGAACTCCTGGCCTCAAGCGATCTGCCCACCTTGACCTCCCAAAGTGCTGGGATTACAAGTGTGAGCCACCATGCCCAGCCTTGAGTTAATTTCTGTGTATGTTGTGAGGTAATCTCATTCTTTTGCATATGCATATCCAGTTGTCCCAGCACAATTTGTTGAAATGACTGTTCTTTCCCGACTGAATTGTCTTGACACTCTTATCAAAAATAAATTGGCCATAAATTTAAGAATTTGCTTCCCAGCTTTCAATTCTATTCCACTGATTGAATTTATGTTTATGTATATTGTTCTTCTTTTTCAATATTTTTTATCTACTTTGGGTCTTTTGTAATTCTGTTTGAATTTTAGGATCTGTTTGTCTATTTCTTCAAAAAAGGAAACTGGAATTTTTATAAGGATTGCAATGAATTTTTTTATCAATTTGAGAGCACCACCATGTTAACAACATTAAATCTTCTAATCCATAAGCATGGAATATATATTATTTATGTTTTCTTTAATTTCTTTCAACAATGTCTTGAAGTTTTCTGTGTAGAAGCCTGGCACTTCCTTGATTACATTTATTTCTAAGTATTTTGTTCTTCTTTATGCTATTGTAAATTGAATTGTTTTCTCATTCTCCTTTTTGTATTGTTTATTGCTAGTGTATAGAAATAGAATTGATTTTAATATACTCATCTTGTATACTGTGATGTGGCTGAACTAATTTATTAATTATAGTAAGCTGTTGTGGGTTCCTTAGGATTTTCTCTACACAAGATTATGTCATTTTCAAACAAAGTTTTATTTCTTCCTTTCTAATCTAGATGTCTTTTTTTCTTGCCTAATTGCCCTAAATAGAACCGCCAGTACTAGCTAGAGGTGTTGTTGAATAGGTGTGATAAGATCACACATCCTTCTCTTGTTCCTTCTTCTAGGAGGAAAGCTTTCAGTTTTGTATATGTCTTTTATGTTTACCTATGTCATTACCTTTGCAACTGTTCTTTATTTCTTCATATGATCTCTTACTAGCATTCTTTCATTTCAGTCTGTAGGACTTCTCTTAGTATTTTCTGTAGGGCAGTTATGCTAATAATAAATTCTCTCAGTTTTTATTATCTAGAATTGTCTCAATTCCTCCTTCATTTTTGAAGGATACTTTTGCTGGTTGTAGAATCCTTGACTGACAGCCCTTTTCTTTCTGCATTTTGAGTATATCGTTCCAGTGTCTTCTGGCCTCCATGGTTTTGAGGAGATATCAGCTGTTAAACTTATTGAGGATCCTTTGTCCTTAATGAGTTGCTTTTCTCTTGCTACTTTCAAGATTCTCTCTTAAGTTGTTGTTGTTTTATCTGGTCTTTGACTTTTGACAGTTTGATCATCATGTACCTAAGTATGGATGTCTTTGAGTTTATCCTACTTGGAGTTTGTTGATAGCAAATGTGATGCATTTGCAACCGTATATTTTCTCCATGGAAACACTATTTTCTATTAGCCATCTCCACAGATCCCTGAAGGTCAAGGCCCTTTGGCCATAATTTCAACCTTCCTGATTATTATAATAATAATAACTACTTTGCTTCTGATTATTAAGTGCTGCCAAATAGCTTCTGCTGATTCAGAATCCTATCATTCCTATTGCTATTAGGGAACCAGTATATCCAGTATATAAGGGCATCTGCTGTCAGCCTCCGTCTACAGAGGATGAACACTACTGAGATTCTTACAGCTTCTAAACTCCTCATCACCAGCACATTCATTATTTCTTTGGTGAAAATGAGTATTATCCAGGACTTCCCAAGGAATAGAGTCTGGTGGTGGATTTTCCAATCTTTTGTTATAGATCTATTCTCCCACATCCATTTCTCTGAGAACTGTGAACCCTTTACTCACAATTTTCCATATGAGTTCTGACATCTCAACTTTATTAATAGAAGCTCTTGTTGTTTTCCAGCTTTCCAAAAGCCACCCCAGTATCATTTCATATCAACCTCCTAAGAATAAACTTGCTAGGGTGTTAAATCCTGTGTCCCATAAGAATGCCCTATATTGACAAACTCCTACATCCAGCTTTCTATTTTTAGTCCCCTCCCTTTGATCCAGGATCTTCAGAATCTTCTCTCTGATTTATTTTCCTTGCTCCTGATGACACATGTTGTCCAAGTCTTGAAGCTCCTTTAGTATCTAATCCATCCCTCTCCTTAGTAAGTCAAGTACTTCCCCAGTTGGGCCATGCTAAGATTTGATTTTTGTTATGGGTCTAGTGGCCAAAGGGGGAGGTGCAACACATCCTGAGGGGAGCCAGCATTTCCTTACAATGAATTTGTCTAGTGTAAGACTTTTGCAAGGTTTTCAAGCAAGAGTGGGCCTCTATCTTCCAATAAAAAGTGTGAGCCACTTCTGCAGGTCCAAATGGTCCAGAATAATCTGATGATCCAAGGACCTCAAAGGGCATCTATCTAATATCACCATCCCATGTCTCAGGGTCTTATTCTTTCCTATTGAGGTCCTGGTTTTGGTACTAGAAACTTCCCTAGGCTGAAAAATTTGAACTTCTCTGTAGTTATGCCACTCTTAAAGTTAAATATTCAGCCTGGTCTCTCTGCCTTCAGGCAACGAGAGATAAGGGTCTCTTTAAATGTTGCCAAGAAGGCATTGTAACTCTTATATTTTGCTTTAAATTGATTACTTATTGTCCTGAGCCTTTCATTTTTTTCTCTTTAAGGCATCACTGAAGCTCAGTAATAGCCACCTAATTCCATAGTCCTTTATTTTATTTTATTTTGTTTTGTTTTATTTTATTTTTGAGACAGAGTCTCACTCTTGTCACCCAGGCTGGAGTGCAATGGCGTGATCTCAGTTCACTGCAACCTCCGCCAAGTGATTCTCCTGCCCCAGCCTCCCGAGTAGCTGGGATTCCAGGTGCCCACCACCATGCCTGGCTAATTTTTGACTTTTTAGTAGAGATGGGGTTTCACCATGTTGGCCAGGCTGGTCTTGAACTCCTGACCTCAGATGATCCACCTGCCTCAGCCTCCCAAAGTGCTAAGATTACAGGCGTGAGCCACCACACCTGGCTCCATAGCCCTTATACTTGCAATTTGTCTTATATCTCTTAAATGCCAGACACATTACATCAGCCAGTGAATCTAATTCCACCTGTGTCCTAGCCTAGTTATTCCGAGTAAAAGTCTTAACACTTGCACTGCTAAAGCAAGTCAGAAACTATGCCTGCCATCAACATGGCTGTCCCCCTTGCCAGAGGGCTGACAAGTAACCCAGCCCTAGAATCCCATTCTTATGTTGTGCTTCCTAGGACCGCTCCTGGTACCCACTGTCTTAGGTTTGATTCCTTAGAAGCAGAACTTAAAAGAGACTTGAATACATGTGATTTTTTAGGTTGGACTCACCAGTAAAAATCTCTAAGGAAATAGAGGAAGCAGAAAAGGTAATGTAAAAAAAAAAAAAACTGTGCCAAATGTGATCTCAGGTAAGGTTTGAACTTGATCTTGTCCACAGGGGACCCTGAAGCATAAATCATACCACAGATTTTATCCACTTGAGGTAAAAGGGCTGTTCTTTTGTACTCCAATAACATTCAGTCATTGGCATTGGGATGCCATCGGGGAGAGGAAGAAATCATATTATCCCGGGTGAAGCCATCTCTTTTTTTTATTTTTATTTTTTTTGTTTGAGATGGAGTCTCACTCTGTCACCTAGGCTGGAGTGCAGTGGCATGATCTCGGCTCACTGCAAGCTCCGCCTCCCGGGTTCACGCCATTCTCCTGCCTCAGCCTCCCGAGTAGCTGGGACTACAGGCGCCTGCCACCATGCCCGGCTAGTTGTTTGTCTTTTTAGTAGAGACAGAGTTTCACCGTGTTAGTCAGGATGGTCTCGATCTCCTGACCTCGTGATCCGCCTGCCTTGGCCTCCCAAAGTGCTGCGATTACAGGCGTGAGCCACCATGCCCGGCCAAGCCATCTATTTAGAAAAGGAGAGAGTTCATGAGCCAATAATAGCCACCATTAACAACAGCCTGTGAGTGGGCATGCCAGCCCAGAAAAGGACATCTAGACAGGGCACCAACAGTAGATAAGAATGACAGTAGCTTTCTTGTTGGAAACAATATAAGCTAGAAGACAGTGGAAAAACATGTTTAAAGTAATCAAAGGAATAAATTGCCAATGTAGAATTATATACCCAGCAAAAATATTTTTCAGGCCAGGTACGGTGGCTTACACCTGTAATCTTAGCACTTTGGGAGGCTGAAGTGGGCAGATTGCTTAAGCTTGGGAATTCAAGACCAGCCTGGGCAACATGGTGAAACCCCGTCTCTACAAACAAAAAAATACAAAAATTATCCAGGTGTGGTGGCACACGCCTGTAGTCCAGCTACTTGGGAGGCTGAGGTGGGAGGACAGCTTGAGCCTGGGAGGTGGAGGTTGCAGTAAGCTATGATCACATCACTGCACTCCAGCCTGGGTGACAGAGGGAGACCCTATCTCAAAAATATTTTTTTTCAAAAGCTGAGGCAAAAATTAAAACTTTTTAAGATATATAACAGTTGGAAGAATTCATCTCCAGAGTGAATGAAAAAACATATATGCACCATGATAAATGGTAAAGGAAGTCCTTTGAGCTAGAAGAATTTGAAACCAGATAGAAACCTGGATCTACGTTAGAGAATAAAGAACACCAGAAGTGGTAACTATGAGGGTAAATATAAAGATTATTTTTGTTATTATTTAAATCGTTTTAAAGATAATTGATAAAGATAATTAACAAGGACAAACTTAAGAGAATATAGATGATAGTCGTGAAAAGGCACTTCACAGAAGAAATCCAAATGGCCAATGGACAAATGAAACGTTTCCAGAGTCAACCCTTCCCCACTTTATCTCTAAAGATAAAGACAAAGATAATCTTTCACTTAAAGCGAAAAGATAACAATGTATTATGGGGTTTATAGCATATATTGAGGTAAGATATATGGTAACAATTATATAAAAGCCAGGAGGGAAGAAATGGGAGTATACTGTAAGGTTCTTACAATGTGTGAAGAGTGCTATAATATCAATTGAAGTAGACTAATAACATGAAGATATAAACCATAAGCCTAAAATAACCCAAAAAGGGTTATAGTTAATAATACAAACATGGAGGTAAAAATAAAATTATATATAAATATATGCTCAATCCAACAGAAGGTAGAAAAAGAGGAAAGGGGGAACAGATCAAACAAATGGCACAAATAGAAAACAAATAGCAACATGAGAGGTTTAAACCTAACCATACAAATCATCACATTAAATATAAATGATCTAACCATTCCAATTTATAGGCAGAGATTAACATATTAACTTACAAAGCAAGACCTAACAGTATGCTGCCCAAAGATAACTCACTTTAATTATAAAGGTACAAGGTTAAAAGTAAAATAATGGAAAATATACCATGCTGACACTAATCAAAAGTAACCTACAGTGACTATATTAATATCAAAGTAGATTTCAGAGCAAAAAATATTACCAGAGATAAAGAAGATATTTGATTGTTACAAATGAGTCCATTTATCAAATCCTAAATGTTTACACACGTAATAACAGAGCTTCAAAATACGTACAGCAAAAATTAATAGAAATACATGGAGAAATAGACAAATTCACAAAATAGTTAAGGAGCCAACACCCATCTCTCAAAAATTGATAGGACAAGTAGACAGAAAATCAGTAAACAAATAGAAGGCTTGAACAATACTATAAGCCAAATTGACCTAATCAACAAAATTGACAATAGAACATTCTACGCAACAATACATTCTTGTCAAGAGCACACAGAACATCTACCAAGATAGATCATGTTCTACACCATAAAATAAGCCTGGATACATGTAAAAGGATTTAAGTGATACAATATATGTCTTTGATCACAATGGAATTAATAGGGATGGTTTCAGTGCATATATATATATGTCAAAACATCACATTTTACATTTTATGTGCAGATTTTTGTATGTTACACTTTGCTAAAGCTGCTTTTAAAAATATATATAAAGAGCATGAAAAAGCAAGCCTTGTTATCAGGGATATATAAAGAACTACAAATCAATAACAAGGACAAACTTAAGAGAATATAGATGATAGTCATGAAAAGGCACTTCACAGAAGAAATCCAAATGGCCAATAGACAAATGAAACGTTTCCAGAGTCGACCCTTCCCCGCTCTGCAAAATCACTTCTCAAGAAGAAGCCACAGAGTCAGGTGTGTTCAGCACATTTTTGCTCACAACATGTGATTATATCCTTGGAAACCAAGAGTTGTGACCCCACCATTCTGGGTTACACAGATGGTCTAGCCAGAGTGACCAAAGTCCTTGTCTAAATGTCTGAAGTGGGAGTGGAAAGTGGGGAGCTGCCTAGGACCCAGGAAATAGGGGACATTTTTCAGTTGCATGAGTTTCTCCTGAGTCCTCAATGGCTCCATTTATAAATGTCCCTAACCCTGGGTCAGTGTGGGTATCGGGGGAGGAGACTAAAGTTGGTGATGGGGATTGGGGGGATGGGGATTCTGCCTAATTATTTCTAAGCTTCTGACAGCACCCTAAAGCACAAAGACAAACTTCTCTTTCACAATTATTTTCTGAGGATTAATGCCAGAAAAGAAGCCCCCAAGGGTAAAGGGAGCTCTCATTCCACTTCTTCTATCAACAATGCCCTCTTTGTCTCTCTCCTTCCCACCAGACAAGACCAGCCTCCTCCCACAGCCATACGTTGACAACACGTGCCAAGGCCTGGGGCAACAGGGTACCCAGGGTGAAGGGCTCACCCAAGAGTAGGGAGCGAAGAGAAATGTGGAAGCTCAGCACCTCTGTGCCCCAAGAACGATGATGAAGTGGCGTCATTTGTCTGGAGTAATACCCAAGATTCATTGCCTCACGCCAAGGAAATCAAGAAGGTGGAGACGCACAAGGAGGAGTTTAAGATTGGAGGTTTAATAGGCAAAAGAAAGAGAAAAAAGAAAAGCTCTCTCTCCTGCAGAGAGAGAGGGACTTCCGAGTGGGTCTTCCGGTTTTGTGGTGAAATGCACGGGGGGGGGGTTTTATAGACAAGCTTGAGGAGGCAGTGTCTGATTTACATAGGGCCCGAGAGATTAGTCAGACCAGGTGTGCCATTTGCATAGCGCACCAACAAGTTGGCCATCTCACCTTAACCTTTTATTATGCAGATGGGGTCTCTACTTGGCCATCACCACGTTGCCTGCTTTTTTACTGCAAGCGTGTTGACAAAGGAAAGGGAAGAGGGCACCTCCATGTTGAATATACCTGGCTTCCAGGTGTCCCTTTTCTATTGGCACAGCTGTTGGCATTTACCTATGCAAGCTTTTAGCTTGCTTATCTATGCTTGCAGCTTAATTTTTCAGGCTGCTTATTGTTAGAAAAGAAATTATTTGGGGGCTGCTTTTCATTAAAGGGAAATCTTACCACGGACTCTCTTACCCTCACTATCTGCCTAAATAATTTTTTTCTAGCTCCTGTATCAATGACAGAAGGGATCTTTCTTCTCCCTCCCTCTTTTCCACACCTGGGTGCATCTACCTGGTTTGGGGGAGGGTGAGCGACACAAGGAACAAAGGTTGAGAAGGAATCAGCAGAAGAAAAGGCTCAGAACTGAAAACAAAGCATCTTCCACAGAGTCAAATATAACAGCACAGGGCCTAGGATACTGTGTGACCTAGAGAAAAGGGAGCAAAGCCAGCCTTGGGCCCATCTTTCCGCAGAAATCTGGAAGAAACAAAACTATAAACTGGTGAGGTCTTAAGAGTGCACAGGTTTTAAATCTGTAATATTGACCAACAGTCAGCAAATACATTTCTTTCTCACCAGTATGGCAATGATTCAACTGAGCAACAAGTTGAAATCAAAGAACTGGTGGTACGGAGGCAGCATCCTGGTTTTATTCCATGCTCATCCCTTCCTGTTCATGCCTGGATTTTTTTAACTCTTTTTCTTTTTCTTTGTGAAACAGGGTCTCACTTTATCATCCAGGCTGGAGTGCAGTAGCACGATCTTAGGTCACTGCAACCTCAACCTCCAGGCTCAAGTGATCCTCCCACCTCAGCCTCCTGAGTAGCTGGGACAACAGGTGTACACCACCATGCTTGGCTAATTTTTTTTGTTTTTTTGTGTGGTTTTTTTTTGTTTGTTTGTTTGTTTTGAGACGGAGTCTAGCTCTGTCACCCAGGCTGGAGTCCAGTGGCGTGATCTCAGCTCACTGCAAGCTCCGCTCCCAGGTTGACGTCATTCTCCTGCCTCAGCCTCCCGAGTAGCTAGGACTACAGGCGCCCACCACCATGCCTAGCTAATTTTTTTTTTGTATTTTTAGTAGAGATGGGGTTTCACTGTGTTAGCCAGGATGGTCTCGATCTCCTGACCTCATGATCCACCCTCCTCAGCCTCCCACAGTGCTGGGATTACAGGCTTGAGCCACTGCGCCCAGCCTTTTTTTTTTTTTTTTTTTTTGTATTCTTTTGTAGCGCCGTGGTCTCACTATGTTGCCCAGGCTGCCTGAATTTTCTAATAAATTCTCCTTCCTGTACTTTCTTTCTTTCTTTTTTTTTTTTTTATTTTGGAGACAGAGTCTAGCTCTGTCACCCAGGCTGGAGTGCAGTGGTGCCATCTCAGCTCACTGCAACCTCTGCCTCCCAGGTTCAAGTGATTCTCCCGCCTCAGCCTCCCGAGTAGCTGGGATTACAGGTGCCTGCCACCACGCCCAGCTAATTTTTTGTATTTTAGTAGAGATGGGGTTTCACCATGTTGGCCAGGCTGGTCTCAAACTCCTGACCTCAGGTGATCCACCCACCTCAGCCTCCTGAAGTGCTGGGATTACAGGAGTGAGCCACCGCGCCCAGCCTCCACCATGTGCTTTCTAGCATATAATGGCAAGTCTTTCTGCCCATATGAGCATGCAACACTAGAAAGCTGACAGGAGAAAAAAGGCTGGACATGAAGAGCATGTGGGCAGCTCTTGACCCCAGTTGCCAGGTCCTCCTTCTTGACTTCTTGCTGCCCCACAGTAGGACTCTGCAGTTCACCCCCACCGCAAAGTCCTCTACATTTTCACAAGTCCTTACTTAGTGACTTTCTCTACACCAGAATGTTTAGGCCCAGTGAAGTCCTCCCCAGGTTTCAGGCCACTGCCCACCCCAGCAATCAGGCCTTCTTCCACTATGGTTTTGAATGCAGGAAGGCTGAGTCTCTGGGATCCTGGAGCCAGGTGGTGGGGATGGAGGATAGGAGAAGATCCAAGTTCAGAAAGTCAGGAAAGAAATCTTGTGGGAATGTGAATTAATTCAACCATTGTGGAAGACAGTGTGGCGATTCCTCAAAGATTTAGAACCAGAAATTCCATTTGACCCAGCAATTCCATTACTGGGTATATACCTCAAAGGAATATAAATAATTCTATTATAAAGATACATGCACATATATGTTCATTGCAGCACTATTCACAATAGCAAAGACATGGAATCAACCCAAGTGCTCATCGATGATAGACTGAATAAAGAAAATATGCTACATATACACCATGGAATACTATGCAGTCATAAAAAATAATGAGATCATGTCCTTTGCAGGGACATGGATGAAGCTGGAAAACCATTATCCCCAGCAAACTAACGCAGGAATAGAAAACCAAACACTGCATGTTCTCACTTATAACTGGGAGCTGAACAATGAGAACACATGGACACAGGGAGGGGAACAACACACACTGGGTCCTGTCAGGGGAGGATGTAGGTTAGGGGAGAGCATTAGGAAAAAGAGCTAATGCATGCAGGGTTTAACACCTAGGTGATGGGTTGATACGTGCAGCAAACCACCATGGCACACGTTTACCTATGTAACAAACCTGTACATCCTACACTTGTACCCAGGAACTTAAAAAATAAAATAAAGCCAAGCACAGTGGCTCCTGCCTGTAATCCCAGCACTTTGGGAGGCCAAGGCAGGTGGCTTACCTGAGGTCAGGAGTTCAAGACCAGCCTGACCAACATGGAAAAACCTTGTCTGTACTAAAAACACAAAATTAGCCAGGTATGGTGGCACATGCCTGTAATCCCAGCTACTTGGGAGGCTGAAGCAGGAGAATCGCTTGAACCCGGGAGGCAGAGGTTGCAGTGAGCTGAGATCGTGCCATTGCACTCCAGCCTGAGCAACAAGAGCGAAACTCCATCTCAAAAAAAAATAAAATTAAAATTAAATAAAAAAGAAAGAAATCTTCATGGTAACCTTGAAAAACATCGTAGACTCTGCCAAGGAGAGAGAGGGCCAATGCACTGAGGACTGTGGTTGGAAGGTAGAAACATGCTGTTTTCACAAGCTCATGGGGCAGCCCCAAGCAGGTGTGAAAAGGAGGATTAGCAGGAAGAAAATATCAAAGCCCTGAAGGAGAGATCAAAGGTAAAAGTAGAAATGCACAGACATTTCCCCATTTCCCAACCCCACAACACATCTGCTTCCTCCTTCCCCATCATTCTCTCATCTTCTCTCCAGGCCTCAGCTCACACAGGAAGTGATAGCAGAGTCACTTCTTATCCAGGCACCCCTGACCTCTCACCTCCACACCCAACTCATCTGAGGATGATCCCTCTTAGAAGGTATCAGACTTAGGGCTGGACATGGTGGCTCATGCTTGTAATTCCAGTGCTTTGAGAAGCCAAGGCAGGAGGATGCTTGAGGCCAGGAGTTCCAGACCGGACTGGGCAAAAGAGCAAGATTCCCACCTCTACAAAAATTTAAAAATTAGCTGGGCATGGTGGTGTGCACCTGCAGTCCCTGCTGCTTAGGAGGCTGAGGCAGGAAGATCGCTTGAGCCCAGGAGTGAGACTGCAGTGAGCTATGATGGCACCACTGCACTCCAGCCTGAGTGACAGAGCGAGACCCTAACTCAAAAAAAAAAAAAAGAAACTAAGAAAGAATCAGGATGGTGGCTCTGCTAGTCACTACCTGCTTGACAATGAGCAAGTAACTTAATTCTAGGCTGCATTGCATCAATGAGTTGTGAGAATTCAGTGTAGCAAAACCAGCCTATATGAGTTTCCTGAGGGCAGGGAAGATGTGCCTCTTGATCTTCCCTGAAACCCCTTTGCCAAAGACAATGTTCAGCATTTAGAACTTGCTTGGTAAATAGAGCCCATAGTTTGCAGTCCATGCTAGCTACTCACAAATTGTTGTTTTCCTTGCCACAGACTGTGAGAACTACACGGAACCCTAAGGAGCTACTAATCCAGCTGACACACGTGGAAACTGACTCAGACTAAGTGATACATACAGGCCATATGGACTACCAGACACAGGGCAAGACTAGATGCTGGTTCCTCAGACCAGGTGAAGTGCTGATACCAAGGCATGCAATAAGGGGTAAAGGGTGGAATTAGAGAACAAAATGCTGAGAATCTGGCTCCAGGAAGAGAGATAAGAAGGTAGCCTGGACTGTCTCCTAAGCAGGAGTGATTAAAGCACGGGGAACTGGGAAAGAAGAAGTTATGAGTTACAGGGATGATGGGCACTAGGTATTTACAGTAGACGGGATTTATTAAGTACTGTGTACCAGGTGCATGTTATTTCTTTTATTTTACCTTAATTGTTTTAGAAACAGGGTCTCACTCTGTTGCCCAGGCTGGAATGTGATGATGCAGTACAGCTCACCGTGATCTCAAACTCCTGGACTCAAGCAATCCTCCCACCTCACCCTGAGTATCTGGGACTACAGGCATGCGCCACCACACCTGACTAATTTTTTTAAATTATTTTTTGTAGAGTCAGGGTCATTAATCATAATGCTCACTATATTGGGTAAAATCCTTATTAGGAGTTACTCTTTTAAAAAATCAGATGGAGGAGGTTGAAGCTCTAAGCCCAGGTTGCACTGATCTCAGAAAGTGGGATTCAAGGAGAGGAAAACAATGGAGAATTATTACAAATGGATGGTAGGGATGGGGACACCAGGAATTTGGGATGAGGATGCTAAAAGTAAGATAAATGATGGCCAGGCACAGTGGCTCACTCCTGTAATCCCAGCGCTTTAGGAGGCCAAGGTGGGCAGATCACCTGAGGTCAGAAGTTCGAGACCAGCCTGACCAACATGGAGAAACCCCAACTCTACTAAAAATACAAAATTAGCCGGGTGTGGTGGCGCATCCCTGAAATTGTGGCTGCTCGGGAAGCTGAGGCAGGAGAATGGCTTGAACCCAGGAGGCGAAGGTTGCAGTGAGCCAAGATAGCACCATTGCACTCCAGCCTGGGCAGCAAGAGTGAAACTCCATCTCAAAAAAAAAAAAAAAAGACTAGAAGTAAGAATTCTACAATCATTAGACTGGGCAGATGAACTCTTAAGACGGGAAGAAAAGTTGCAAAACGTTAGAGCTTTAAAATAATTTTACTTGGTTTTGGAATACTTATGAATGTCATGTCTGGTTCTCTTACTATTTACAATATATCCAAAGAAACTGTTTACTGACTTCAGCGGCTGCAAATCTGATTTTTCTCTTCCAGCCCACTCATAGGCTCCTTCTTGTGGCAAAACATGATATTACTCCTAAGACTCAAACACCAACCTAAGCACAAATATCTGGCAAGTGAAGACATTAAGAGTTTTGTTTTATTTGCAAACTGTGCATCTGACAAAGGTCTAATAGCTAGCATCTATAAGGAACTTAAACAAATTTATGAGAGAAAAACAAACAACCCCATGAAAAAGTGGGCAAAGGAGAGGAACAGACAGTTCCCAAAAGAAGACATACAGGCGGCCAACAGACATATGAAAAAACTCAACATCACTGGTCATTAGGGAAATGCAAATCAAAACCACAATGAGATACCATCTCATACCAGTCAGAATGGCTATTATTAAAAAGTCAAAAAATGACAGATGCTGGCAAGGTTGCAGAGAAAAGGGAACATTTTCACATTGTTGCTGGGAATGTAAATTAGTTCAATCATTGTGGGAAGCAATATGGCGATTCCTCAAAGAGCTAAAAGCAGAACTACCATTCGACCCAGCAATCCCATTACTGAGTATATACCCAGAGGAACATAAAGCATTCTACCATAAAGACACATGGGCCAGGCGTGGTAGCTCATGCCTGTAATCCCAGCACTTTGGGATGCCAAGGCAGGCAGATCACCTGAGGTCAGGAGTTCAAGACCAGCCTGGCCAACATGATGAAACCCTGGGCTCTACTAAAAATACAAAAGTTAGCTGGGCACAGTGGCTCACACCTGTAATCCCAGCTACTCAGGAGGCCCAGGCAGGAGAATCATTTAAACCCAGGTGGCAGAGGTTGTAGTGAGCCAAGATTGCACCACTGTACTCCAGCCCGGGTGACAGAGCTAGACTCCGTCTCCAAAAAAAAAAAAAACAAAGACACATCCACATGAGTGTTCATTGCAGCACTATTTACAATACTGAAGTGCCGAGACCAGCTCGGTTGGGGAGACCCTAACCCAGCGGCGCTAGAGGAGTTAAAGATGCACACACAGAAATATAGAGGTGTGAAGTGGGAAATCAGGGGTCTCACAGCCTTCAGAACTGAGAGCCCCAAACAGAGATTTACCCACATATTTAGTAACAGCAAACCAGTTATTATCATTGTTTCTGTAGATATTAAATTAACTAAAAGTATCCATTATGAGAAACAAAGGGATGGGCCAAATTAAAGGAATAGGTTGGGCTAGTTAACTGCAGCAGGAACACGTCCTTAAGACACAGATCGCTCATGCTATTGTTTGCAGCTTGAGAATGCGTTTAAGCGGTTTTCCGCCCTGGGCAGGCCAAGTGTTCCTTGCCCTCATTCCTTCATTCCTGTAAACCCACAACCTTCCAGCTTGGGCGTTAGGGCCATTATGAACATGTTACAGTGCTGCAGAGATTTTGTTTATGACCAGTCTTGGGGCCAGATTATGGCCAGATTTTGGGGGGCTTGCTCCCAACAGTGAAGACATGGAACCAACTTAAATGCCCATCAGTGACAGATTGGCTAAAGAAACTGTGGTACATATACACCATGAAATATTATGCAGCCATAAAAAAGAACAAGATCATGTCTTTTGAGGGAATATGGATGAAGCTGGAGTCTATAATCCTTAGCAAACTAATGCAGCAACAGAACACCAAATACCACACGTTCTCACTTATAAGTGGGAGCTAAATGATGAGAACTTATGAACACAAAGAAGGAAACAACAGACACTGGGGTCTGCTTGAGGGTGGGAGGAGGGAGAGGAGCAGAAAAGACAACTGTTGGGTACTGGGCTTAATACCTGGGTGATGAAATAATATATACAACAAACCACGATGACACATGTTTACCTATGTAACAAATCTTCACACGTACCCCCAAACCTAAAATAAAAGTTTTAAAAAAGAGTTTTGTTTTCAAAATCCTTTCTTCCTAGGAGGTTGCAAATTTTACTGAATAAGAATAACCAGGGATGGGGCCTGGCACGGTGGCTCATGCCTGTAATCCCAGCACTTTGGGAGGCTGAGGCAGGTGGATCACCTGAGGTCAGGAGTTCGTGACCAGCCTGACCAGCATGGAGAAACCCTGTCTCTACAAAAAATACAAAAGTTAGCAGGGCATGGTGGCACATGCCTGCAATCCCAGCTACTCAGGAGGCTGAGACAGGAGAATCACTTGAACCCAAGAGACGAAGGTTGCAGTGAGCCGAGATTGCATCATTGCACTCCAGCCTGGGTGACAGAGCGAGACTCTATCTAAAAAAAAAAAAAAAAAAAAGTAGTTCCTTGGAAGTTAAAGGTTAAGCTTAAGGACTGATTCAAAGGCAGGTGCAAAAAATAAACCCTCTTTTGTAACCCAGAACTCATTTTTCAGTATGAGTTTTGATACATATAAGAAGGAAAGCTAGGCATGGTGGCTCACACCTGTAAACCTAGCACTTTGGGAGGCCGAGGCGGGTGGATCACGAGGTCAGGAGATCGAGACCATCCTGGTTAACATGGTGAAACCCCGGCACTACTAAAAATACAAAAAATTAGCCGGGGGTCGTGGCGGGTGCCTGTAGTCCCAGCTACTCGGGAGGCTGAGGCAGGAGAATGGCGTGAACCCAGGAGGTGGAGCTTGCAATGAGCCGAGATTGCGCCACTGCACTCCAGCCTGGGTGACAGTGAGAGGCTCCGTCTCAAAAAAAAAAAAAAAAGAAGGAATATGATACCTGAGATAGTTTAAAATAATGGAGGTATTGATAACCATAAAGGTTGGTTCCAGGACTGTAGGGTTGATCATTTAAAAGCATAGGACATAAGGAAAATCTCAGCTATGTTGATTTAGTATTCCATTGGAGGTGGAGCTTGCAATGAGCCGAGATTGCGCCCCTGCACTCCAGCCTGGGTGACAGTGAGAGGCTCCGTCTCAAAAAAAAAAAAAAAAAGAAGGAATATGATACCTGAGATAGTTTAAAATAATGGAGGTATTGATAACCATAAAGGTTGGTTCCAGGACTGTAGGGTTGATCATTTAAAAGCATAGGACATAAGGAAAATCTCAGCTATGTTGATTTAGTATTCCATTGGAGGTGGAGCTTGCAATGAGCCGAGATTGCGCCACTGCACTCCAGCCTGGGTGACAGTGAGAGGCTCCGTCTCAAAAAAAAAAAAAAAAGAAGGAATATGATACCTGAGATAGTTTAAAATAATGGAGGTATTGATAACCATAAAGGTTGGTTCCAGGACTGTAGGGTTGATCATTTAAAAGCATAGGACATAAGGAAAATCTCAGCTATGTTGGTTTAGTATTCCATTGTCATGCTTACATGATATGTCAAGACAGCTTTTCTTAAAGGCTTTTACCTTGAGAACATGATTCCTAGAGTTGTAATGGCATATCCCACAGATTTGTACTATGCTTGAGTGTGATTCCTCAGGAACGAATATGATTTGAACTCATTCACGTTTAGAGAGGGTGTCAAGTTGAAAACCAGGCAGATTCACTTACCCTAAAAATGACTCTAAAGTAAAATGATTGAAGAAATTAGATTCCAAAGATTCTGGGTGGAAATTCTGAAGTATATTTACATTCATGTGGACATAAAAGAGGCCAAAATTCAAGAACTGTGGGCTGACAGGAGAGCTGTGGATTAAGCACCAGTTCTATTAAAAGGGAGGCTGGGCACAGTGGCTCACACTTTTAATCCCAGTGATTCAGGAGGCTGAGGTGGGAGGATGGCTTGAACCCAGGAGTTCGAGACCAGCCTGGGCAATATAGCAAGACCCCATTACAGGTATGAGCCACTGCACCTGGCCTCATCTTTTAATTAGCATAAAGCCCTTAGTTCCTACAGCTTTGCTCCACAAGAGTGAAGTCAACGCTGAGCCTCAGCAGGACATCTCTTCCCACTGTGGGCCCCGAAGCTTAGTGAAGCTAACTTGCTGGCCTCTGGAGAACCAAAATCTGTGTCTAGAAATGGTTCCAGCAACTTCTCCACACCCCATGATGAAATAGATTACTGGGCTTTTTCCTGATGTGATGCAAGATCAAATACACTTTGCATAATTCAGATTTTAGACTACACCAGCCAAAACCACAAGGACACTGTGCTACTGTCTTGAGTTGGTGACTCTCTTTTCATTCTACCTAATCACCCTGTGGCCCTGGGTGACAGCCAGCCTCTCTCCAGCCAAGAAGATCATGACTACAGTTGTGTAGTATTTGGTTCATAAAAGATCTGAACAGGAAATTCAGGCCATTGCAGGCTGGAGTGCAGTGGCGAAATCATAGCTCACTGCAGCCTCGAACTCCTGAGCTCAAGCAATCCTTCCTCCTTAGCCTACTCGGTAGCAAGGACTACAGGCATGCACCACTATGCCTGGCTCATTTTTTTTTTTTTTTTTTTTTTGGTTTTCGTAGAGACAGGGGTCTCAATATGTTGCCCAGCTGGTCTCGAACTCCTGGACTCAAGTGATCCTCCCACTTCAGCCTTCCAAAGCACTGGCATTACAGGTATGAACAACCATGCCTAGCCCCATATTAGTATTTTCCCTTTTTTTTTTTTTTGTACTTTTAGTAGAGTCAGGGTTTCACCATGTTAGCCAGGATGGTCTTGATCTCCTGACCTCGTAATCTGCCTGCCTTGGCCTCCCAAAGTGCTAGGATTACAGACGTGAGCCACCACACCTGGCCCCATATTAGTATTTTTCCTGTACAATATTGGATGAGCAATATGTAAAAATACTGATTTGAACAGGTTTATTCCATTTAGTCAGAGAAGATAAGCCAAAGCGCTCAGGAGGAAATTGCCCAGCCAGTGACATTTCACAGTAATGTCGAATACTTTGAGCAAATAAAGAATAGCACATGACAGGAGGAACATTTCAATTTTTTTAAAAAAAGCAAAGGGCAACATGAGCAGGCCAGGGCAAAGGAAGATTTGAATGTGAGCTCTGGCGTCATGACAGGAGAGATGGGTAGGGGTAGAAGAAGGGGAGGAAACCTCAGAAGATCCAAGTCTTGGCCAGATGTGGAGGGGGAGCAATGGGGCACAGAGCTACTCAGAATTCTGCAAACTCTATTTATTTATTTATTTATTTATTTATTTATTTATTTATTTATTTATTTTTGAGATGGAGTCTTGCTGTGTCACCCAGGCTGGAGTGCGGTGGTGCAATCTCGGCTCACTGCAACCTCCGCCTCCCAGGTTCAAGCAATTCTCCTGCCTCAGCCTCCTGAGTAGCTGAGATTACAGGCGCCCGCCACCACACCCGGCTGATTTTTGTGTGTTTAGTAGAAATTTTTGTGTGTTTTAGTGTGTTTTGTGTGTTTAGTGTGTTTAGTTCACCATGTTGGCCAGGCTGGTCTTGAACGCCTGACCTCAGGTGATCCACCCACCTCAGCCTCCCAAAGTGCTGGGATTACAGGCGTGAGCCACAGCGCCCGGCCTGAAAACTCTTTTACACAAACCCAAGCGTCTTCTGTGCCTCAGTTTCCCCACACTCCTTGGCTTCCTGGGAGACCCGGCCCTTCACTCCAGCCGCTCCGCATCTCCACACCATGTTGGTCTTGGCTCACACATCCAGAGCTTGTTTGAGAACCCTCAGCTCTCCAGGGCACAGCTCAAGGATACAGGAATTGGCCCTGGGGTTGTCAGATCCCCTCCAAGTCCCAGGGAGTGAGTTTCCTCAAATGAGTCACCAACCGCCATGCACAGGTTTCAACCGCAAAAGACACAGCAGAGCTCTCACCTTGACCTTCTCATGAAACCTCACCTGCCTGTGTCTGTGCTTTTCCTTCCCGTGGCACAGAACTTTCCTTACATCCTGTCCTCAGCCTCCCACTCTGGATTATTCCAAAGTCCATCCTCCAAGCTGGGCTCCTTAAGGAAATCATTCCCAGCCTTCAGAATTCTAAGTCAAACATCTCATCTTTTTGGAAAGCCTAAATTTGAAGTTATCCTTCCCCACCACCCGCTTTTTTTTTTTTTTCTTAATGCTTTGGGTTCAACTTGGAAATCAAAGCTGAGAAATTACTTCTTCAGACTAATGAAATCCGCATTTCCTCTTCTGGGGCAAAAAGTTCTATCTGAACATATAGAGCCCCAGGGAAGAAAGCTCAATCAAGAGGGAAAAATACAGCAACTGTATTTTTCAATTCAAAAAGGATGACACCCTCAACAAATAAAAGGATAAAGAATCAACAGCTTAGGTCAATAAGGAAACCAAAAGCTCGTGTGAGCAGGTCAGGGCTAAAGAACATTAAAAATGGGATCTGGCCTCATCTGTAACAGGAAAGAGGAGTGGGGTGGACAAGGGGGAGGAAACCTCAGAAAACTGAAGTCCTGGACAGGTGTCAGGGTTGGGGAGAGGGGCACAGAGCCACTGAGTCACCCAGAGAAAAACCCCCGTAGGGAATGATGTATCAGAGATGTGAAGACCTAAGAGCTTGCCAAGAGGCGGTCAAAAGAATGTTTCTGCCAGGGGAGGTCGGTCACTACTGTAATCCCAGCACTTTTGTAGGCTGAGGCTGGTGGATCACCTGAGGTCAGGAGTTTGAGACCAGCCTGGCCAACATGGTGAAACCCCATCTCTACTAAAAATACAAAAATTAGCTTGGCATGGTGGCAGACACCTGTAATCCCAGCTACTCACAAAGCTGAGGCAGGAGAATCACTTGAACCCAGAAGATGGAGGTTCCAGTAAGCCAAGATCACGCCACTGCACTCCAGCCTGGGTGAGAGAGCAAGACTCCATCTCAAAAAAAAAAAAAAAAGAGTGTTTCTAACCAGGTCAGCATGAAACAGCAAGTGGGTGTGGGGGACACAGGAGCCTGACAAGGGAGGTGACCTGGGGGTAGGGCTGGGCCATGAGCATAGACTAGGCATCAGGGATGATAAAGGAGTCCAGAGAACCCAATGTGGTTCCTTCGACAGTCACTGCTTGCTCCCCCAAAGGAGGACCACTGTTAGATTCTCCCACAGGTAGGACCAAATCCAAGTGCAAATTGAAGAGGCCCCAACCCAAAGAGTCTCATTGCCAAAAATGATCTCTTTTAATAATTTCTCAGTCACCTTAGAATAGCATGTCACTTTGTACACCCCATGTTATACTGTTCATAACATTTAACAGAAGAGAGGATGATATTACTCCCAATGTCACAGGAGGTGTACACTCCCCTATGATATTGTTCCTAATCTCCAGAGGGGAAGAGGATGATACTACTTCCAATATCCCAGGGGGGTGTACAGCCCCCCCTGTGATATTTTTCATAATATCCAAGGGGAAAGAGGGTGATATTACTCCAAATATCACGGGAGTGTACACCCCCCATGATATTTTTTGAAATATACATGAGGAGAAACAATGATATTACTCCCAATATTGCAGGGGGTGTACACGCCCTTGTGATACTGTTCATAATATTAAGGGAAAAAAAGAATATTATTCTCTCCCGCCTGAATATTACAAACAATATCACGGGGGGAGGTTCATCCCCTGCGATATTGGGAGTAATATCATCTTCTCCTCCCCTAAATAGTAAAAGCAATATCATAGGGGAATGTACACCCCCTGCAATACTGGGAGTAATATCATCCTCCCTTCCTGTGAATATTATGAGCAATATCACAGGGGGTGTGATATTGTTCATAAAATTGTTCGTAATACGCCCGCTGATATTGTTCGTAATATTAAGGGGCAGAGATGATAATATTACTCCCAATATCTCAGGGAACATACACTCCCCTGTGATATCATTTATAATTTTCAGGGGCAGAGAGAAAAATGATCTCCTTTAATAATTTCTCAGCCACCTTAAAATAGCATGTCACTTTGTACACCAGATGTTATATTGTTCATAATATTCAACAGAAGAGCGGATGATATTAGAAGAGGGGAGGTACAATCCCCTGTGATATTGCCCGTAGCATCCAGAATAGAGAGGATGACATTATTCCACATATCGCAGGGTGTGTACACCCCCTGTGATATTGTTTGTAATATCCAGGGAGGAAGAGGATGATATTGCTCCCAATATTGCAGGAGATGTATACCCCCCTGTGATATTGTCCCTAATATCCAGGGGCAAGAGGACGATATTACTCCCAATATCGCAGGGGGTGTATACTTCTCCTGTAATATTGTTCCTAATACCAAGTGGGGGAGAGGAGGATACTACTTTCAATATCGCAGGAGGTATACATTCCCCTGTGATATTGTTTTTAATATTTAGGGGAGGAAAAGATGATATTACTCCCAATATCACAGGGGATGGACCCCCCCGTGACATTGTTTGTAATATTCAGGGGGGAGATGATACTATTTTCGATATCGTAAGCACTGTGTGTGTACACTGTCTGTGACATTGTTCCTAATATCCACAGGGAAAAAAAGATGATTTTACTCCTTATATCATAGAAGGTGTACACCCCTCTGTGATATTGTTCGTAATATCCAGGTGGGGAGAGAATGATATTACTCCTTATATCGCAGGGTGTGTACAACCCCCTGTAATATTGTTTGTAATATCCAGAGGGGAAGAAATGATATTGCTCCCCATATGGCAGAGGATATAGACCCTCCTATAATATTATTCGTAATATCCAGGAGGGGAGAGGATGCTATTACTCCCCATTTCACCGGGGGTGTGCACCCTTCTGTGATATTGTTCATAATATCCAGGGAGAAAGAATATAATATTACTCCCCATATCGCAGGGGTTGTACACCCACCTGTGATATTGTTTCTAATATCCAAGGGGAAGAGAATGATATTACTCCCATAAACAGGGAGGTGTACACCCCCCTGTAATATTCTTCATAATATCCAGGAAGGGAGATGATATTACTCCCAATATGGTAAACACCCTGTGTGTACACCATCTGTGATATTGTTCGTAATATCCAGGAGGGGAGAGGGTGATATTACTCCCAATATCGCAGGGAGTGTACACTCCTCTGTGATATTCTAGGAGGGAGGATAATATTACTCCCGATATCGCAGGCAGTATACACCCTCCTGTGATATTGTTTGTAATATCCAGAAGGGGAGAGGATGATATTACTGCCCATATTGCAGGATGGTCACACCCACAAGTCATATTCTCCAAAATATCCAATGAGGGTCAGGATGATGTAACTTCCCATATGGCAGAGGGTGTACACTGCCCCGTGATAATGTTCATAATATTCAGTGGGGAGAGGATAATATTACTCCCCATATCGCAGGGTATGTACATCCCCCTGTGATATTGTTTGTAATATCCAGGGAATGAGAGGATAACATTACTCCTTATATGGCAGAGGGGGCACACCCCCCCGTGATATTGTTCATAATATCCCTGGAGGGAGAGGGTGACATTACTTCTTATATCGCTGATGGTGTAAACCCTCCTGTGATATTGTTGGTAATACCCAGGGGAAAGAGGATGATATTACTCCCCATATTGCAAGGAGTGTACACCTTCCTGTGATATTGTTCGTAACATCCAGGGGGGAAGAGGATGATGTTACTTCCCTGTGATATTGTTCATTATATTCAGAAAGGGAGAGAGTGATGTTACTCCCAATATCGCAGAGGGTGTACACCCTTCTGTAATATTGTTCATAATATCCAGGAGGGAAGAGGATAATATTACTCCCAATATCACAGGGGGTAAACACCCCGTTGTGATTTTGTTCGTAATCTCCTGGAAGGGAGATGATATTACTCCCAATATGGTAAACACCCTGTGTGTACACCGTCTGTGATATTGTTCGTAATATCCAGGAGGGGAGGGGATGATATTACTCCCAATATCGCAGGGGGTGTACATCCCCTGTAATATTGTTCCTAATATCCAAGGGGGAGAGGAGATTACTGCTCTTCATATCGTAGAGGGTGTACACCCGATTGTAATATTGTTCGTAATATCCAGGAGGGGAGAGAATGATATTACTCCCCATATCGCAGGGGGTATACATCCCACTTTCATATTGTTCATAGTATCCAGAGGGGGAGAAAATAATATTATTTCATATATCGCAAGGTGTGTACACCCCCCTGTAATATTGTTTGTAATATTTAGAAGGGGAGAGGATGACATTACTTCCCATATCACAGGGAGTGGACATCCCCCTGTGATATTGTTTGTAATACTTAGGGAGGGAGAGGAAGATATTACTCCCCATATCGCAGAAGATGTACACCCCCCTATTATATTGTTCCTAATATGCAGGGGGGAAGGCATGATATTACTCCCCATATCACAGGGGGTGTACATCCCCTTGTGCTATTGTTCATAATATCCAGTGGGGGAGAGGATGATATTACCTCTCCGTGATATTGTTTGTAATATCCAGAGGGGGAGAAAATAATATTATTTCCTATATCACAAGGTGTGTACACCCCCCTGTAATATTGTTTGTAATATTCAGAAGGGGAGAGGATGACATTATTTCCCACATCACGGGTGGTTCACATGCCCCTGTGATATTGTCCATAATATTTATGGAGGAAATGGAAGATATTACTCCCCATATCGCAGGGGGTGTACATTCCGCTGTGATATTTTTTGTAATATCCAGGGAGGGAGAGGATTATATTACTTCGAATATCACAGGGGGTGTACACCTCCATGTGATATTGCTTGCCATATCCGGGGGGGAGAGGATGACATCAAGTTTAATATTTTAAACACCCTGTGTGTACACTCCCTGGTAATATTGTTAGTAATATCTAGGGAAAGAGAGGACAATATTAAACCCAATATTGCAGGGGGGTACACAACCCTGTGATGTTGTTCATAATATCGAGGGAGGAAGAGTATGATACTACTTCCAATATCGCAGGCAGTGTACACCACACTGCGATATTGTTCCTAATATCGAGAAGGGCAAAGGATGATATTACTCCCAATATCGAAGGTGGTGTACTCTCCCCCTTGATATTGTTTCTAATATCCAGGGGGGAGAGGATGATATTACTCCCAATATAGCAGGGGGTGTACACTTCCTTTGTGATGTTTTTTCTAATATCCAACGGGGCAGAGGATAATATTACTCCCAATGTCGCAGGGGTGTCCACCCCCCACTGTAATATCTTTCCTAATATCCAGGGGAAATGAGGATGATATTGCTCCAATATCGCAGAAGGTGTATTCCTCCCTGTAATATTTGTTCTTATGTCCAGGTGGAAGAGAAAATGACATTACTCCCAATATTGCAGGTTGTGTGCAACCTCCGTGATGCTGTTCCTAATATTCAAAGCGGGAGAGAATGACATTACTGCCAATATCACAGGGGGTGTACAACCCCCACTGTGATATTGTTCCTAATATTCAGAATGGGAGAGGATGATATTACTCCCAATATTGCAGGGGGGGTAACACCCCCTGTGATATTGTATTTAATATCCAGGTAGGGAGAGGATGATATTACTCCCAATATAGCAGAACGTGTACACCCCATCCCTGTGATATTACTCCTAATATCCATTTGAGGAGAGTATGATATTTCTCTCAATATAGCAGGGGGTGTACACTCCCCCTGTGATATTGTTCCTAATATCCGGGGGGGGAGAGGATGATATTACCTTAATATCGCAGGGGTTTTACACCCCCCTTTAATATTGTTTTTAATATCCAGCGGCAGAGAGGATGATATTACTCCCAATGTCGAAGGGGGATACACCCCTTCTGTGATATTGTTCCTAATATCCAGGGGCAGAGAGGATATTACTGCCAATATCGCAAGGAATATACAACCCTCTGTGATTTTGTTCCTAATATTCAGAGGGAAGAGGATGATATTTCTCCCAATGTCGCAGGGAGTGTATCCCCACTCCGTAATATTGTTTCTAATATTCGGGGGCGAGAGGATGATGTTACTCCCAATATCTCAAAAAGTGTACACCTCCCTGTGATAATATTACTCTTAATATCGCAGGGGGTATACACCCCCACTGTGATATTGTTCCTAAAATCCAGGCGGGGAGAGGATATTATCCCAATGTCTCAGGGGGTGTACACTTCTCTGGTAATATTGTTCCTAATATCGGGGGGGTAGAGGATAATATTACTCCCAATATCGAAGGGGGTGTACACCCTTAATGTAATATTTTTCCTAATATCGAGGGCAAAAGAGGATTATATTATTCCCAATATCGGAGGAAGTGTACAACCCCCATCATGTTGTTTCTAATATCCAAGTGGGGAGAGGATGATATTACTCCCAATATCGCGGGAGGTGTACACCCTTTCTGTGATATTTTATGTAATATCCAAAGAAGGAAAGGTTGCTTTACCCCCAATATCGCAGGGGGTGTACATACCCCCTGTGACATTGTTTTTAATATCCAGGTGGAGAGAGGATATTACTACCAATATCGTAGGGCGTGTACACACCTTCTGTGACATTGTTCCTAATATCCAGGGGGTGAGAGGATGATGTGACTGTCAATACCGCAGAAAGTGTACAGCCTCCCCCCAATGCCGTGATATTGTTCCAAGTAGGGAGAGGATGATATTACACCCAATATCGAAGAGGGTGTACACCTTCTCTGTGATATTGTTCCTAATATCCAGGTGGGGAGAGGATAATAGTACTCCCAATATTGCAGAGGGTGTACACCCCCCTTGTGATATTGGTCCTAATATCCAAGAAGAAAGAGCATGATATTATGGTCAATATCGCAGGGGGTATACACCCTCCCTGTGACATTGTTCCTAATATTTAGGTAAAGAGAAGATGATATTACTTTCAATATCGCAGGGGGGGTACATACCCCCTGTGACATTGTTCTTAATATCCAAGTGGAGAGAGGATGATATTACTCCCAATATTGCAGGGGGTGTACACCCTGCCTGTGATATTGTTTTTAATATCCAGAAGGAGAGAGGATGATATTACTCTCAATATCGCAGGAGGTGTACAACCTCCTGTGATATTGTTTCTAATATCCAGGAAAAAAGAGGATGATATTACTTTCAATATGGAAAGAGGTGTACACCCCCACATGATATTGTTCCTAATATCCTGGTGGGGAAAGGTTGATATTACTCCCAATATTGCAGGAGGTGTACACACCTCCTGTGTTAATTTTCCTAATATCCAGGGGATAGACAATGACATTACTCCCAATAACTCAGGGGGTGTACACCCCCTTTGTGATGTTGTTCCTAATATTTAGGGGTGAGAGGTTGATACTACTACCAATATCGCAGGGGGTGTACACCACCACCCCGTGATATTCTTTCCAATATCCCGGGGGAAAGAGAATGATATTACCCCCAATATTGAAGGGGGTGTACACCCCCCCAGAGATATTATTTTTAATATTCAGGAAGGAATAAGATGATATTACTGGCAATATCGCAGGGGGTGTACCCTCCGCCTGCAATATTCTTCCTAACATCCAGGTGGGGAAAGGATGATATTACTCCCAATATCGCAGAAGGTGTATACACCCCTGTGATATTGTTCCTAATAACCATGAAAAGAGAGGATGATATTACTTCCAATATAGCAGGGGTTTTACACCCCAAATGTGATATTGTTTCTAATATCCAGGAAGGGAAAATGATACTACTTTTTTTTTTTTTTTTGAGACGGAGTCTCGCTGTCGCCCCAGCTGGAGTGCAGTGGTGCGATCTCGGCTCACTGCAGGCTCCGCCCCCCTGGTTCACACCATTTTCCTGCCTCAGCCTCCCGAGTAGCTGGGACTACAGGCGCCCACCCCCTCGCCCAGCTAATTTTTTATATTTTTAGTAGAGCCGGGGTTTCACCGTGTTTACCAGAATGGTCTCAATCTCCTGACCTCGTGATCCTCCCGCCTCTGCCTCCAAAAGTGCAGGGATTACAGACGTGAGCCACCGCACCCGGCCTGAAAATGATACTACTCTTAATATCGCAGGGGGTGTACACCCCTCCTGTGATATTGTTCCTACTGTCCAGGGTGAGAGAACACGATATGACTCCCAATATTGCAGAGTATGTACACCCCCCCGAGATATTGCTCCTAATACCCAGGGAAGGAGAAGATGATATTACTCCCAAAAGCACAGAAGATGTACACCCCTCCTGTGAAATTCTTCCTAATATCAACGGGAAGAGAGGATGACACTACTCCCAATATCTCAGGCGGTGTACAACCTCATCCTCTCCCAACCTGAACATTAGGAACAATATCACAGGGAGCGTGTACACCCCATGCGATATTAGGATTAATATCCTCTCCCAAATTGGATATTAGAAACTATATCAAAGGGGGGGATATACATTCCCTGCGATATTGGGAGTAATATTATCCTCTCTTCCCATGGATATTAGGAACAATATCCCAAAGGGAGAGTACACTCCCTGTGATATTGGGAATAATATCATCCTCTCCTCCTCTGGATATTAAGAACAATATCACAGAGGGTGGTGTATACCCCCTGCAATATTGAGAGTAATATCATCCTCTCCCCTCCCAGAATATTACGAACAATATTACAGGGGGGTTTACACCCCCTGCGATATTGGAAGTAGTATCATATTCTCCCCTCCCCCCCGCATATTACAAACAATATCACAGGGGAGTGTACATTCCCTGCGATACTGGGAGTAATATTATTTTCTCCCCCCTTCCCCGGATATTATGGACAATATCACAGGGTGGTGTACACACAGGGTGTTTACCATCTTGGGATTGATATCATCCTCCTCCCCGGATATTGCGAACAATACCACAGCAGAGTGTACACCCCTGCGATATTCGGAATAATATCATCCTCTCCCCCCTGGATATTACGGACAATATCACAGGGGGGTGTACACCCCCTGTGATTTGGAAGTAATATTATCCTCTCCCCTTCTGGATATTACAAACTATAACACAGGGGCTTGTACACCCCCTGTGATATTTGCTGTAATATCATCCTCTTCCCCCTTGCATATTATGCACAATATCACAGGAGGGTGTACATTCCCTGAAATTTTGGGAGTAATATCATTCTTTTTTCCCTGGATATTACAGACAATATCACAGGGAAGTGTACACCTACTGCGATATTGGGAATAATATTACCCACTCCCCCTCTGGATACTGCGAACAATATCACAGAGTGGTGTACATCTCCTGCGGTATTGGGAGTAATATCATCCTCCCCTTGACTGGATACTACAAACAATATCACAGTGGGGTACACACCCACTGCGATATTGGGAGTAATTTCATCCTCTTCCACCCTGAATATTACGAACAATATTACAGGCGGGTGTACACCCCCTGTGATATTGGGAGTAATATTATCCTCTCTTCCCCTGGATATTATGAACCATATCACAGAGGTGTGTACACCCCTTAGATTTTAAAAGTAATGTCATCGTCTCCTTTCCTGGATATTACAAACAATATCACAGGGGAATGAATACCCAAAGCGACATTGGGAGTAATATTATCCTCTCTTCCCCTGAATACTACAAGGAATGTCACAGAGGGGTGTACCCCCGCTGAGATATTGGGAGTAATTTCATCCTCTCCCCTCTTGGATATTTCGAACAATATCACAAGACAGTGACCACCCCCTGTGATATTTGCATTTATATCATCCTCTTCACCCCTAAATATTATGAAAAATATCACAGAGGGGTGTACAACCCTTGGGATATTGGGAGTAATATTATCCTCTCCCCTCCCTGGAAATTACAAACAATATTACGGTGGTGGTGTACATCCTTTGTGATATTGAGAATAATAGAAATTTCTCCATCTTGGATATTAGGAACAATATCACAAGGGGGGCTGTACACCCCCTGCGATATTGGAAGTAATACTATTCTCTCTTCCTTTGGATGTTAGGAACAATATCACAAGGGCGTATGCACTTCCTGCGATATTAGAAGTAATATCATCCTCTCCTACCCTGGATATCAGGAACAATATGACAAAAGGAGTGTACACCTTCTGTGATATTGGGAGTAATTTCATCGTCTCCACCCCTGGATATTAGGAAAAATATCAAAAAAAAGTTTTCACCCCCTGCGATATTGGGAGTAATATCATCCTCTCCCTCCCAAGATGTTAGGAACACTATCACAGAGGGGTGTACACCCCCCGTACACTATTAAAAGTAATATCTTCCTCTCCCCCCTGGATATTAGGAAAAATATCACAGAGACCTGTACACTTCCTGCGTATTATCCACTCCCACCCTGGATATTAGCAAAAAAATCACGGGGGGGTGCACACCCCCTGCGATACTGGGAGTCGTATCATCCTCTCCCTTCCTGAATATTAAGAACAAGATTACGACGGGGGATGTAAATTCCCTGCGCTATTGAGAGTAATATCATTTTCTCCCCTCCTGGATATTAAGAACAATATCTCATAGGGGGTGTACACCCCCTGTGGTATTGGGAGTAATGTCAGCTTCTCACCTTTTGGTTATTAAGAACAATGTCACGGGGGGAGGATGTAGACCCCTGCAATATTGGGAGTAATATCCTCTCCACCCCTGGATATTAGGAACAATATCAAAGGGGGGGTGTACAACCCCTGCAATATTTGGGTAATATCATCCTTGTCCCCCCTGAATATTAGGAACAATATCACAGAGAGTTTAAACACCCCTTGTATATTGGGAGAGATATTCTCCCCTCCCCAACTGGGTATTAGGAACAATATCAAGGGGGGGTGTACACCTTCTGTGATATTGGGAGTAATATCATCTTTCTTCACTCTGGACATTATGAACAATATCACAGGGGGGTGTACACTGGCAAGTAATATCATCCTCTCCCTTCATGGGTATTAGGTACAATACCACAAGGCGTCTAGGGACACCTGAACAATCCCCAAGGGAAAGGGGGTTCAGGCCACACTTGGGATTGCCCAGGTCAAGGTGCCCAGGAACCATGGCCTCCAGGGGAAACCAAGAGTTTCAGATGAATTCAGTGCTTGAGGGCAGAACCAATGAGAAAATCTAGTCACATTTCTACAGCGCATCACCGTTAAAAAAAGGATTCTCTGTTATGCTAGGCAAGGAGGGATGATTATTTATTAGCTTCTACAGATTAGACAATGGGGTGGGGGTGGGCTCAAGGTGAGATGATTTTTTGGGTCCAAGTCTACTCAAGACAGGCATCCCAGTCTTCGGTCTCCAAATCCACCTCCTGTCTGTCCCCCCACACTGCTCCTCAGGCCTTGTGGATCCATTGACTGTGATTTCTGTGGTTCAGCTCCCACATCAGGCAGGAAGGGCAGCTACTGGGTCTGAGATCCCACATTGCCTCCAACCCTTGCTTCCTAGCTGGCCTCCCAGGGCACCACGAGGGGCTGGGCCAGGCTGCTGTGCTGCACGTGGCAGGAGTAGGGGGCTGTGTCCTGCGGGGGCACTGCCACCACCACCCAGGACTGGTAAGTGCCATTTCCATTGTGAAGAACATCTCCCCGTAACTCAGGCTCCTGCACCTCGCCGGCCCGAGTCCAGTGCACATCAATTTTCCCTGGGTAGAAGTCGTAGGCCAGGCACTTCAGTTTCTTCTTTTCTCCTGGGGCCTGGTGGCTGGTGACCACCACAGAGGGAGGATCTGTGGAGGGATAGAGTGTGACACTGCAGGCTTGAGGTGGACTTCTCCCGGCCCAGGTCTCTTCCTACCCCCACCCCTGGATGTCAGCGATCAGCAGAGCTCGAAGCTCTGTACCTGCCCACCCCCAGCCCCGGGAGACTTTCCAGAATATCAGGGAAGGCTGACGCTTTCCCTCTTGCCCAATCCCCACCTCACCCATGTATTGACTCTGACGGCAATAAGTTGTGAATGCTCCGTGTGCTTCTCCATGTTTTCCCACATCTCAGTGGGCTTTGGAGTTCTGTCCCCCAGTCTCAGTCCAGCTGCTTGGTTCAGCCCATGCCTCTATCCAGCAACCACTTCCCTGCAGCACTGCACAATCCTGAGTCTCACTACGTCTCCAATCCAAGTCTCAGCTTGCAGCCATCAATTCCGCTCACACTGGCTTGCTCTTGTCCTTCTGGGGCTGACATTTTACACGCCTCCCTTCTCTCCACCACCCAGATGGGAGGCATCATTGTAGAGATAAAAAACGATGGGATTTGGAATCTGAAATCTGGAATTTGAGTCCCAGCTCTGCCTCTTACAGACAGTGTTACCCTCACCTCCCTAACCTCAAGCTCCTTGTCTGTTAATTGGAGATGATTTGGGGACACTCATCAAGAAAGAATGGCCTTCCTGGCCCATTCTGCCTGAAATTTTGATGATGTTCTTTTTGGACCACAAATTATATTATCCCAGGGAAGGAATAAATCCTAAAAGATGAAAGCTGGGGGTCTGAGGGACATCCAGGAACAGATGAGACCGGACTAAGATGTTGCCTGAGCTCCTAGCCTGAGATCGTCTTTTATTCTGGGCTCAGTACTGGGGAGCAGGAAGCAGTGAGTACCTTGCCGGTCCAGGATATTTTTGCTGTATTTCAGGTATTTCCGCAGAGTCGCAGGGCACTCCTCCTCCAGGTAAGCCTTGGCCCGCTGCACGTAGACTGGTTCTGCCTCCCACTTCTGCTTGGTTATCTGGGCTGCTGGGTCGAAGGGGACCCAGGCTGGGATTTCTTTGTTGAATTCAATGTAGTCCTTTCCATCATAGTAATATTTCCAGAATGCTCCGCTGCTTCTGTTATTCTCGATCTCACAACCAAACCTTCCCTGCAATACGTGAGACCCTGAAAACTCCCCCGACCCCACAGAGAGACAGTCAGCCTGGTGAGAAATTTATCAAAATAACTCTTAGTCTTGCACATTGGGCAACCCAAAAGAAATAAAGGTTTTTGCAATTCAAGCATGCAATCCCTTTATCAAGACAAATAGGTTATTACTCCAATATATACAACAGACAGAGAGGGGCTAACTCAGTTTGGTTTGGCATTTCAGGTTTGTCTCAGATGAGATATGTTCCTCCTTAAGAGAGCTACAGCCTGGGCGCTGTGGCTCATGCCTGTAATCCCAGCACTTTGAGAAGCTGAAGCGAGTGGATCGCTTGAGCCCAGGGGTTCCAGACCAGCCAGGGTGATATGGCGAAATCCCACCACTACAAAAAATATAAAAATTAGCGCAGCATGGTGGTGCATGCCTGTAGCCCCAGCTACTCAGGAGGCTGAGGTGGGAGGATCACTTCAGCCTGGGAAGTCAAGGCTGCAATGAGCCAAAATCACACTACTGCATTTCAGCCTGGGTGACAGAGTGAGACCCTATCTCAAAAAAAAAAAAAAAAAAAAAAAAAAAAGCACCAGGCCCAGTGGCTCACACTTGTAATCCCAGCACTTTGAGAGGCTGAGGAGGATGGATCACCTTAGGTCATGAGTTCGAGACCAGCCTGGCCAATATGGTGAAACCCCATCTCTACCAAAAATATAAAATTAGGCTGGACGCAGTGGCTCATGCCTGTAATCCCAGCAGTTAGGGAGGCTGAGGCCAAAGGATCACCTGAGGTCAGGAGTTTGAGACCAGCCTGGCCAACATGGTAAGACCTCATCTCTACTAAAAATACAAAAATTTGCTGGGTGTGCTGGCACATGCCTGTAATCCCAGCTACTCATGAGGCTGAGGCAGGAGAATCGCTTGAACCTGGGGGACAGAAGTTGTAGTGAGCCGAGATGGAGCCATTGTACATCAGCCTGAAAGACAGAGCAAGACTCAGTCTTAAAAAAAAAAAAAAAATTAACCAGGAGTAGTGACACATGCCTGTAGCCTGTAGTCCCAGTTATCGGGAGGCTGAGGCAGGAGAATCCCTTGAACCCAGGAGGCAAAGTTTGCAGTGAGCTGAGATTGCATCACTGCACTCCAGCTTGGGTGACAAGAGCAAAACTCCATCTCAAAAAAAAAAAAGCTACAGAATATGAATATATTTCTATCTCTTCTATAGCATCTCTTCTAAGGACAATTATTTGTTTGAATTTATGCTGAGTCCTGAGGAAGCTGTCACAACTACACCAAAGTGTACTTCCAAATTGGATAGAAATTATTTGTGATTTCATATGAGTAAAGGAAGGCTCTCTTTTTCTCTCAGTTCTAGGAAGAGTTCATATCATCACCTAAGTAACCCTAATCTGATCACTTCTTTCTACCTTTCTGGTGTTTGATATCTTTATCCCAAATCTCTAAAGCCCCAACCTTCTTGCCCATTAGCCACAACTCTCAGAAATGGACCTCATAGGGCAGGGGACACAGCCTCTTTGTTCTGATGATAAAAGCAGGTGTTTACCCAGCACTGGTTGGTGCTGTTGGCATAGACTCTGAAAGCTCTCAAGCTGTCTGGGCTCACGTCCCAGGTCTCTCCCCAGCCCCCCACCCCCACCTGGTGTGTTGCCTGAACTGGAGCCACTCAACTCCCTGTGCCTCTATTTCCTCACCTCTGAAATGGCAATGCCAAGAGCACTGTTTTAGGGGGCTATTCTGAGCATTATATATGCTCATAGATGGGCCTGGCACAAAGTAAGTGCTCAGTAAATGTCAGCTACTATTATTTCCTTTTTTTGTTTTTTGTTTTTTGTTTTTAGACAACGTTTCACTCTTGTCACCCAGGCTGTAGTGCAATGGTAGGATTTTGGCTCACTGTAACCTCTGCCTCCTGGGTTCAAGCAATTCTCCTGCCTCAGCCTCCTGAGTAGCTGGGACCACAGACGTGTGCCACCATGCCAGGCTATTTTTGTATTATTAGTAGAGACAGGGTTTCACCATGTTGGCCGGGCTGGTCTCGAACTCCTGACCTTAGGTGATCTGCCTGCCTCAGCCTCCCAAAGTGCTGGGATTACAAGAGTGAGCCACCAAGCCCTGCCTTCTATTATTTTCTAATACCCTGTGTTCATCTCCTCATCCTCCTTCCTCTTAATTATCCACTTTGCCATTTCTATTCCTGTCCATCAATGCTTCCCCCAGTGTCTTTTCTGATCACCTGTGCCCCCTCCTCTCCTATTGCTGACACACAGCCTGGGCCATTTTCCTTACCAAGACCTCCCCCACCCCACATCCTTGAAACATCTGCCTATCTCTTTCTTGCCTCCTTTTGAAAATCTTCAGATCCCATGTAGCACCTTGGGCATTTTTGTACTTAGTAGCCCATCTTTTGACACCCACTCTATGATAATTTAACACCAGCAGTTCACCAGACCTGAGGTTGGCTGCCTTGGGGCTGGCAGTGTGGTTTAGGAGAAAGAGCACTGGGCCGGGGGCACAGGGACCATCTCTGCACGGGCTCTGCCACCAGCTCCTCTGACCATAGCGCAGGTGGCCCTTCCTGGGTCTGCATCGTATGGTAAGGAGGAACTTTAGGGCTCCAAGGAACTCTAACAGCCCACAGTTTTGAATCCAGCACTTCCTGAGCCCCCAGCATGGGCTACGGTGTGTGCTGGGTGCTTTTCTCTGTTGATTCCACAAATTTCAATTGAGCCAATATTGGCTGTACCCTGTGCTAGGTGATGGAGCTGCAAGGGAGATCAGGACAGACTGTGACATCCTTCATAGAACAGACATAGTTAAATATTACAGACTTGTTTGGAGGTAGGTCTCAGTGCTCCAATGTTTGCAGATTTCAACCAGATATTTTGGGAACGTTTCACTGTCAACAGCTAGGACTGGCAGAACCACCAGGTGAGCCCAGGTCTGAGTGACTTTGAGAGTGGCTCACTCTCCAGGCAACCTCCCTGGACAGGGGTGAGTCTGATGCCTTCTCACGGGGGTATCAGCCTCCGATGGGTGGGGTGTGGAGGTGAGAGGTCATAGGTGCCTGGATAGGAAGTGACTCTGCCATCACTTCCTGTGTGACCTGAGGCCTGGGATGAGGATGGGGCAATTGATGGGGAAGCGGGGAGCACCTGTGCTGTGGGGTGGGTGGGATGTGGACATGTCTGTGTTTCTGCTGTGTCTCCTGTTCTTCCCCTGGGATTGGGACTATTTCCATCCTGCTGATCCCTTGCCACTCACACTGGGGGGGCTGCCTCTTGGGTTAGACCTTCCACCCCTGTGGTCTGTTATTCACTGACCGTTACTGTCGTTGTAATACTCCACGATGTCTTTCAGGGTCTCCATAAAGATGTCCTCCCTGGCCTTCTGAAGTTGGCTGTCCTGCTTCCAATCCTCCATTCCTTCCACCTGTCTCCAGAGTCCCATGGGCTGAGACTTCCTGTCTTTACTGTTGTATCTAAAGAACTGGAGGTCATTGAGTGAGCCAAGGGCCTGAAACGCGGGGACGTCTTCAACATGCTTGGACAGCCCAGTGTAGATATAGGTCAGAGAGTAACGACCTGCAAAAGAAAAGATTCTGATGGTTGAGGTCCATGCAAGGGTCCCACTGTGGGGCTGCATAGGGCTAGGAGGGGAGACCTGCCACTGGCCTTTTCTTCCCCAGCTCTTTCTCCTGCCATCAACTTCACACCACTGGAGGCTCACTCAAGTGAATATGCTCTACTTTCATGCCTGAGATGATATTTCAGAGACCATCCTGTGTCTTCACTACATTATTTCCTCTGCTTGACACATAGGAAGATAACATTACTCAGCCACCTCGAAGATATATTGGGACCATGTGACTGAGTTTTGTCAAAAGAGAATGTGAGCAGAAGTGATGTCTTTCTTCTTGTCCAAGACCCTACCAGCTGGCTTGTCCCTTTTGTTTCTCATCCCTAGAGGTGACGACTTTGAAGGCCACAGGATAATATGAAAGAGTCTCAATATGCAATTGGCCTGGATCCCTGAGTCACCCCATGGAGGAATGGAACCTTGCCCAGTGTGCATGGAATCTGACATGCGTTAGAAATTAACATTTCTAGGCTGGGCTCCGTGGCTCATGCCTGTAATCCCAGGACTTTGGGAGGCCAAGGCAGGCAGATTACTTGAGATCAGGAGTTGAAGACCAGCCTGGCCAACATGGTGAAACCCCATCTCTATTAAAAAATACAAAAATTAGCTGGGCATGGTGGTGCGGGCCTGTAATCCCAGTCATGCTGGAGGCTGAGGCAGGAAAATCACTTGAACCAGAGAGGCAGAGGTTGCAACAAGCCAAGATCATGCCACTGCACTCCAGCTTGGATGACAGAGTGAGACTCCGTCTCAAAAAAAACAAATTAACATTTCGTCCGGGCTCAGTGGCTCACGCCTGTAATCCCAGCACTTTAGGGGGCCGAGGCGGGTGGATCACGAGGTCAGGAGATCGAGACCATCCTGGCTAACATGGTGAAACCCCGTCTCTACTAAGAATTCAAAAAATTAGCCAAGCATGGTGGCGGGTGCCTGTAGTCCCAGCTACTCAGGAGGCTGAGGCAGGAGAATGGCATGAACCCGGGAGGCGGAGCTTGCAGTGAGCTGAGATCATGCCACTGCACTTCAGCCTAGGTGACAAAGCAAGGCTCCATCTCAAAAAAAAAAAAATTAACACTTCTAGCTTAACCTGACAAATACATATAGTTAGAAAGGGTAGAAAGGAGAATTTACCAGAAAATTCAAGAAATGACCCAGACTGAATTAGCACAGGGTAAGACTAGGATGGAGCTCAGAATTCCCGGGGTTGTACCTTGCATTTTGGTACAAGGTGGGATCTGGGAGAGAGGGACATTTCCATAATAGTTCCATAATTATTTTATGATACAATTTACACAGGTGCTAATGATGTTGGAGGTCATATGGCAGAATCCTAGTTCAATTACTAAAATTATTCTTGCTCCTGAGTGTCTAAATGTGATTAGCCTTTAAATCAGTAGACCCTACAATTGAATTCATGGACATAGAGAGTAGAAGGATGGTTACCAAAGGCTGGGAAGGGTAGTGGCAGGGTTGGGGGGAAATTGGGAGGGTGGTTAATGGGTACAAAAAAAATAGTTAGAAAACTATTTGATAGCACAACAAAGTGACTCCAGTGAATAATAATTTAACTGGGGCCAGGTGTGGTGGCTCATGCCTGTAATTCCAACACTTTGGGAAGCTGAGGCAGGTGGGTCACTTGAGGTCAGGAGTTCGAAACCAGCCTGGCCAACATGGTGAAACCCCATCTCTACTAAAAATACATAAATTAGCCGGGCGTGGTGGCACACACCTGTAGTCCCAGCGACTCAGAAGGCTGAGGCAGGAGAATCGCTTAAGCCCGGGAGGCAGAGGTTGCAGTGAGCCAAGATTGCACCACTGCATTCCAGCCTGGGCAACTCTGTCACAAAAAAAAAAAAAAAAAGAAGAATGAATAAGACCTACTATTTGATAGCACAACAGGGTGACTATAGTCAATAATAATTTAACTGGGGCCAGGTGTGGTGGCTCGTGCCTGTAATTCCAGCACTCTGGGAGGCTGAAGTGAGTGGATCACTTGAGGTCAAGAGGTCAAGACCAGTCTAGCCAACATGGTGAAACCCTATCTCTATTAAAAATACATAAGTTAGCCGTGTGTGGCAGTGTACACCCGAGGCAAGATAATTGCTTGAACCCAACAGGCGGAGGTTTGCAGTAAGCCAAGATCACGCCACTGCACTCCAGCCTGGGTGACAGAACAAGAATCCATCTCAAAAATAATAATAATAATCATAATTTAATTGTACACTTTTAAATAACCAAAAGAGAGGCCAGGCGCAGTTGCTGACACCTGTAATCCCGGCACTTTGGGAGACCAAGGCGGGCAGATCACGAGGTCAGGATATCAAGACTAGCCTGGCCAACATGATGAAACCCGTCTCTACTAAAAATACAAAAAAATTAGCCAGGTGTGGTGGCAGGTGCCTGTAGTCCTAGCTACTCAGGAGACTGAGGCAGGAAAATTGCTTGAACCTGGGAGGCGGAGGTTGCAGTGAGCCGAGATCATGCCACTGCACTCCTGCCTGGGTGACAGAGTGAGACTCTGTCTCAAAAATAAATAAATAAATAAATAATCAAATACTTTTAAAAACTAAAATAACCAAAAAAGTATAATTGGATTGTCTGTAACACAAACGATAAAAGCTTGAAGGGATGGATACCTCATTTTTGATGATGTGATTATTTCACATTGCATGCCTGAATCAAAACCTCTCATGTACCCCATAAATATATACACATACTATGCACCCACAGTTTTTTTTTTAATTTACAAAAAAATCAGTAGACCTTGAGTAAAGTGGATTACTCTCCATAGTGGTGGGCTTCATCCAATCAGTTGAAGGCCTTAAGAGAAAAAGCCTCAGATGTCCCCTAAAGAGGAAAGAATTCTGCCTACAGTCTGCCCTTGGAATCAAG
This sequence comes from Homo sapiens, assembly GCF_000001405.40. NCBI lineage: Eukaryota > Metazoa > Chordata > Mammalia > Primates > Hominidae > Homo > Homo sapiens. The sequence goes on from NC_000007.14 coordinate 99,974,954, forward strand.
ACTAAGACATCAACTCTTCCCTGGGTCTCCAGCCTGCTGGCCGGCTCTGAAGATTTAGGACTTGTTACTCCTCCCAATAGTGTGAGTCAATTTCTTAAAATAAATCTCTACTCTCTCTCTCTTTTGTATACATATATGTAAATCTCTTCCTATGTGTGTGTGTATCCATGTGTATACAGTGTATGTATGTATGTGTACGTACATATATATGTATATGTGTACCACCTATTAGTTCTGTTTCTCTGGAGAACCCTGAGTAATTCAGATTTTGGCACAGAATCAGATTAACATTCCAAAGTGATTGTTATATAACAAACATATAACACCTTTTCTGACAATTTGTAAATGTCATGAATTTTAAACTCACACAACTGAGAAGCCATTCGCTTCCATGTCTTTATCCTGCACATTCTCATGCCACAAACAGCCTCCTTCCCTTATCCTAGGAGTGACTCTTGATCTCCCGGAGCTCCCACTCTCTTCTCTTCCAGCCACTCGCCTTCCAGACCCACTGCAGTGGTGTCTGAGTGTGGGATTTGGGCACGGGTTTCCTTCTAGCACCATCCCTCCAGCCAACCTGCCTTCCCACTTTCCCCTTGGGGCTGCTCTCTCTTTCCCTCAGCGTCAGGCAGGTGTACCCAGCCATCGGAAGGAGGGAAGGAACAGGAGCAGAAGCAGCTCCAGGCATATGGTTCCTACTCCGTCCTGACTGTCTACCCCAAGCAGGTCGCTTGGTCTTTGGAGTCTTTGTTTTCACTGTAAACTAGGGGTTTTAGATTCAGATTCCTGAAGGTCTTATTTCGGGCCAGCGCAGAGGCTCCCTGAATGCTCCTGGAAGTGTGTGAGCTGAGGGAGTTGACAGCCTTGGGCACCCATTCCTGCCGTATGCCAGGGTATCCCAGCTGCATCCAGCCTGTCTCCCAGCCACATGTCCTGTTCCTCACCTCCTTCCAGTCCTCTCCAGCACCCATCCCTTGCTTTCCCCACTCACCATCTTGGTTCTCCTGGGGGACAGCAGGACCCAGAAGCAGCAGCAGAGACAGCAGGACAGGCACCATTCTTACCATTGTGTCTGCTTGGAGGGTTCTGGGCAGGAGGCACAGATATTATCCTGGGTCCTGGGGCCCTGCCCAGGGGAGGTGAATCTACAGGCCAATGGGAGTGCCAGGACGGGCTCCTCCCCTAATAGAGAAAAAAAAATGATACACAAGCTAGGCTGGGCAGAGGTTATGAAGAATGAATCTACACACAGGATATGCAAATTCAGAGCTGAGTCCAGAGTTGATCTCTGGACTGAGGCTTTGTGTGTGCCTGGGGTGGAAGGATGCCAGTGGGTAGGAGGTGCGTGTGATGGGTGGCAAGCGCCTGGGATGTGTCACCCTTCCAGTCTATTGTGACAACCCCTGGGCCAGTAGGGGCATTTGTGTGTTTTTGGACCACACTGTATCCCTGCCTTCCAGAAAAACTCTCAACATGTCCAAGACATGGACCTGGGTAGACCCCAGCTGGGGTGGGACCCTCACTCTCCCACATCCGATCCTGCCAGAGGCTGTGTCTGGAGGACAGTCACATTCCCATCTCTCCCTCCTTCCTTTCTGTGCCTGTGGAATCCCAGCCTTCCATGATGGAAGCAGAAATAGCCGCATCCTCCTTTTGCAGCCTCCCTGGCAACAGAACGAGCCTCCCAAAATGCTGGGATTAAAGGCGTGAGCCACCACGCCCAGCCAAGATAATTTTTAATGCATACAACAAGACTCGTTTTACACAGACGAAGCCAGTTATTTGAAAACCAGGTCTTTCCAGGCACGCTCAGTGTTGATGGGCTATTTGCAGAGAGACCCTCCGAATACAAAGCAACATGCTATTCTAAAGTGACTGGGGCCCGGGTGCGGTGACTCATGCTTGTAATCCCAGCACTTTGGGAGGCTGAGGTGGTTGGATCACCTCAGGTTGAGGTCAGGTACTCGAGACCAGCCTGGGCAACATGATGAAACCTCGTCTCTACTGAAAAAATACAAGAATTAGCTGCGCGTGGTGGCACATGCCTATAATCCCAGCACTCAGGAAGCTGAGGCAGGGGTTTCACCATGTTGGCCAAGCTGGTTTTGAACTCCTGACCTCGTGATCTGCCCGCCTCGGTCTCCCAAAGTGCTGGGTTTACTAGTGTGAGCAACTGTGCCCAGCCTCTCTTTTGGTTAAAGAAACCTACAAAGGGACCTTTTATAGTGACTTCAATTTTATGGAATAATTGTAATGCTCCTAAGGCCGTTGTGCTCCAAAGTCTAGCCGCAGGTATTGTTATTGATTGGGCTCCAAAAGGGCATTATTGGCAAGATTGCTCCAGCAAAAATACCTCATGCTCAGAGTTTAATTATTTGTTAGATTATGTAGAGGATGGATGGCAGTCATACAGGCTGAGACAATGGGTGTCCCCTTACCTATTTAAATGGATGGATGCAGGCATTACTCCTCCTAGACCAAAAATGATTCATCCCTTTGTTACCCCAGAACATCCTCAACTATGAAAATTAGCTGCAGCTATGACAGGAATAAGGATATGGAACACTACCTATCAACTCCTTCACACTAATACCAAAACACCCACATTCAACATCACCCTCATATCTGAACGGGTGATACCCATCAGGAGCTATGTCAAACCCCCTTACATGCTGTTGGTTGGAAATATAATTATCATTCCCAATACACAAACTATAGAATGTGATAACTGTAAGCTGTTCACGTGCATTGATGCTACTTTTAATCCCACTACAAGTACTCTCTTGGTAAGGGCTAGGGAGGGGGTATGGATACCAGTTTCTTTACATCGTCCATGGGAGTCTTCCCCCTCTATTCACATAGTCAATGAAGTTCTTAAAGGTATCCGCAAAAGAACAAAGAGATTTATTTTTACTCTTATTGCCATCATTGCAGGACTAATTGCGGTTACTGCAACAGCAGCAACTGCTGGAGTTGCCATCCACAATTCTGTTCAAACCGTTCAATATGTTGAATTGAAGCATGGCAGAAAAACTCCTCCAGACTTTGGAATTCTCAGGCTCAAATTGATCAAAAATTAGCTAATCAAATTAATGATCTCCGCCAAAGTGTAATCTGGCTGGGAGATATGAATTTGGAACACCGTATGCAATTACAGAGTGATTGGAATACTTCTGATTATTGCATAATGCCTTATGCTTATAATAAATATCAACATAGCTGGGAAAATGTCTCAAGACATTTAAAAGCCTGGGATGATAACTTAACCTTGGATATTTCAAAACTTAAAGAGCAAATTTTCGAGGATTCACAAGCTCATTTATCCACTGTTCCTGGCTCAGACATTTTTGAAGGCATAACTAAACAATTATCTGATCTTAATCCCTTTAAATAGATCAAACCCCTTGGAGGATCATTGTTGTCACTGGCATTATTAATATTGGTATGCTTACGTTGTCTCCTTTTAGCCTGCAGATGCCTCCAAGGAGTCCGAAAACAAATCCGAAGTCAACGACAAGCAATGATGGCGATGGCGATCCTAGTTAATAAAAAGGGGGGAGATGTGGGCGGCAAGCCATCCAGGTGCCAAGCCAAGAGACCGAGGGCATGAGTTGTTCCAGTATAATAAAATATATAAAACAACAAGAGTTATACTAGATCTAGATCATAGATATGATTATATATCAATATCATTAATCATTAGTTTTTTCCAAATTTATTATTCCAATATTATAATATTATAATAATCCTCCAATATTATAATTTATTCCAATATTATAATAATCTTCGCTGCATAATCATAACCTAAGAAAAACCAGGCCATACAGAGATAGGAGCTGAGGGGACATAGTGAGAAGTGACCAGAAGACAAGAGTGCGAGCCTTCTGTTATGCCCAGACAGGGCCACCAGAAGGGCTCCTTGGTCTAGCAGTAACGCCAGTGTCTGGGAAGACGCCCCTTGCCGAGCGGACGGTGGTCTAGCGGTAGCCTCAGTGTCAAGGAAAACACCCGCTACTTAGCTGACCGGGAAAGGGAGTCTCCCTTTCCTTGGGGGAGTTTAGAGAAGACTCTACTCCTCCACCTCTTGTGGAGGGCCTGACATCAGTCAGGCCCGCCCGCAGTTATCCAGAGGCCTAACCGTCTCCCTGTGATGCTGTGCTTCAGTGGTCACGCTCCTAGTCCGCCTTCATGTTCCATCCTGTACACCTGGCTCTGCCTTTTAGATAACAATAGCAAATTAGTGAAAGTACTAAGTCTCTGATAAGCAGAAATAATGGCATAAGCTGTCTCTCTCTCTTCCTCTTTCTCTCTGCCTTGGCTGCCAGGCAGGGAAGGGCCCCCTGTCCAGTGGACACATGACCCACGTGACCTTACCTATCATTGGAGATGACTCACACTCTTTACCCTGCCCCTTTTGCTTTGTATCCAATAAATAACAGCGCAGCCAGACATTCGGGGCCACTACCGGTCTCCACGTCTTGGTGGTAGTGGTCCCCGGGGCCCAGCTGTCTTTTCTTTTATCTCTTTGTCTTGTGTCTTTATTTCTACACTCTCTCGTCTCTGCACACGGGGAGAAAAACCCTCCGACCCTGTGGGGCTGGTCCCTACACCAATCTACCATAACAGATACCTCAGCCAACTGTTGAAGTTATCACTGCACACCAGGCCTGCCAGAATCCCCCAAGACTCTTGTGTTTTCACTGCGCAGCCCCAATCTGGCCCAGTAACCAACCTCAGCTTCCCAGCCCTCCATTTCCCTGAGTAAATACTGCCTGGAAACAATCCTTGTACCAATCTCTGTATCCGCCAGGAGTATTTGTTATTGGAAACGTAATGCAGTTCTGACCTTAAGCAGAAAATAAACGTATTTATTGGTTAGCTCTCAGAATCCACAGAAAGGATGGAGAACCCAGGCTCAGAATTCCAGAGGAGCCCAACAGTCAAAATCACACCTGCAACCGGCCCAGTAAATATACAGAAGCTGCCAGCAGGGGGCAGCAGAGGCCACAGCACGGGATCTACAACATCCCGGGGGACTGAAGCTCAAGACGCCCCCCGCAGCTACTGCAGCCCCACTGCCCCGGGAGCTGGCAGTTGCAACCCCTGCCAAGACCACCAGAAAACATTGTCCACTGTGCCCTCCTCTTTGTTTCCCTAACACTTGACCTGATATCCAAGGCAGTAGCTTCGACTTGCTGAGCATAAACCCTGTGCACACCTGCTCGTTCTATTGCCAGGGAGGCTGCAAAAGGAGGATGCGGCTATTTCTGCTTCCATCATGGAAGGCTGGGATTCCACAGGCACCTAAAGGAAAGAGGGAGAGATGGGAATGGGAATGTCCTCCAGACAGCTCTGGCAGGATCGGATGTGGGAGAGTGAGGGTCCCACCCCAGCGGGGGTCTACCCATGTCCGTGTCTTGGACATGTTGAGAGTTTTTCCAGAAGGCAGAGATGAAGTGTGGTCTGACAACACCCAAGTGACCCCAGAGGGTGTCATAATAGACTGGAAGGGCGACACATCCCAGGCACCTGCCACCCATCACACACACCTCCCACACACTGGCATCCTTCCGCCCCAGGCACACACAAATCCTCAGTCCAGAGATCAACTGTCTCAGCTCTAAATTTGCATATCCTGTGTGTAGACTCACTGATCACAACCTCTGCCCAGCCTGGCTTGTGCATACTTCTTTCTTACTGTCAGGGGAGGAGCCCGGCCTGGTACTCCCATTGGCCTGTAGATTCACCTCCCCTGGGCATGGCCCCAGGACCCAGGATAATACCTGTGCCTCCTGCCCAGAACCTTCCAAGCAGACACAATGGTAAGAATGGTGTCTGTCCTGCTGTCTCTGCTGCTGCTTCTGGGTCCTGCTGTCCTCCAGGAGACCCGAGATGGTGAGTGGGGAAAGCAAGGGATGGGTGCTGGAGAGGACTGGAAGGAGGTGAGGAACAGGACATGTGGCTGGGAGAAGGGCTGGATGCAGCTGGGATTCCCTGGCATATGGCAGGAACAGGTGTCCAAGGCTGTCAACTCCCTCAGCTCACACACTTCCAGGAGCATTCAGGGAGCCTCTGCCCTCACCCAAAATAAGACCTTCAGGAATCTGAATCTAAAACCCCTTAGTTTACAGTGAAAACAAAGACTCCAAAGACCAAGCGACCTGCTTGGGGTGGAGAGCCAGGACGGAGCAGGAACCACAGGCCTGGAGCTGCTTCTGCTCCTGTTCCTTCCCTCCTTCCGATGGCTGGGTACACCTGCCTGACGCTGAGGAAAAGAGAGAACAGCCCCCAAGGGGAAAGTGGGAAGGCAGGTTGGCTGGAGGGATGGTGCTAGAAGGAAACCCGTGCCCTCACCCCACACTCAGACACCACTGCAGTGGGTCTGGAAAGCGAGTGGCCGGAAGAGAAGACAGTGGGAGCTTGGGGAGATCAAGATTCATTTATAGGAGAGGGGAAGGAGGCTGTTTGTGGCATGAGAATGTGCAGGATAAAGACATGGAAGTGAATGGCTTCTCAGTTGTGTGAGTTTAAAATTCATGCCGGGCGCGGTGGCTCACGCCTGTAATCCCAGCACTTTGGGAGGCCGAGGTGGGTGGATCACGAGGTCAGGAGATCGAGACCATCCTGGCTAACACGGTGAAACCCCGTCTCTACTAAATATACAAAAAATTAGCCGGGCGTAATGGCGGGGGCCTGTAGTCTCAGCTACTCGGGATGCTGAGGCAGGAGAATGGTGTGAACCCGAGAGATGGAGCTTGCAGTGAGCAGAGATCGCGCCACTGCACTCCAGCCTGGGCAACAGAGCGAGACTCTGTCTCAAAAAAATAAATAAATAAATAAAATAAAATAAAATTCATGACATTTACAAATTGTCAAAATAGGTGTTTCACGTTAGTTTTATAATAATCACATTTATAATATTAATCCCATTCTGCACCCAAATATGAATTATTCGGGGTTCTCCAGAGAAACAAAACTAATATACATTGTATAAACACTCACGTATGTATATATGAATATACATTGTATATTCATATGTACACTAAATATATGTGTATATGTATAATATACATATATACGTGTATGTATATACAAAACAGAGAAAGGGAGGAGTTTTATTTAATATTTCTTGTGGCTCACACAATTCTGAGGGCTAAAAGTCCTAAACCAGCAAAGCAAGCCAGCAGGCTAGAGACCAAGCAAAGAGTTGGTGTTGCGGTCCTGAGTCCAAGGGTAGTCTAGAGGCAGAATTCTTTCTTCTCTGGGGGACCTCAGCCTTTTCTCTTGATGCCTTCCACTGATTGGATGAGGCCCATCCACACTGTAGAGGGTAATCTGTTTTACTCAAGGTCTGATTTAAAGGCTAATCACATTCAGAAACTCATGAGCAAGAATGACTTCAGTACTTAAATTAGAAATCTGCCATATGACTTCCAACATTACTAACACTCATGTAAATTATATTCTAAATTAACTATGGAACTAATTGTGGAAATGTCCCACTCTCTCAGCTTCCATCTTGTACCAAACTGCAAGATACAATGCCAGGAATTCTGAGAGGTATCCTAGCCTTACCCTATGCTGATCCATTCTGGGTCACTTCTTGAGTTTTCTAGTAAATTCACCTTCCTACACTTTCTAACTATATGTATTTGTCCGGTTAGACTAGAAATGTTTATTTCTCATGTCAAGTTCAATGCAGATTGGGCAAGGTTCCTCTCCTCCACAGGGTGACTCAGGGATCCAGGCTGTTTGCATCTTGGGACTCTTCTGTTTCATCCTGTGGCCTCCACAGTCAACGAAAGGGATAAGAGACCGTAGGGGCAAGCCAGATGGTAGAGCCTTGGACCAGAAGAAAGACATCAGTCACTTCCACTCACATTCTTGTTTGACAAAACTCAGTCACATGGTTCCAATCTATCTATAAGGAGGCTGAGAAATGTTAACTTCTTCTGTGCCAAGCAGATTAAACTCTGTAGTGAAGAAACAGAATGGTCTCTGAAATATCATCCCCAGCATGAAAGTAGAGCCTGTTTCCTTGAGTGAGGCTCCAATGGTGTGAAGCTGATGGCAGAGGAGAGAGCTGGGGAGGAAGAGGCCAGTGGCCAGGCCTCCCCTCCTGGCCCTCTGCAGCCCCACAATGGGACACCCTTGCATGGACCCCAGCCCTCAGAGTCTTTTCTTTTGCAGGTCATTACTCTCTGACCTATCTCTACACTGGGCTGTCCAGGTCTGGCAAAGGCACCCACAGGCTGCAGGGCACTGTCTTCCTCAATGGCCATGCCTTCTTCCACTACAACAGTGAAGACAGGAAGGCTGAGCCCCTGGGACCATGGAGACATGCGGAAGGAGTAGAGGACTGGGAGAAGCAGAGCCAAGTTCAGAAGGCCAGGGAGGACATCTTTATGGAGACCCTGAACAACATCATGGAGTATTACAACGACGGTAACGGTCAGTGAACAACAGACCGCGGGGGTGGAAGGTCTAACCCAAGAGGCAGCCCCCCAGGTGTGAGTGGCAAGGGGTCAGCAGGATGGAAATAGTCCCAATCCCAGGGGAGGAACAGGAGACACAGCAGAAACACAGACATGTCCGCATCCCACCCCCCCCACAGCACAGTGTTGTCCCCTTCCCCATCGATTGCCCCATCCTCATCCCAGGTCTCAGGTCACACAGGAAGTGATGGCAGAGTCACTTCCTATCTAGGCACCTCTGACCTCTCACCTCCACTCCCCACCCATCAGAGGCTGATCTCCCCATGAGAAGGCATCAGACTCACCCCTGTCCAGGGAGGTTGCCTGGAGAATGAGCCACTCTCAAAGTCACTCAGACCTGGGCTCACCTGGTGGCTCTGCCAGTCCTACCTGTTGACAGTGAAATGTTCCCAAAATATCTGGTCGAAATCTGCAAACATTGGAGCACTGAGACCTATCTCCAAACAAGTCTGTAATATTTAACTATGTCTGTTCTATGAAGGATGTCACAGTCTGTCCTGATCTCCCTTGCAGCTCCATCACCTAGCACAGGGTACAGCCAATATTGGCTCAATTGAAATTTGTGGAATCAACAGAGAAAAGCACCCAGCACACACCGTAGCCCATGCTGGGGGCTCAGGAAGTGCTGCATTCAAAACCACAGGCTGTTAGAGATCCCTGCAGCCCTAAAGTTCCTCCTCACCATAAGATGCAGACCCAGGAAGGGCCACCTGCACTGTGGTCGGAGGAGCTGGTGGCAGAGCCCGTGCAGAGACGGTCCCCCTGCCCCCGGCCCAGCGTTCTTTCTCCCAAACCACACTGCCAGCCCCAAGGCAGCCAACCCCAGGCCTGGTGAACTGCTGGTGTTAAATTATCATGGAGTGGGTATCAAAAGATGGGCTTCTAAGTACAAAAATGCCCAAGGTGCTACATGGGATCTGAAGGTTTCCCAAAGGAGGCAAGAGATAAGCAGACGTTTGAAGGATGAGGGATGGGAGGTCTTGGTAAGGAAAATGACCCAGGCTGTGTGTTAGCCATAGGAGAGGAGGGGGCACAGGTGATCAGAAAAGACACTGGGGGAAGCATTGATGGACAGGAATAGAAATGGCAAAGTGGATAATTACGAGGAAGGAGGATGAAGAGATGAACACAGGGTATTAGAAAATAAGAGTAGCTGACATTTACTGAGCACTTACTTTGTGCCAGGCCCATTTATGAGCATATATAATGCTCAGAATAACCCCCTGAAACCGTGCTTTTGGCACTGCTGTTTCAGGGGTGAGGAAATAAAGGCACAAGGAGGTGACTGGCTCCAGTTCACACAACACACCAGGTTGGGGCGGGAAGAGACCTGGGACTTGAGCCCAGACAGCTTGAGAGCTGTGAGAGTCTATGCCAACAGCACCAACCTGTGCTAGGTAAACACCTGTTTTTATAATCAGAATGAAGAGGCTGTGTCCTCTGCCCTATGAGGTCCATTTCTGAGAGTTGTTGCTAATGGGCAAGAAGGTTGGGACTTTAGAGATTTGGGATAAAGATATCAAACACCAGAAAGGAAGAAAGAAGTGATCAGGCCAGGCGCAGTGGCTCGCATCTGTAATCCCAGCACTTTGGGACACCAAGGCAGTCAGATCACCTGAGGTCAGGAGTTCAAGACCAGCCTGGCCAACATGGCGAAACCCCATCTATACTAAATATACAAAAATTAGCCTCGTGTGGTGTTGCGCACCTGGAATTCCAGCTACTCAGCAGACTGAGGCAGGAGAATTGCTTGAACCCGGGAGATGGAGGTTGCAGTGAGCCAAGATCATGACACTGCACTCCAGCCTGGGCAGCAGAGTAAGACTCTGTCTCAAAAAAAAGAAACAAAGAAATAGTCAGACAGATTAGGTTGATTTAGGTGATGATATGAACTCCACCTAGAACTGAGAGAAAAGGAGAGCCTTCCTTTCCTCATATGGAATCACAAATAATTTCTATCAAATTCGGAAATGTACTTTGGTGTGGTTGTGACAGGTTCCTAAATACTCCCCGTAAGTTCAAACAAATAAAAAGAGATGCTACAGAAGAGACAGAAATCTGCCCACGGCCTGTAGCTCTCTTAACTTCCCTGGCTGGGAGGAATGCATATTTCATCTCAAATTGGCCCGAAATGCCAATCCATATAGCCTTTGCCACTCTGTGTCAACTGTACGTCCAGATAAAATCATATGCCATGATTACGGAACTGCATGCTTAGATTGCAAAAGCCTTTCCTCCTATTGAGTTGTGAAGAGTGCAGGACTAAGAGTTATTCAGTTGGCACTAGGCTGACTGGCTTCCTGTGGGGTCAGGGGAGGTTTCAGGGTCTCATGCCTTGCAGGAAAGGTTTGGTTGTGAGATCCAGAATAACAGAAGCACTGGAGCATTCTGGAAGAATGCCTATGATGGAAAGGACTACATTGAATTCAACAAAGAAATCCCAGCCTGAGTCCCCTTGGTCCCGGAAGCCCAGAACACCAAGCAGAAGTAGGAGGCAGAACCAGTCTACGTGCAGCGGGCCAAGGCTTACCTGGAGGAGGAGTGCCCTGCAACTCTGCGGAAATACCTGAAATACAGCGAAAATATCCTGGACCGGCAAGGTACTCACTGCTTCCTGCTATCCAGTGCTAAGCTGGGAAAAACCAAGGTGATCTCAGGCTGGGAGCTCAGAGAGCATCTTAGGCCAATCTCCTCTATCCATGTAAGTCACGTAGAACCCCAGTTTTCAACTTCCAGGATTCATTCCTTTCCTAGGAGGACATCAAAATTTCAGGCAGAATGGGCCAGGAAAGCCACTGATTCACTGGTAGGCTTCCCTAAATATCACCCATTGAGAGATGAGGAGCTGGAGGTGACAGAGGTGAGGGTAACACTGTGTGTAAGAGGCAGAGCTGCAGCCAGGCATGCTGGCTCACGCCTGTAATCCCAACACTTTGGGAGTGAGTCCAAGGTGGGTGGATCACTTGAGGTTAGGAGTTCGAGACCAGCCTGGCCAACATGATGAAACCTCGTCTCTACCAAAAATACAGAAATTAGCCTGGCGTGGTGGCAGGCGCCTGTAATCCCAGCTACTCGGGAGGCTGAGGCATGAAAATTGCTTGAACCCAGGAGGACTAGATTGCAATGAGCCAAGATCGCGCCACTGCACTTTAGCCTGGGCAATAGTGTGAGACTCAGTCTCAAAAAAAAAAAAAAGAAAAAAAAAAAGGAAGAGCTAGGACTTGAATTCCAGATTTCAGATTCCAAATGCCATCGTTGTTTCTCTCTACAATGATGCCTCCCATCTGGGTGGTGGAGAGAAGGGAGGTGTGTAAAATGTCAGCCCCAGAAAGACAACAGCGAGCCAGTGTGAATGGAATCGATGGCTGCAAGCTGAGACTTGGATTGCAGACATAGTGAGACTCAGGATTGTGCAGTGCTGCAGGGAAGCGGTTGCTGGATAGAGGCATGGGCTGAACCAAGCAGCTGGACTGAGATTGGGGGACAGAACTCCAAAGCCCACTCAGATGTGGGAAAACATGGGAAAGTGCACAGAGCATTCACAACTTATCAGAGTCAATACATGGGTGGGGTGGAGAATGGGCGAGAGGGGAGCCAGGACATTCCATGATCCAACAGAGAAGGATCAGGGAAAGCCTCAGCCTTCCCTGATCTTCTGGAAAGTGTCCCAGGGCAGGGGGCAGTGGGGCGGGCAGATACAGAGCTTAGAGCTCTGCTGATTGCTGACATCCAGGGGTAGGGGTGAGAAGAGACCTGGGCCGGGAGAAGTCGACCTCAAACCTGCAGTGTCACACTCTATCCCTCCACAGATCCTCCCTCTGTGGTGGTCACCAGCCACCAGGCCCCAGGAGAAAAGAAGAAACTGAAGTGCCTGGCCTACGACTTCTACCCAGGGAAAATTGATGTGCACTGGACTCGGGCCGGCGAGGTGCAGGAGCCTGAGTTACGGGGAGATGTTCTTCACGGTGGAAACGGCACTTACCTGACCTGGTTGTTGGTGCATGTGCCCCCGCAGGACACAGCCCCCTACTCCTGCCACGTGCAGCACAGCAGCCTGGCCCAGCCCCTCGTGGTGCCCGGGGAGGCCAGGTAGGAAGCAAGGGCTGGAGGCAATGTGGGATCTCAGCCCCAGTAGCTGCCCTTCCTGCCTGATGTGGGAGCTGAACCACCGAAATCACGGTCAATGGATCCTCAAGGCCCAAGGAGCAGTGTGGGGGGACAGACAGGAGGTGGATTTGGAGACCGAAGACTGGGATGCCTGTCCTGAGCTGACTCGGACCCAAAAACCATCTCACCTTGAACCACCCCCCGCCATTGTCTAATCTGTGGAAACTAATAAATAATCATCTCTCTTTGTCAAGCACGACAGAGAACAGTATTAACTGTAAAATGCTATAGAAATGTGATGTGATTTTCTCATTGGTCCTGCTCCCAAGCACTGAATTCATCTGAAACTCTTGGTTTCCCTTGGAGGCCATGGTTCCTGGGCACCCTGACTTGGGCAATCCCAAGCATGGCCCGGACCCGCTGTCCCTTAGGGATTGTTCAGGTGTCCCCTGCTGACATCCACAGGCGTGGCCATGGCCACTCTGGCTGTGAGGTGCTAGAACCCTGCAAGCTCTTTCACACAGCCAAGCCTCTTCTGTGCCTCAGTTTCCCCACACTTCTTGGCTTCCTGGGAGACCCAGCCCTCCACTCCAGCTGCTCCACATCTCCACACCATGTTCGCCTTGGCCCACCAGCCAAAGCTTATTTGAGAGCTCTCAGCTCTCCAGGGTACAGCTCAATGAAGCGGGAATTGGCCCTGAGGTTCTCAGACTCCCTCTGAGTCCCTGAGAGTGAGTTTCCTCAAATGAGTCGCCAACTGCCATGCACAGGTATCAACCCCAAACACACAGCAGAGCTCTCACCTTGACCTTCTCATGAAGCCTCACCTGCCTGTGTCTGTGCTTTTCCTTCCTGTGGGAAAAGAACTTTCCTTTTTTTCTTCCTTTTTCTTTTTTTTTTTTTTTTTTTTTTTTTTGAGATGGAGTCTTGCTCTGTTGCCCAGCCTGGATTGCAGTGTTGCAATCTTGGCTTACTGCAAACTCCGCCTCCCGGGTTCCAACGATTCTCCTGCCTCAGCCTCCCAAGTAGCTGGGATTACAGGCATCAGCCACTACGCCCGGCTAATTTTTCTATTTTTAGTAGAGACAGGGTTTCACCATGTTGGCAAGGCTCGTCTCGAACTCCTGACCTCAGGTGATCTGCCTGCCTCGGCCTCCCAAAATGCTGGCATTACAGGCGTGAGCCACTGTGTCTAGCGACAAGAACTTTCTTTACATCCTATACTCAGCCTCCCACTCTGGATTATTCCAAAATCCATCCTCCAAGCTGGGTTCCATAGAAGAATCATTCCCAGTCTTTGGAATTCTGAGTTAATCATCTTATCTTTCATGAAAGCCTAAATTTGAAGGCTACAATTTTTTGTTTTAACTCTTCGACTCCAATTTGAAAATCAAAGCTGAGAAATTACTTTTTTTTTTAAAGTCTACATGAAATCCACCTTTCTCCCTTCCAGGGCAAAAACATCCTATATGAACAGTAGCCAAGTTCAGGAAAGAAAATGCAAATAGTCGCCAGGCGCGGTGGCTCACGCCTATAATCTCAGCACTTTGGGAGGCCCAGGCGGGCGGATCACGAGGTCAAGGATCAAGACCAGCCTGGCCAACATAGTGAAACCCCGTCTTCACTGAAAACACAAAAAATTAGCCGGGTGTGGTGGTGTGTGCCTATAATTTCAGCTACTTGGGAGGCTGAGGCAGGAGAATAGCTGGGTTTGGTGATGTGTGCCTGTAATCCCAGCTACGGGGGAGGCTGAGGCAGGAGGATCACGTGAACCCAGGAGGCAGGGGTTGCAGTGAGCTGAGATCTCGCCACTGCACTCCAGCCTGGGCGACAGTGCAAGACTCTGTCTCAAAAAAAGAAAATGCAAATAATCAAGAGGAAAAAATATAGCATGTGAAATGTGAATATGAGGACACTTGGAGCAAATAAAAGGTGAAAGTTAAACATTTAAGATCAACGAAGAAACCAAAATCCACATGATCAGACCAGGGCTAAGGAAAATTGGAATAGGAGATGTGACCTCATCTATAACAGGAGACATGGATGATGATAAAGGAGGAGAGAGAAGCCACAGGATTCAAGTCCTGGGCAGGTGTGGGGCAGGAGGAGAGGGACACAGGGCTACTGAGATACTCAGGGAAAACTTCCTGGAGCAATTCGGATTTCAGAGAGATGTGGAGGCCTAAGACAGCTTGCCAAGTCGAGGTCAAAAGATTTCCATGCAGAATGGGATTTTACATTCCCTGTTCTTTTGAGTCTCCAGTGCCTACCAGAGAATCAAATATACAATAGGTCCGGGCACAGTGGCTCATGCCTGTAATCTCAGCTCTTTGGGATGCCAAAGTGGGAGGATTGCTTGAGCCAGGAGTTCCAGATCAGTCTGGGCAACATAGCAAGACCCTGTCTCTACATTTAAAAAAATAAAAAATTATCTGGGCATGGTGGCACACACTTGTAGTCCCAGCTACTTGGGAGGCTGAGGCAGGAAGATCACTTGAGCATGGGAGGTCAAGGCTGCTGTGAGCTATGATTGTACTATTGCACTCCAGCCTGAGCAACAGAGCAAGACCGTGTCTCAAAAATAAATAAATAAATACACATATTAATACAATAGGTAATTAATACATAATTTCTGGATGAATCAATAAATACGTAAGCAAAGGCAATAGAAAGCACTAAATATTTCTGACGACCACGAAGAACCTTTTGGCTGGGACAGTGAATTCTACTGGGAAAGAAGTTTGAAAAAGCAAAGCTCAGAGAAATTGAAGAGGACCTTAACATATGTATACCTTGCTATATCTGATTGATGTCTTTTGCCTGATTCAGTGTGCATCATTCCTCCAGCCTACCTGGGAACTATCCCCAGGAGAGTCCACCAGAGAGAGACAAGATAGTCTAAGGCAGGGGTCCCCAACTCCCGGTACCCGTTCATAGCCAGTTAGGAGCCGAACCACGCAGCAGAAGGTGAGCTGCAGGGTCGAAGCTTCATCTGTATTTACAGCTGCTCCCCCACCCCCCGACCATTGCTCCAATTACCGCCTGAGCTCACCTCCTGTCAGATCGGCAGCAGCATTAGACTCTCACAGAAGCACGAACCCTATTGTGAACTGTGCAAGAAAGGTATGTAGGCTGCCCGCTCCTTATGAGATCTAACGCCTGATGATCTGTCACTGTCTCCCATCAACCCCAGATGGGACCATCTAGTTGCAAGAAAACAAGCTCAGGGCTCCCACTGATTCTACACCGTGGCGAGTTGTAGAATTATTTCATTATATATTACGATGTAATAATAATAGAAATAAAGTGCACAATAAACGGGATGCACTGGAATCATCCCAAAACCATTCCCCTCCCCAGTCCGTGGAAAAACTGTCTTCTACGGAGCCGGTCCCTAGTGCCAAAGAGATTGGGGACCGCCGGCTTAAACAAAGAGGTCTTTTTCTCAAGCAGGTTCCAATCAGCGCTAGGCCGGATTCGCTATGGCTTTTGCCTGCCCCCTAGTGGTCAAGGAAATAGTTGCAGCCAAGTGTTAGGATCCAGTCCTTGAGAATTTGGCTCAAAGCCTGGATGCAAAGGCCATGAGATAACGGTCATCCGGTCTTCCTCGCACAACTCACACAATTCTCGCCGTCTTTTTTTTTTTTAAGAGGGAATTTCACTCTTGTTGCCCAGGCTGGAGTGCAGTGGCGCGATCTCGGCTCACTGCAACTTCCAACTCCTGGGTTCAAGCGATTCTCCTGCTTCAGCCTCCCATGTAGCTGAGATTACAGGCGCCCGCCACCACACCCAGCTAATTTTTTGTATTTTTAGTAGAGACGGGGTTTCATCATGTTGGCCAGGCTGGTCTCCAACTCCTGACCTCAGATGATCCACTCGCCTCGACCTCCCAAAGTGCTGGGATTACAGGCATGAACCACGGCGCCCAGCCAATTCCTGCCTTTTATTATGGAGGAAAACCTCCGCGGGATTACAGCACACCCAGTGGACGTCTGTTACCTCATCGAACTTGGGTCCAACCACCGGGTGCTGCAAACACTGACATGTGGATTCCAGTGAGAGAAACTGAGGCATTTATTGCAGGGTGCCAAGCAAGGAGAATCAGCCAGCTCAAGTGTAAGACCTAAATTCCCCAATGGCTTGTAGGTAAGGGTTTTTAGAGGCAGAGAAGCAGAAGTTACAGGCAAAGTCATAAATCAATACATGGCCCGGCACAGTGGCTCACGCCTGTAATTCCAACACTTTGGGAGGCCAAGGCAGGTGGATCACCTGAGGTCAGGAGTTCAAGACCAGCCTGGCCAACATGGTGAAACCCCATCTCTACTAAAAATACACAAAATTAGCCAGCTGTGGTGGTGCACGCCTATAATCCCAGCTACTCAGAAGGCTGAGGCAGGAAAATCTCTTGAAGCCGGGAGGCAGAGGTTGCAGTGAGCAGAGATCGCGACACTACACTACACCCTAGGCGACAGAGCAAGACTCTGTCTCAAAAAATAAAAAATAAATCACTCATAACCTGGTGCAATGGTTCACACCTGTAATCCCAGCACTTTGGGAGGCCGAGGCAGGAGGATTGCTTGAAGTCAGGAGTTTGAGACCAGACTGGGAAACATAGCAAGACCCCATATCTATAAAAACATTAAAACTTAGCTGGGCGTGGTGTCATGCACCTGTAGTCCCAGCTACTCAGGAAGCCGAGGCAGGACGATTGCTTGAGCCCAACAGTTGGAAGCTGCAGTGAGCTATGATCACACCATTGTACTCCAGCCTGGGCAACAGAGGTCTTTAAAAACAAAAAATCAATAACGTGTAATAATCTTTTTTTAAAACTCCCTAACAGGATGTGTGGCAGGTTCCTGAGGTGGTGGCTGCTGGCGGAGGAGAGCTGGCACTCCACCCCCGTGGGGCGCCTCCTGTTTCCCGTGCTCCTGGGATTCCGCCTTGTGCTGCTGGCTGCCAGTGGGCCTGGAGTCTATGGCGATGAGCAGAGTGAATTCGTGTGTCACACCCAGCAGCCGGGCTGCAAGGCTGCCTGCTTCGATGCCTTCCACCCGCTCTCCCCGCTGCGTTTCTGGGTCTTCCAGGTCATCTTGGTGGCTGTACCTAGCGTCCTCTACATGGGTTTCACTCTGTATCACGTGATCTGGCACTGGGAAGAATCATGAAAGGGGACGGAGGAAGAGGACACCCTGATCCAGGGAGGGGAGAGCAGCAGAGATACCCCAGGGGCTGGAAGCCTCAGGCTGCTCTGAGCTTATGTGGCTCAGCTGGGAGCTCAGCTGGTCCTGGAGGGGACAGCGCCGGGGTTGCAGTACCACCTGTATGGGTTCCAGATGCCCAGCTCCTTTGCATGTGGCCAAGAGCCTTGCCCGTATAGATTAACTTGCACCTTTTCCCACCCCTCGGAGAAGATCATCTTTCTAAAAGCCATGTTTGGGGTCAGTGGGTTCCGTCTCTTGTTCACTCTTTTGGAGATTGTGCTTCTGGGTCTGGGAAGACTGTGTAAGCCCCTGCGGAACTTCCTGGGTGGGGCCTCTTCCTCCAGCCACGCCCTGGCCCTGAGCAGCAAAAGGAACCTCCAGCAGACACTGTGAGCCATCCATCGGCCTGGTCAGCCTTGTTCCATTTCAGAGACCATGTTCCCCACAGCCCCAGTGACTAGGGGTGACATCTCCTGACCTCCCCCACCTGTGGATATGGCCAAGTCGAGGTACCGGTTAACCAAAGATGCTGAAGGAGTGAAGAACCAGCCATCCCCTAATACGCAGGATGGTTATATTGATTATGTCAAACTGAAAACTTTGGAGAAACTCCTCTCTCAGAAAGCGATAACTGGGCCAGACACGGTGGCTCATGCCTGTAATCCCAGCATTTTGGGAGGCCTAGGCAGGTGGATCACTTGAGGTCAGGAGTTCAAGACCAGCCAGGCCAACATGGTGAAACCCGTGTCTACTAAAACTACAAAAATTCTGGGCATGGTGGTGGGCGTCTGTAATCCCAGCTACTTGAGAGGCTGAGGCAGGAGAATTGCTTGAACCTGGGAGGTGGAGGTTGCAAAGAGCCGAGATCATGCCACTGCACTCCAGCCTGGGTGACTCCGTCTCAAAAAAAAAAAAAAAAAAAAAAAGTGCTGGTGTTCCTTAGGACTGTGTTGCGGGCCCTCTCTCTCCCCATTCCACACCCTCACTCTCCCTGGATAACTTTCCCTTTGTCTATAGCTCCAGCCACCACGTCCTTGCGGATGACTTCCCAGTGCAGATCCCCAGTCTGGGCTACCTCTCGAGTTCAGGCTTGAAATCCTGTCGTTCGGCCAGGCACGGTGGCTCACGCTGTAATATCAGCCCTCTGGGGGTCGAGGCGGGCAGATCACCTGAGGTCAAGTGTCTGAGACCAGTCTGGCCAACATGGTGAAACCCCGTCTCTACTAAAAATACAAAAAATTACAGGCATGCATGGTGGTGCGTGCCTATAATCCCAACTACTTGGGAGGCTGAGACAGGAGAATCGCTTGAACCCTGGAGGCAGAGGTTGCAGTGAGCCGAGATCGCACCACTGCACTCCAGCTTGGGCGACAGAGACTCTGGTCAGATGCCTCCTAGGCTCAGGCACCTGCTCTGGGAGCAGTGGGCTCCTCTGCATCCTTGAGCACCTAATCTTTATGTGCAGGATCATAAAACACACCGTGCGGATCAGTGTCAGATTTCCTTCTTAAGCTAATAGAACAGAATGCAGCTTTCAGGATTCAGGAAAGATTTTTCTGCACAGGCAAGTCAGTTGCAGTCGCGTGTTATTGCCACCAGAGGACACAATGATCCTGCTAACATGATGAAAGACTCTCCCAGCGGATTTAATAACAATCTTAGCAATTTTTTATTTATTTTTTTTTTCTTGCTCCGTCGCCAGGCTGGAGTGCAGTGGTGCCATCTCGGCTCACTGTAACCTCCGCCTCCCGCCTCCTGGGTTCAAGCGATTCTCCTGCCTCAGTCTGCCGAGTAGCTGGGATTACAGGCGCGCACCAACATGCCCGGCTAATTTTTGTATTTTTAGTAGAGACGGGGTTTCACCATATAGACCAGGCTGGTGGGTGATCCGCCCATCTTGGCCTCCCAACGTGCTAGGATTACAGGGGTGAGCCACCGCGCCTGGCCTTAATCTACTTTTTATATCTGTGGTTTTGCCTTTCCTGGTCATTCCATCTATGTTGAATACTACAATACGTGGCCTTCTGTGCAAGGGCAATTGGTTCCATGCTTAGTCCCACCAGATGATAGATGTTAACCAATATTTACTGATAAGTTGGGGCCTCTCCGACAAGGAGACCAATGAGGCTGTCTCCTTCAAAAGCATCTCAGCTCTGTCTTGGAGCTTTGAGTTGAGAGTTTTTTTTTCAAGCCAGATTTTACGTCGTTCCCAGACACATTCACAAGCCTTGCTGGACCAAAGAAAAAAAACGAGTTAGCCTGGGCACAGCGGCTCACACCTGTAATACCAACACTTTGGGAGGCCAAGATGGGTGGATGGCTTGATGCCAGGAGTTCGAGACCAGCCTGGTCAACATAGCGAGACCCCCCATCTCTAAAAAATAAAATAAAGTACATATACCAGCAATGATGTATAACCGAAAAATAAATAAATAAACAAGTTAATATTGAAATGTCATGTTTGCCCCCAACCCAAATAAGCACTATAACCTCTTGTTATTCACTTCTCATGCAACCAGTCTTCTGTTCTCTGTGAGTCTTTAGGAAATGAGGAGCATGATCTTCTAGCAGTAAAACACCTGTAGAGAATTGCCTTATGTTTTTTGTTTGTTTATTTGTTTGTGTGCTTTGGTTTGGTTTGCTTTTTTTTTTTTTTTTTTTTTTTTTTTGAGATGGAGTCTCGCCCTGTTGCCCAGGCTGGAGTGTAGTGGCGAAATCTCGGCTCACTGCAACCTCCACCTCCCTGGTTCAAGCAATTCCCCTGTCTCAGCCTCCCGAGTAGCTGAGATTACAGGTGCACACCACCACGCCCGGCTAATTTTTTTGTATTTTTAGTAGAGATGGGGTTTCACCATGTTGGCCAGACTGGTCTCGAACTTCTGACCTCAGGCAATCCGCCTGCCTCAGCCTCCCAAAGCGCTGGGATTACAGGCATGAGCCACTGCGCCCCGCCTCCATGTTAATCACTCTTTCTGATTTCAAATAACTCATTATCCCCATGACCTTATGGATTTGTTTTTCCTCTTCATCCACAAAATTCTCCAGAGAAGTCTCCCTTGTTATCTCTTGGCTGTGCTTTCTATCTCACCAGTTATCTTTCTCCAAAGAGCTTCCTCTGCAAAGAAGCTTTGTATATGAAGACCATGTGGGGGCTGAATCAAGACCAAGTTTCACAACCTAAAAGTAGTTCACAAAGCTTCCTTGCCTCTATTCTCTGCAAATCTGTAAACTCTTCAGCTGACCCAATTTCTCTCTTTAGCCTTCAGAGATTATTTTATTTTATTTTATTTCATTTCATTTCATTTCATTTTGACAGAATCTAGCTCTGTCGCCCAGGCTGGAGTGCAGTGGCACCATCTTTGCTCACTGCAACCTCCCCCTCACAGGTTCAAGCAACTGTCCTGCCTCAGCCTCCCGAGTAGCTGGGATTACAGGCGTGAGCCACCACGCCCAGCTGATTTTTTTTTGTATTTTTAGTAGAGACAGGGTTTTGCCATGTTGGTCAGGCTGGTCTGGAACTCCTGATCTCAAATGATCCGCCTGCCTTCACCTCCCAAAGTGCTGGGATTACAGGCGGGAGCCACCACACCAGCCAATTCTATTTTTAATTTTATTGAAGAAGCGCTGTACTATTTCTCACGGGGGCTGCACCATGTTATGTTCCCACCAGCAATGCACAAAGATTCCAATTTGTCCACATCCTCACCAAACACCTGCTATTTTGTTTTGTTTTGTTGGTGGTGGTGGTGGTTTTTTGTGTTTGTTTGTTTGTTTGTTTTTAGTACAGGGAGAGTATCCCTAATCCAAATATCTGAGCTCCAAAAGTTACAAAACCAGAACTTGAGGGCCATCATGGCACTTAGAGAAAATGCTCATTAGAGCATTTCAGACTTAGGATTTTGGGATTAGGGCTGCTCAACCAGTAAAGCAAATATTCCAAAGTCAAAAAAAAATTCTGAAATCTGAAACATTTCCGGTCCCAAGCATTTCAGATAAGGGATATTTAAACTGTAGCCATCCCGACGAGTGTGAGGCGTCTTCTCAAAAGTCTTGCACACTATTTTGTCTGCTTTGATCTGTCATGTGTTTCCTACCACTTTGAAAGCATAACGAATTTTATCCGTATTCATTTATGATGAGAGGCAGTCCAGGCAGTGCAAAGGGCACAAATCGTGGTCCCACAAGTCCTGGCTTCTGACCCGGATCACTGTGAGACCCTGAGCAAGCAAGAACTTGCTCCAGGCCTCAGTTTCCTTGGTCTCTGGGGGAAGCCAGGATGATAATCAGCCATGCTCCAACCCCTCAGCTGAAACTCAGGCCTGGATGCATTGTAAATGGATTTCCTCTTCCACAGGTGAGCCGCTGAATTCGATTCCTTCTTCCTTCCTTCCTTCCTTCTTTCCTTCCTTCCTTTCTTCCTTCCTCTCTTCCTTCCTTCCCTCTCTCCCTCCTCCCTCCCTCTGTCCTTCCTCCCTCTCTCCTTCCCTCTCTTCTTTCCTTTTTTTTCCTTTTTGAGATGGGGTCTCACTGTGTTTCCCAGGCTGGAGTGCAATGGTGCAAGCAAAGCTCACTGCAGCCTCTGACTCCAGGGCTCAAGTGATCCTTCCACTTAAGCCTCCCGAATAGCTGGGGCTACAGGTGTGCCCCACCACACCCGGCTCATTTTATTAATTCTTGGTAGAGACCAGGTCTCTCTCTGTTGCCCAGGCCAGTCTCGAACTCCTGGCCTCAAGCGATCCTCCCACCTCGGCCTCCCAAAGGACTGGGATTACAGGTACGAGTCACTGCGCCCAGGCTTTTCTCCCTTTTGACTCATTTTGAGGCCCCCGTCGTAGGGTACACGCCCTGGGAATCGGGGGTCTTCCAGTATAGGGAACCACCGAGATGCGGGCCCTCCGAAGTCCTAGAGAGGGCGCCTCGGCCGCCGGCACCCGCCACACTTCCGGCCTTTGTGGGCCGCAGCGACGGCGGTCTGCGGCTGTCGGTTCTGTTTGTTGCTGTCACTGCTGTTTGTTCTTGCCAGCGGCTAGGTGTGTAGTTGCTTGGGGCTCCTAGCACGAGGCCTCTGTCCCCAGGCACGCAGCGCCAGTCTCCGGCTGTTGCGCCCTGGGCGCCGCCTCTCTCCGGCCCCCCTTTGTTTCCTGAGCCAGCTGGGAAGACTAAAAGGGTGGGTCCTGGGAGCGGCCCATGGTTCGACCCTTCTTTTCAGGCATCCTTGGAGCATGCAGGCTGCAGATTTCAGGCCGACCCCGCTAGCACCAAAGTCCATGCTGCTGTCCGTGGCAGCTCAGTTTGAAAATGGCCTGGTAGAAAGTCCAGGTTGTTGAACTGGTAAACGCACTCTGCATCCCTTGACTTGAAGTTTTCATTATTCTCTAACGTGCACTTACCCCCAGTAGAGAGCAAATGAAGATTCATACAAGAAATACTGCCTTTCCCAAAATGGGACATTCCAGCAAGGGTGCCGGTACTGACTTGGGTTAGCTTAAGAGAGAGATGCAGTTGAAAAGCTTGTCGGCAGGGATCAGGGAAGACTTCCACTAAGTGGTGTGTATTCAAAGGAGAGGTAGGAATTGGTTAGGTGGACGACATGCTCCACCATCCAAGAAGAACATTCCAGATGGAACTCAGGCAAAAGCACAAAGTTCGAAAAGTCAGAAGTGCAGGGGAAGTGGTAAATATTTCGACACCATCCAGATAAATGGTTGTTTTTGGTTTTTTGGGATGGGGGACAGGGTCTTGCTCTGTTGCCCAGGCTGGAGTGCAGTGGCACGATCTCGGCTCACTGCAACCTCCGTCTCCCGGGTTCAAGCGATTCTCCTGCCTCAGCCTCCCCAGTAGCTAGAATTACAGGCGCCTGCCACCAAGCCCAGCTAATTTTTGTATTTTTAATAGAGACAGGGTTTCGCTATGTTGGCCAGGCTGGTCTCGAACTCCTGACCTCAGTGATCCTCCCACTTCGGCCTCCCAAATTGCTGGGATTACAGGCGTGAGCCACCTTCCCCGGCCCCATCCTGATAAATGTTTATTCTCTGTCGGGGAGTGGTGATTAAGATCTGTGTGACCACAGATCACTTCTGCTCAAAATAGCCAAGCCCCTTAAAAAATAAAGGTTTGTTTTCTAGAAATAGTATAGCAGGAGAACTGACTGCCACTTATTGGCCAATTTATTTAACCTTTCTGACTTTCAAATCCCTTGTTTCTAGGGGCATAGCAATAATATCTTGTAATAGGGAGGAATGGATTAGGTTAATTTGTAGAAAGCATCCACCACAGTGTGTGTGGCAGGTAGTATTAATACGTCGGAGGTTTATCATTGTTTTTACTGTTAATAATCATTAAAAATGTGATAGTATCCCTTCCCATTATGGAGCCTCCTTCTCTGTACAGTAAGCAATGTGGAAAGAGGAAGAGGAGTAAATTCCAGAAAGTGTTAAGAAAGATGTATGTAGAAATGATAGCAACCTATTCAATTTTCACAAAATTTGAATAGGGCATCATACTGTCTCTTACTATACCCATAAAATATCTTGTAGCATTTTTATCTGAGTGAAAGCAAGCATGATAATGTATCTTTTAAAAAATAAATATACTTTGTAAATCACTTTTTTTTTTTTTTGAGACAGGGTCTGGCTGTTTTGCCCAGAATGGAGTGCAGTGGCGTGATGGTCTCGGCTGACAGCAGCCTCGACCTCCTGGGCTCAAGCCTTGGCCTCCCAAAGTGCTGGGATTACAGGTATGAGCCACCATGCCCGGCCCTCCCTTTCTTTTGTGTCTTTGGATTTGTCTTTGTGGAGAGGGTACCAGGTAGGTCTTTTTTCCTCTGAGCAATTATTAAACCTGTGTTCCTTATGAACTGTATTGTTCTGTTTGAAAGCCCCTGTCTGGCACGCAAAACAAGACCAAAATTAATAGAGTTGGGCAAACTACTGAAAACTATATATATTTGCAATCAAAACTTCAAGAAAAAGCAATAACAATCCTCATTAAAGAGGTTAGCACTGGCCAGGTGTGGTGGCTCACGCCTGTAGTCTTAGCACTTTGGTAGACCAGTGCAGGAGGATGGCTTGAGCCCGGGAGTTCCAGACCACCCTGGGCAACATGGCAAAACCTCGTCCTTACCAAGAAAATATACAAAAATTCCCTGGGTATAGTGGCACACGCCTGTAGTCCCAGCTACTCAGGAGGCTGAGATGGGAGGATTGCCTGAGCCCAGGAGTTTGAGGCTGCAGTGAGCGTGATCACATCACTGCACTCCAGTCTGGGTGATGGAGGAAGACTCAGTCAAAAAAAAAGAAAAAAAAAAGGTAGGAGCTTTCCTCAAACATCTTCTCTGTCCATTCAAATGTCTTTGTTGTAACTGAATCGCAGGGTTCAGTCACTTGCTATTTGCAGAGTCTGATTAACAAGAGCAAAGTGTGGTATAAAGTGACCTTTTTTTTTTTTTTTGAGACAGAGTCTCACTCTGTTACCCGGCTGGAGTGCAGTGGCACGATCTCGGCTCACTGCAACCTTTGCCTCCCAGATTCAAGCGATTCTCCTGTCTCAGCCTCCCGAGGAGCTGGGATTACAGGCGCCTGCCGCCACACTCGGCTAAGTTTTCTATTTTTATTAGAAACGGCGTTTCACCATGATGGCCAGGCTGACCTCGAACTCCTGACCTCAGGTGATCTACCTGCCTCGGCCTCCCAAAGTCCTGGGATGTCAGGCGTGAGCCACCATGCCCGGCCAGTATCTGTAGCTCTTAGCCCTGGGTCAGTTTCTCCAGAGGAACACCTTCCAGTCTCCTTCCTGAAAAGTCCAAGCCCAGCCACCACTCTATACCAACAGAAGTAAAGACTTAACCATTGAAGGTGGGAGAAGGAAGTTTAGGGCTGCCCATCCATGGTGGGTCTGAGATCCCACACCCCTCAGGCCAGCAATCAGACCCCGCTGGCCTGAGGAATACCGGGCACAG
Organism: Homo sapiens; assembly: GCF_000001405.40. NCBI lineage: Eukaryota > Metazoa > Chordata > Mammalia > Primates > Hominidae > Homo > Homo sapiens. Next base: position 100,000,714 of record NC_000007.14, read on the forward strand.
TTGAGGGTGTGGACGCTACAGAGAAAACAAGAGGATTAAATAGATATTTACCTCCCGAATGGTGAGACCCTCCCTCATCCCTGCTCAGATGGCTACTTTTATCTAGAACAGGAGATGGCAAACATTTTTCTATAAAGGGCCAGATAGGCAGGGCACAGTGGCTCACACCTGTAGGAGGTGGGAGGATCGCTTGAACCCAGGAAGCAGAGGTTACAGTAAGCCAAGATCGTGCCACTGCCCTCAACCCTGGGTGACAGAGTGAGACCCCATAGCAAAAAAAAAAAAAAAACTAATTTTTGTCTGTAGGCATAAGGGTTGCTGGCTCTTTCTCCCTCATGCAGCCTCCAAGATGTACTATGGAAATTTAGACATTTATGAATTGCCTTGCAATGGAAAGGTAGTAACAGCAACTTCGAGAGTTCCTGCCAAGTTCTACCCCGAGTGGAACAAGTTGCTGATTGTTCCCTTCCCTGGATTTTAACCAAGGTGATAAATACAGTGGGAGGAGATATCTGGGAGAGGTAGAGGCTTTGACTCCAGACCTTGAGCTTTTTTTTTTTTTTTTTTTTTTTTTTGAGACAGAGTCTCACTCTGTTGCCCAGGCTGGAGTACAGTGTTGCAATCTTGGCTCACTACAACCTCTGCCTCCCCGGTTCAAGCGATTCTCCTGCCTCAGCCTCACAAGTAGCTGGGATTACAGGCGACCACCATCACCCCTGGCTAATTTTTGTATTTTTAGTAGAGACAGGGTTTTACTATGTTGGTTAGGCTGGTATCAAACTCTTGACCCCAAGTGATCCGCCCGCCTCGGCCTTCCAAAGTGCTGGGATTACAGGCATGAGCCACCGTGCCAGCTGATCTTGAGTTTATGGAAGTCAGAAACTTTGTCCCTAAGCAATAAAAATAGTTTTTTTTTTCTTTTTCTTCTTTTTTTTTTTTTTTTTTTTTTTTGCCTTTGGGTTCAAGTGATCCTCCTGCCTCAGTCTCCCAAGTAGCTGGGACTACAGGTGCATGCCACCACACCTGGCTAATTTTTTATATTTTGTAGAAACAGGATCTTGCTGGCTGGGCGCAGTGGCTCATGCCTGTAATCCCAGCACTTTGGGTGGCTGAGGCGGGTGGATCACCTGAGGTCAGGAGTTCAAGACCAGCCTGACCAACATGGTGAAACCCCATCTCTACTAAAAATACAAAAATTAGCCAGGCGTGGTGGTACATGCCTGCAATCCCAGCTACTTAGGAGGCTGAGGCAAGAGAATCACTTGAACCCAGGAGGTAGAGGCTGCAGTGAGCCAAGATTATGCGATTGCACTATAGCCTGAGCAACAAAAGCAAAACTTTGTCTCAAAAAAAAAAAAAAAAAAAAAACCAGGGTCTTGCTTCGTTGCCCAGGCTGGTCTTGAACTCCTGGCTCAAGTGATCCTCCTGCCTCGGCCTCCCAAAATGCTGGGATTACAGGTTTGAGCCACCACCCCGCCCCCACCTTTCTTAGTTGCAGGGGCAGAATGGGGGTTTGGAATACAAAAGAGCTGTTCCTGCTACTTACACATACATATTTTTAAGCAAGTCAGTTCTCCTAGCTAAGTCTTAATGTCTTTATCTCTAAAATGGGGATAACCCACCCTACCTCATTGGGTATTTGTGTAGATTAATAAAATAGCAGGTAAAAATCCCTGTCATATCAAGGGTGTTCAAAAAATGGCAAATATTATCATTCTGATTTATCTAGACAAGGAAACTCCAAGATGTTAAGGCATCATCCAAAGGGCACACAGCTCATTAGGGGTAGGAGCAGGAATACAATTTGTTTTCTTGACTCTCCAGCTAATATTCTTGCTTCTAACCTGTACTACTTGAAAAGGAGGCTTTAGTTCTTTTTATTGTATTTATTTATGTATGTATGTATGTATGTATGTATTTATTTATTTATTTTGAGATGGAGTTTTGCTCTTGTCGCACAGGCTAGAGTGCAATGGCGCCCTGTCACCTCACTGCAACCTCCACCTCCAGGGTTCAAGCAATTCTCCTGCCTCAGCCTCCCAAGTAGCTGGGATTACAGGCGCATACCATCATGCCTGGCTAATTTTTGTATTTTTAGCAGAGACAAGGTCTCACCATGTTGGCCAGGCTGGTCTCGCCTGACCTCGGGTGATCCACCTACCTCAGCCTCCCAAAGTGCTGGGATTACAGGCGTGAGCCACCACACCTGGCCTAGTTCTTTTTTTTTTTTTTTTTTTTGAGAAAGAGTTTCTCTCTTATTGCCCAGACTGGAGTGCAATGGCACCATCTCGACTCACTGCAACCTCCGCCTCCCAGCTCAAGCGATTCTCCCGCCTCAGCCTCCAGAGTAGCTGGGATTACAGGTGCCCACCACCAGGCCCGGTTAATTTTTTGTATTTTTTTAGTAGAGACAGGGTTTCACCATGTAGGTCAGGCTTGTCTCAAACTCCTGACCTCAGGTGATCCACCCGCCTCAGCATCCCAAAGTGCTGGGATTGCAGGTGTGAAGTACCGCACTTGGCACCCCCTCCTTTTTTTTTTTTTTAACCATGTTTGAATTGCTAAGGTAAGAAAAGTGTCAGGGCTGCAGGATGTTAGGAAATAAAGATTCTCCCCTTTTCTTTCTTTCTTTTTTTAGAGACAGGATCTCGCTCTGACACCCAGGATGGAGTGCAGTGGTGTGATCGTACCTCATTATAGCCTCCAACTCTTGGCCTCAAGCGATCCTCCTGCCTCGGTCTCCCAAGTAGCTAGGACTATAGGCACATGCCACCACGCTCAGCTAATTTTTGTATTTTTTGTAGACACAGAATCTTCCCATGTTGCTCAGGCTGATCTCAAACTCCTGGCCTCAAGCAATCCTCCCGCCTCAGCCTCACAAATTGCTGGGATTACAGGTGTGAGCCACCATGCCCCACCCCAGTTCTCCCCTTTTCTAACACCACCCTTCCTACCACCTTGGTTTCTGCTGCAGACAACAGGCCCCCTCCTATCACGGCCAGACTTTGAGCAAAGCTGGCTTTTCTGTACCACATAGTACAGGAGGTATTGGCAAGCACCACTCCTGCCCCACCTTTGCCCCTCCTGCCTACTCTTCCCCCATCCATCTCCACCCCGAGTCTCACCCCCTCCGGATGCAGGCTCTCTTCCCCTGAGCAGAGCTGCTCTTCCTGGGCAGTTACAAAGATTCTTTGTAATGTGTTTACAGGAGGAGGGGGTGAGAGCGGGGCCTGGCTGTACTGATGGGCCCACCAGCCCTGTTTACATAAGCAGAGAAGGAGCCAAAACAGATGACCCTGTAGCTCAGGGACCTAGATTAAACACATAACCAAAGTCCAGAGCCCTGTGCCCCAGCCGCCCAGTTTCTAGGCTACACCACACAGAAGCAGCATGGAGGAGCCTCTTGACCCAGGGAGGGTTGTTGACTCGGCTGGGTGAGAGATGTTTGCACAGAGAGGGAACTAGCAGGGCCATCTGGCTGTTCTCCTGCTAAGCGCTGGGCATTTGCAGGTCAGGCACCCTCAGGATTCCAGGGCCCCTGGGAAGGCAGCCCCAGCCAATACTGTTTCTTCTTTGGGGAAATTTCTAAAACATTGTTATTTTTACATTTTTCGCCCGGTAATTATACCCAACCCAAATAAACTGTGAAGTTTTATTTTGCGAGGTGGTGAGAAATGCAGTTCTCCGCATTTAAAACATGGCGATGGCTGGCACCTAAAAGTCCTCTGCAGTTTACAAAGCATTGCCACCTCCACAATGTCATACCGTCCTCAGAGTAGCTAAGTGGGTAGCTATTTGCCAAAACCATCCCTATTTTACAGATGAGGGAGTCAAGACTTAGAGAGGTCGGGTCACTTGCACAAACCACACGCCCAACAAGAGTGACTCCAAATTTTACACCCCTACTACTCTGACCCCTACTTCCTCTCCATTGGGCTGTAAAATAAGGCAAGAAGAGAGCTTGTTCCAATACATAATCACCTTGCAGGTGGCTCCCAGGAGAGAGTGTCACATCTCATCTCAGACATGCTGGAAGCCGAAGTGGTCAGCCTCAAGGGGCACTTAGAGGGCCCTGCAGTCCACCCAAGGACACCACCAGCGGGGCGTTCCCAGTACGCCACTCAAAGCCTTACGTGGAGAGGCCAGGCGCAGTGGCGCAGACCTGTAATCCCAGCACTTTAGGGAGGCTGAGGCGGGTGGATCACCGAGGTCAGGAGTTCGAGACCAGCCTGGCCAACATGGCGAAACCCTGTCTCTATTAAAAATATAAAAATTAGCTGGGTGTGGTGGCAGGCACCTGTAATCCCAGCTACTTGGGAGGCTGAGCAGGAGAATCACTTGAACCTGGGAGGCGGAGGTTGCAGTGAGCTGAGATTGCCCCATTGCGCACCAGCCTGGGCAACAAGAATGAAACTCCGTCTCAAAAAAAGAAAAAAAAGAGAAAAGAAATAAAATGCCTTATGTGGAGAGACTGAGCCCCCAACTATGTGAAACTGCATGAAACATACACAGAGCATCCCACCACTAGCTGAAATCATGGAGATAAGAGAGGGAACGTGTTTAGAATCACAGAAACTTTCCTCCAAGTTTGTTTCCTCTTGTCTCCTCGTGGGCTTTGTCTCCCCGCATTCAAACCTGTACAATCTACCTGAAGCCATTACCTGAGTCCCAATTAGTGTTCTTTCTACTTTCTCCTACTTCTTTATCCTCCCTTTTACAACCCAAAACACCAAACCTACCCGAAAGGCATCATCATTCCATCTTCTTCGCCGCCTTTGTCTCTCTGCCTCTTTTTTTTGTTGTTTGTTTGTTTGTTTTGTTTTGTTTTGAGACAGGGTCTCACTCTGTGGCCCAGGCTGGAGTACAGTGGCACGATCTAGTCTCACTGCAGCCTCAGTCTACTGAGCTCGAGCGATCCTCCCACCTCAGCCTCCTGAGTAGCTAGGACCACAGGCACGCACCACCACACCTGGCTAATTTTTTAAATTTTTTGTAGAGACAAGGCCTCAGTATGTTACCCAGGCTGGTCTCAAACTCCTGGTCTCAATGATCCTCCCACATTGGCCTCCCAAACTGTTGGGATTACAGGTGTGAGCCACCAGGCCCGGCCTGTCTCTGTCTCTTAACCCCAACTCTACTGCTCCATCCAAATAGCTTTGCCCAGTTTCACTGATTAGAACTTCTCTGCCACCCAAAGGTCCCAGCTCTGCTCCCATCACCCTTAGTCCAGCCCCAGCATCTGGCTCAGCCACCAGGTCCTCCTGGGCTTTTCTTTCTTGTCACTGTCAAATCCTGGTTCCCCTGCCTTCTCCTCAATTTATGTATTTATTGTTTACACACACACACACACACACACACACACACACACACACACACACATATATATATTTTTTTTTGAGATGGAGTCTCGCTCTGTCGCCAGGCTGGAGTGCAGTGGCATGATCTTGGCTCACTGCAACCTCTACCCCCCAGATTCAAGCGATTCTCCTGCCTCAGCCTCCCAAGTAGCTGGGACTACAGGCGCCCGCCACCACACCCAGCTAATTTTTGTATTTTTAGTAGAGACTGGGTTTCATCATGTTGGCCAGGATGATCTCAATCGCTTGACCTCATGATCCGCCCGCCCACCTCAGCCTCTCGAAGTGCTGAGATTACAGGCATGAGCCACCATGCCTGGCCCTTTTTTTTTTTTTTTTTTTTTAGACAGAGTTTTTGCTCTTGTTCCCCAGGCTGGAGTGCAGTGGCGCAATCTCGGCTCATTGCAACCTCCACCTCCCAGGTTCAAGTGATCCTTCTGCCTCAGCCTCCTGAGTAACTGGGATTACAGGTGCGCACCACCACACCTGGCTAATTTTTAAAATATTTTTAGTAGAGAGAGGGTTTCACCATGTTAACCAACCTGGTCTCGAACTCCTGACCTCAAGTGATCCACCCACCTTGGCCTCCCAAAGTGCTGCAATTACAGGCATGGGCCACTGCGCCCAGCCTGTATTTTATTTATTTTGAGACAGAGTCTCACTCTGTTGCCCAGGCTAAAGCGCAGTGGCACAATCTCTCCTCCTCCGGGGTTCAAGTGATTCTTGTTCCTCAGCCTCCCAAGTAGCTGAAATTACAGGCATGTGCCACCACGCGTGGCTAATTATTTTGTATTTTAGTAGAGACAGGGTTTCGCCATGTTGGCCAGGCTGGTCTCGAACTCCTGACCTCAAGCGATCCACCTGCCTCAGCCTCTCAAAATGCTGGGATCACAGGCGTTAGCCACCATGCCCTGCCCCAACCCCAATTTATTCTTTAGTGATCACGTTTCTGTAACAACTGTGTGACTGTGTTTTGCAGCTTTTAAACTAGTTTTACGCAAATGTATATAGAGGTACCTTCATACAGAGTCTCATTTACAAGTTAACTTCGCCTCCCCGTAGGATCTGTGTTCATTTCCTGCTGAAATTGCTAAATGTGGCTTGTTTGTTTTTTTCTGTCTTCATCTTCAATGTGCCTGGATTCTTCCTGCTATCATGCTTTTAACCAACCTACATTCAGGTCTTTCATTACCTTCCTGATAAAGTGCTATTTATAAGTTTTCAGTACTCTTTCTACTTTGAAGCCCTGACTTCTTTTCCCCCAACCACTTTATTCTCTCTCTACAGTCACTGGTTTTTTGTTTTTGTTTTTGTTTCGTTTGTTTGTTTTTTTTTTGAGATGGAGTCTCACTGTGTTGCCCAAGCTGGTCTTAAACTCCTGGGCTCAAGCCCTCCTCCCACCTCAGCCTCCCGAGTAGCTGGGATTACAGACGTGAACAACCACACTGGCTCTTCTCTGTCTACATTCAGCACCACCATAGATTATTTTTTGTTTTTTGGGGTTTTGTTTTGTTTTGTTTTGTTTGAGACAGAGTCTCCCTCTGTTGCCCAGGCCGGAGTACAGTGTACAGTGGCGCGATATTGGCTCACTGCAACGTCTGCCTCCTGGGCTTAACCGATTCTCATTCCTCAGCCTCCGGAGTGGCTGGGAATGCAGGCGTGCACCACCACACCCGGCTGATTTTTGTATTTTTAGTAGAAATGGGGTTTCACCATGTTGGCCAGGCTGGTCTCGAACTCCTGACCTCAAGTGATCCACCTATCTCGGCCTCCCAAAGTGCTGGAATTACAGGTGTGAGTGTGAGCCACCACACCTGGCCTACCTACTTTTAATTACGTGTAGATTAAGGGGCAGTTAGTGCAGAAATTACTAGGGAAGAGGTAGTAACTTCTAGGTTGTCAGCTCATTGCCATGGAAAGGGGTGGTAACTCCCGGGTGTTGCCATGGCAACGGTAAACTGACATGGCACTCTGGTGGGCATGTCTTATGGAAAGCTGCTTCTGCCCTGGCCCCATTTTAGCTAATCCTCAATTTGGTCCACTGTCCAAGCCCCACCTGCAGAGTCAAGTCCCTCCTCCCACCTCAGCACTGCTAGAAAAGAGCTTCAGGATGGAGCCACACATGTCACTCAAGCCCAAGGGTCAGTCAACAGCCCACAGCCCTAAATTCATCTGTGTCCAATGCCAGACCCTGCAACTGCTGATTTACATGAATCAACTCCATCATGCAAGCCTCATGACATCCCAATGAGGTAGGTGCTGTTTGAATCCTCATTTTACACTTAGAGAAACTGAGGCTCCAAAAGTTCAAGTAACTAGACCAAGAGTACATGGTACAGACAAGATGAGAACCAAGACCATCTGAGTCCTGCGCCCCTCTACTATACACCATAGCTAGGAAGGATATGGCTTGGGCTGACTTGGGAATGAGGCCACAAGGCTAGGGGCTGTTTGGTTTGTTTTGATTTGATTTGATTAGGCACCAATGTTCTCATAAACATCCGTATCCAGACGCAGGTGCTTTTGCAGTCATGTGACTGGACGTGGGCTAGGACTCTGTTGTCCGTGGCTGGAGTCCATAGCTGAGAACAAAGAAGGAAAAACTTCAGGAGGACACTCCCAGCCCACAGCACGGCACATCAAAGATCCCAGATGCCACCTACGTGACAGGCAGAAACGCTCGCGAGCTTTGCTTGCTCAGCCAGTTTTTCTGCTCCTCAAGTCTGGACGAAAGCAGCAAGAAAGAGAGAAAGGACTTGGTAGAAGCCAAAGAGAAAGGACTTTGCCTTCTGCCTATTGGTGGGGGCTTCCCTCTCCTCCTCCATGACTGGTTCCCTTGCCCCCTCACCATGAAGACAAGTGAGAATGTCTTCAAAACCTGGGGACAGAGGCTGGGTGCGGTGTCTCTCACCTGTGATCCCAGCACTTTGGGAGGCTGAGGTGGGCAGATCACTTGAGGCCAGGAGTTCAAGACCAGCCTGGCCAACATGGAGAAGTCTCATATCTACTGAAAATACAAAAAATTAGCTGGGCGTAGTGGCATGCACCTGTAACCCCAGCTACTGGGGAGGCTGAGGCAGGAGAATCACTTGAACCGGGAAGCAGAGGTTGGAGTGAGCTGAGATTGCACCACTGCACTCTGCACTCCAGCCTGCACAACAGAGGGAGACTCCATCTCAAAAAAAAAAAAAAAAAGAGCAGGGGGCAGGGCGGGCAGGAATCCCAGTCACCAGGGAGACTCCATATCTACAAAAAACCTCATCCTCGGCCAGGCACAGTGGCTCACACCTGTAATCCCAGCACTTTGGGAGGCCGAGGCAGGCAGATCACAAGGTCAGGAGATCAAGACCATCCTGGCCAACATGGTGAAACCCCATCTCTACTAAAAATACAAAAATTAGCTAGGTGTGGAAGCACAGGCCTGTAGTCCCAGCTACTCAGGAGGCTGAGGCAGGAGAATCACTTGAACCCAGGAGGCGGAAATTGCAGTGAGCCGAGATCACGCCACTGCACTCCAGCCTGGCGACAGGGCAAGACTCAAAAACAAAAACAAAAACAAAAAAACCCTCAACCTCTAGTTGAGCATTATTTTAAATAGGAGACTCTCGTGCCTAGGCAGGTGGCGGGTGATTCAACAAAGCCACTAAGAGGGGAAGGTGGCCAGGGAGGGGCAGGAGCACCACAGGAGGTCCACGTTCCATTCACTAAGAGGGGAAGGTGGCCAGGGAGGGGCAGGAGCACCGCAGGAGGTCCACGTTCCAGCCATTTGAGTGGCCAAGGGTGCCTGAGTTTGTCACAGATCAAATGGACCCAGGAGCAGGTAGCTGGACTTGAGTTGTCCAACTGGTGCCCCCACCCAAGAATCTCCTCAAAAGGAGGTTGTGCAGTGCCCTGCTAGGGGCAGAAGGCAGATCGACTGGGACAGGGGACTGAGTAGTAAGCAGGCCCCCAAGGCCCCCTGAGGATTTCATCCCTGAACACCACAAGCCAACGTTTGTGTGGCTGACGCACAGTAGCGGTAGACTGTGTTTTCCAAAAGTGACCTTGGCAGCGTTTTTGGTCCCACATGCAATTCCAGAACCACATCACTTCCCATCAAAAGGTGGCATCTGGCTGGGTGCCATGGCTCACGCCTGTAATCCCAGCCCTTTAGGAGGCCAAGGTGGGCAGATCACCTGAGGTCAGGAGTTCAAGACCAGCCTGGCCAACATGGCCGTCTCTACTAAAAATACAAAAATTAGCCGGGCACAGTGGCAGGCACCTGTAATCCCAGCTACTCAGGAGGCTGAGGCAGGAGGATTGCTTGAACCCGGGAGGTGGAGGTTGCAGTGAGCCAAGATCGCGTTACTGCGCTCTAGCCTGGGCGACAAAAGTGAGACTTAGTCTCAAAAAAAAAAAAAAAGGTGGCATCGCCAGGCATGGTGCCTGTAAAACCAGCACTTTGGGAGGCCAAGGCAGGAGTATCCCTTTAGCCCAGGAGTTTAAGACCAGCTTAGGCAACATAGTGAGACCCCATCTCTAACAAAAAATAAAATAAAATTAGCTGGGTGTGGTGGCGTGCACCTGTACTCCCAGCTACTCAAGAGGCTGAGGTGGAAGGATTGCTTGAACCCAGGAGTTTGAGACCAGCCTGGGCAACATAGTGAAACCCCCATCTCTACAAAAAAAATTTAAACATTAGCCGGGCATAGTTGCTCATGCCTGTAGTCCCAGCTACACGGGAAGATGAGGGTGGAGGATCACTTGAGCCCAGGAGGTCGAGGCTGCAGCGAGTCATGATTGTACTCCAGCCTGGGTGACAAGAGTGAGACCCCGTGTCATAAAAAAAAGAAGAAAAGAGGGGGGAACATATTTTCCCTTCCCCTGAAACTAGGTGTGACTTTATGACTGCCTCAAGGCATTGAATGCAGTGAAAGGGATGCTGAGTGCTTCTAAGATTAGGTTATAAAGGACATGTGGCCTTCATTCACCTGTCCCCTCTGTCTCTCTGTCACCCACTCCACTTCCTTCCTTCCCGTACCTCCTTCCTTCCCTCCCTTCCATTCCCTTCCCTTTCCTTTCCTTCCTTCCTTCACTCCCTCCCTCCCTCCCTTTCTTTCCTTCTTTCCCTCCCTCCCCTTTCCTTCTTTCCCTCCCTCCCTCCCTGCCTTCCTTCCTTCCTTTCCTCCCTCCCTCCCTACCTGCCTGCCCGCTCACCTGCTCTTCCTTCCTTCCTTCCTTCCTTCCTTCCCTTCCCTTCCCTTTCCTTCCTTCCTTCCTTCCTTCCTCCTCTCTCTCTCTCTGGATACTTGTCCTTGGACCCCAGCCACCATCCTGTGAGGAAGCCCAGAGCACATGAAGAGACCACCTGCACATGTTCAGATCCACTGCCCCAGCTAAGATCTCCGCTGACAGCCAGACCAATCACCAATCTTAGGAGCTGGCGAGCCTTCAGATGGTCCAACCTTTGAGGCCCCCCAGAGGAGCCAGGTGGAGCATAGATGAGCCATCCATGTGGATCCCTCCACCAAATGGAAGATTTAGGAGCAAAATAAACAATGTTGTCATTGCTTTCACCCACGAAATTGTTGAATAATTTGTTTTGCTGCTTAAGTAGCTGGAACACTGTGTTACCGAGGGAAGAGCAACAACCAACAGGAGAGAATAGTCAGTTAAGTAAGAGATTTTTGACCCTCTCCCTATCCGTCCACTTTGCTCAACACAACAGAGAAGCCACAGCTTCCAATAGGAAAATAGAGAGGGAAGGTGTCTCCAACAGTCAGATCACTCACTCCTGCCACCCCAGGGAGAGGGAAGGGGAGGAGGAAAAGCATAGATGAAAGTACCCTTCCCACAGCAGGTTCCCCAGCCACAGCCCTAGCCGACAGTAAAGAAAACTCAGGCTGGGCACGGTGGCTCACGCCTATAATCCCAACACTTTGGGAGGCCGAGGTGGGCGGATCGCTGGAGGTCAGGAGTTCGACACCAGCCTGGCCAACATGGCAAAATCCCATCTCTACTACAAATACAAAAACTAGTCAGGCAGGTGGCACACGCCTTTAATCCCAGCTACGTGGGAGGCTGAGGCAGGAGAATCGCTTGAACCTGGGAGGCGGAGGTTGCAGTGATCCCAGCCTCGGTGACAAAAGCAAAAACTCCGTCAAGAAGAAAGAAGAAGACTCAGTAAAATGGGACCTTTGGAATCAGATATAAGACTTGGGTTTGTTTTTTTTGTTTTGTTTTGTTTTTTTTAAGACAGAGTTTCGCTCTTATTGCCCAGGCTGGAGTGCAATGGTTCAATCTCGGCTCACCGCAACCTCTGCCTCCTGGGTTCAAGCGATTCTCCTACCTCAGCCTACTGAGTAGCTGGGATTACAGGCATGCACCACCATGCCCAGCTAATTTTGTATTTTTAGTAGAGGCGGGGTTTCTCCGTGTTGGTCAGGCTGGTCCCGAGCTCCTGACCTCAGGTGATCTGCCCGCCTTGGCAGCAGCACCCCATCTGGAGTGGCCACTGCCATGATGCTGGCTGCAGTGAGTGAGGCATAGCTGGGATCGCAGCACTCCACAGAGCTGGAGGGAGCTGGGAACACATGGAAGCCCCCACTCCTTCCAAGTTGGAGGGACAGGAGACCCTCCCTCCCAGGAGTAGCTGCAGCCACCCAGTCACAGCCGCAAACCCGGGCTCCCCTTCAGCATTGACTCCACCAGCTTTCACAACACAGAAGTCAAACTTAGGCAACCACAGTTTCTAGGGTGCCCTTCAGGAACTTTTATTTGTTCAGGGCAGCCAGCCAATTTTTAAGCACAATGTCTCTTTGTAATCATAAATCATTAGTTTCATGATTCTTTCAACACTTTCATCTTAGAGTCCTTTCAAAACTCTTGGGTGGATACCACCTGATCTTGTCAGCTGAGCTTGTTTGCTGACAGGTCTAGAACCCTGGGGTTACAAACGTTATTGCCTATATTCCCTCTGACTATCTGTGGGACCAGTAATCTCATTTCTTGGAATCCATCCTTAGGAAGTAATCAAAGATGTCGAGGCCAGGCGCGGTGGCTCACACTTGTAATCCCAGCACTTTGAGAGGCTGAGGTGGGTGGATCACTTGAGGCCAGGAGTTCGAGACCAGCATGGCCAACATGGTAAAACCCCATCTCTACTAAAAATACACAAATTAGCCAGGCATGGTGAGTGCACACCTGTAATCCTAGCTACTTGGGAGGCTGAGGCATGAGAATCACTTGAGCCCAGGAGGCGGAGGTTGCAGTGAGCTGAGATCACGCCATTGCACTCCAACATGGCAACTGAGGGAAACTCTCTCAAAAAAAAAGAAAGAAAAGAGGCCAGGTGCAGTGACTCACACCTGTAATCCTAGCACTTTGGGAGGCCGAGGCTGGTGGATCACTTCCTGCCTCTGCCACCCCTGAGACAGCAAGAGCAACCCTTCCTCTTCCTCCTCAGCTTACTCAGTGTGAAGACGATGAGTATGAAGACCTTGATGATGATCTATTTCCACTTACTGAATAGTAAATATATTTTCTCTTCCTTAAAAAACAGTGTTCACATGATATGAATGTAGCAGATACTTCCAGGATACCAGCCTCCTCTTCAATACAACTGCAACTATGGTTTTGAACAGTGTTTAAAATAATATCAATAAATATTTATTTGTATATGAAAACAGGAAAAAGGTAAACTAAAGCCATGGGGATTGTGTTAGGGTGGAGAGATTACCGGTAATTATTTTTCTCCATTTTGCAAATTTCCTTTAATGATACTGTTGTTGCTTCTTTTTTGGATACAGAGTCTAGCTCTGTCCCCAGGCTGGAGAGCAGTGGCACGATCTCGGCTCACTGCAGCCTCCGCCTCTGGAGTTCAAGCGATTCTCCTGCCTCAGCCTCCCAAGTAGCTGGGACTATAGGCGTGTGCCACCACGCCCAGCTAATTTTTGTATTTTTAGTAGAGACGGGGTTTCACCATATGGGCCAGGATGATCTCAATCTCTTGACTTCGTGATCCACCCACCTTGGCCTCCCAAACTGCTGGGATTACAGGCATGAGCCACCGTGCCCGGCCCTTTTTTTCTTTTTTGAGATGGGATCTTGCTCTGTGGCCCAGACTGGGGTGCAATGGCACAATCATAGCTCACTGCAGCCTCAACCTCCTGGGCTCAATCTATCCTTCTACCTCAGCCTCCCAAGCAGCTGGGACCACTGGCACACACTACCCTGCACCCAGCTAATTTTAGTATTTTTTGTAGAGAGAGGGTCTCATTACGTTGCTTAGGCTGGTCTCCAACTCTTGGGCTCAAGAATCCTCCCGTCCCAGCCTCCCGAAGTGCTAAGATTACAGGCTTGAGTCATCGTGTCTGGCCCTGTCATTGCTTTTTAGTTTTCAAACATTTTTTAAAAAGTAAATCTGGCCGGGCACGGTGGCTCACGCCTGTAATTCCAGCACTTTGGGAGGCTGAGGCGGGTGGATCACAAGGTCAGTAGATCGAGACCATCCTGGCCAATATGGTGAAACCCTGTTCTCTACCAAAAATACAAAAATTAACCAGGCATGGTGGTGTGCGCCTGTAGTCCCAGGTACTCAGGAGGCTAAGGCAGGAGAATCGCTTGAACCTGGGAGGTGGAGGTTGCAGTGAGCCAAGATGGTGCCACTGCACTGCAGGCTGGGTGACAGAGCGAGACTCCATCTAAAAAAAAAAAGTAAATCTCTCCAAGCAGTAAGAGTCATGCAACCAAGCTACTGAGTTTCTCCCATGAACTTGTCTCGGAACATAGTGGAAAGTCACAACCATTAAAGCCTGTAGTCCCCCCCACCCTTGCACAACGTGGCCCCCTCTTATGCGTGCCTTACCCTGCAAGGCAAAGATGAAGGCTGTAACTGTGGTAGGTTGTGAAAGCACTTTGAAGGTAAAAGTGTCTGTTGTTACTCTGAAAACTCCTTTTAAACGGCTATAATAGCATATGCCACATGAGCAAAGCACAGAACCTTATAACTATGCTTGCTTGTGGAAAGACATCCCTTGTCCACGGGCCAAGTATTTGAAAATACCACTCCATATAGCTCCAGGGCCCTGAGAGAAGCTACCGTGGCAGCTTTGGGAAACCAGCCACCCTTGGCTTCACTTTGATCTTCCTCAGTCTACATCCTTGTTTCAGTTCCTTTGCCACAGACATACAATTACCAAGTACTATATTGCTTGATAATAACTATAATTACTACAAGGACTGCCTGAGATGAAAAAGACAGGTGAAATCGAACTTTCACATGGACTGGTGTCTGAGCTGGAGAGTCTGTTTGAGTTTGAGTAGGGGAAAGCCTGAAACCCCCCACCACCTGCTCCCGTTAGTCCCTGCATTAACTAGGGGCGGACTGGGACCTGATCCTCCAAGCTGGAGGCTTGAAAACTCAAGGGCAGGCGCCTGGTCCAGCGATTCGGAAACCGAGATGCAAAGTCCTCCCGCGCTCCTAGAGAGGACCCGGAAGCGCGGCGCGGTCCCGGAAGACGAGGTGGTGACACGCTTCCGGCCTTTGTGACTCATTGTGTCTGTGTCGAGGCGTCGGGAGGGCCTAAGTCCGTGTGCGGTGCCCTTCGGCCGGCCTGAGCCCCAGAGTCAGCTCCCCTTTCTCGCCCAGCGCCCCCAGGCCGCTCCCGGGGCTCACGGTGAGACTTGGGGCCGGCCTCTGGGGTGGGAGGGCGGGGCCGCAAGGGTGTGTGCGCGAGGGTGGGCTCCGCAGCTGCGGCCCTGGGACCCCCTCCAGGCGGCCCCGCTGTTGTGCGAAGAGAGTCCATGCCCCTGCCTCCTGGCCGGGCCCGGCCGTAGAAAGCGCCGTTCTTCCTGGGAGACGTCCCCGCCCCACCCCCAGGATCAGGCGGGGAGGGGGCGAGGGTTTCAGTGGCTGAGGGTGCCCGGAGACCCGGGGAGAAGCCGTCTGTGGGCCCCTCTCCCGCAGTGTCGTCATCGCCCTTTGACGTTTCTGCAAACGGGGTCGCGAGCGAACCGACCCCGGTCTTGATTTTTCTGCTCTCCCTTAGTCGCCATTTGCTTTGATTCCGGTGAGGTGTCTTTTTCCCCCCCCGGTTCCTTCGGGACCTCGAGGTGAAATGAGCGGAAGGATGAGAGATGGACACATTTTGAGGTGCCGCATACGTTTCCAGACCTGCCTTTCCTTCTCCCACCCTCATCACTGAGCGGTGATTAAAGAGTATTTGAAGCCTAGTCATAGTGGATAAATAGGTGATTGGGATCTAGTAGAGATTATATACACCCCACTCTTTCAGCTTGATGGAATGCTTTGAAGGCTTTGGAAAAGAGCTGTCCGGGACGTTAGGTGGATTTTTCAATTCTGGATAGTTGCTCTGTTTGACATGGAGTGGGGTGAGAAGTGAAGGGAATTTGTGGAAATTGCACTGTGTCACTAGGAGACTGATTAGCTGAGTGACCTTGGATAAGACGAGACACTCACCAAGTCTTAATTTCGTCATCAATAAAAACTAACTGGATTTTCTCAAAAGGCCCTTCCGACTTCGAAATGATTTGGTCAATGTAATTGAAGAATTAACTACAGTTTAGCTTGACACTCCTCCATCCCTCCCCTCCCTTTCCTGCAGTGCCCCCTGTACACAGTAAGATACTTTCATTATAGAGAGTGGCTGTTCCATGGCCTGGGACCAAAGAAAGCATTTATTGTACGGGCCAGTGCTAGGCGGATTGGAGGCGGTCAATAAATACTTGTTGAATTGAATTGTGGAGAATTCATTGTAACCACATCAGCAAAGCACTGTTAGTATATATGCTGAACAAATGTGGAGAAATCGCTGTTTTACATAGGAAACCATGGTGATTTGCCCCAGAATGTGTATCCAGGTTTGTATCTTCTCTGAATTAACATATAAGATTCTTGTTTATTATTTCAGGCAGTTTTCACCACTCTTAAAATACAAACGAGGAAGCTAGCTACTTAGTCTTTTGCTCATTCTCGATTTAAAAGCATTTAAAATACAGATGAATAGCATATTAAATCTAACATTTTCATTCTGTGGGAGTATCAATATTCTTTGAATAGCTAGCTGTCTTTTAAGGTAGCTTTTTCATATTAAAACATTTGATTGCTCTTTAAAAAAATGAGTGTAAAGGGCAAAGGGCAATTTATTTAAAAAAAAATTTTTTTTTTTTTGAGACAGAGTCTTGCTCTGTCGCCCAGGCTGGAGTGCAGTGGTGCGATCTCGGCTTACTGCAACCTCTGCCTCCCGAGTTCAAGCGATCCTCCTGCCTCCGCCTCCCGAATAGCTGGGACTACAGGCATGTGTCCCAAGGCTTGGCTGATTTTTGTATTTTTAGTAGAGACAGAGTTTCGCCATGTTGGCCAGGCTGGTCTCGAACGCCTGATCTCAGGCAGTCCGCCAACCTCAGCCTCCCAAAGTGCTGGGATTACGGGCGTGAGCCACTGTGTGCCCAGCCTTTGTTTACATTTTCAAGACTATGCCCTGGAAAAATACTGGGCTGTTTGGAACACAGCCTTTGAGCTTGTAACTTCAAGCCGTTGTTTAAGAAAATCATTTCTGTTTATCCTAGGTGAGAACTGAGGTATCCTTAGCTGCTGGAGGTAATTTTATTTAAAGTGGATGGTATGTCAGTATGTTTTTCAGCCCATATTCACCCAGAGGTAGTTTCCTACTATCTGGAACCCCCACCCTACCCCCATTTGACTGATAAAGATACAAAATGCCAGAGAAGTTAAATACCTCTCTCAGGGATGTGCCACTTACTTGTGGGAGACTAGAATTCAGTTATTGCCTGTGCAGCTTTCACTATTACAGGAGTTGTCCCATTGCTTAATCTTCTAAGCAGGCTGAAAATTGGAATGTACAGTTACATCTTTTAAGCTTATTGAAAAAAATTAAGACATTTCTGTAGTGCCTACTAAATGCCAGGCACTATTTTAAGTGCTTTATATCTATTACCTCATTTAATCCTCACGGCAACTCTATGGGACAAATGCTGATTTTTATTCCCATTATACAGATGAGGAAACTGACGCATAGAGAGGTTAACTTGTTGACTTGCCTAAGGCCGTCAACTAGTAAGGGGTGGAGCAGCTTTAATGCTAACCTGAAACTCATCCAACTAGTCCATGGAACAAATTTGAGTGCAACATTGAATGTAGAATGATCGGGCTTTTAAAAAATAGTAACGTTGTCAATTCAGTCAAGTGTATTTTTGAAACTGAGGCTTGCAAGGAATCATGCTAAGTGGTCTAAGGAGTACAAAGAGGACTGCTCTTAATAATCTAGTTGAGGAAGAAGGCAAGAAAAATTACAGAGAAAGAAACATCATGAGAAATTTTTTTTTTTTTTTTGAGACAGAGTCTCGCTCTGTCACCCAGGCTGGAGTGCAGTGGCGCAATCGCAGCCTCCCGGGTTCACGCCATTCTCCTGCCTCAGCCTCCCAAGTAGCTGGGACTACAGGCGCCCGCCACCACACCCAGCTAATTTTTTATATTTTTAGTAGAGACGGGGTTTCATCGTGTTACCAGGATGGTCTCGATCTCCTCACCTCGTGATCCGCCCACCTCAGCCTCCCAAAGTGCTAGGATTACAGGCATGAGCCACTGCGCCCGGCGCATCATGAGAAATTACCTAGCAAATGTTTGGTGAAGAGTATTAGGGCCTTTAGAGACAGAAGAGTATGTGCTCAGATCATCTGGGAAACCTCAAATAAAACCCAGCCTTTCCACTGCTGTGATGGCTTTTCCCTGCACCCCAGAGTAGGAGCAGAGAGATACTGAAGGTGAGGAGGAGGATCTGTCCCAGTTGTGGGCAGAGGGAATGTGCCCATGTCTGTGTCTATTTCCCCCTGGACTCATTTCCTCCTTAGAGTCGCATCTTCGCACTGACCCAAGAAGTGTCCTGCTCAATAGCTAAGGCAGGATAAAACTTTCACAAAAGTAGGGATTTCTGGTGGCTGGGCTCGCTATCACACTAGTTCTGCTCAGTTACCATGTTTGAAGATCCCACCTGGTTATGTTGTAGACAGTCCCCACTTGAATCTTCTGCTGTGTCTCCTCCCTTTCCCAGGAAGGGCTTCAGTCACATAGTGACCCTCCAGTGAAAACTGGGTGGTAGATAAGGCCCGTTCCTGAGTGATTTTTTTTTCTCTTTGAGAAGGAGTCTCTCTCTGTCACCCAGGCTGGAGTGCAGTGGCGCGTTCTCAGCTCACTGCACCCTCCACCTCCCAGGTTCAAGTGATTCTCCTGCCTCAGCCTCCCGAGTAGCTGAGATTACAGGTATGTGCCACACATCCAGCTAATTTTTGTATTTTTAGTAGAGACGGGGTTTCGTCATGTTGGCCAGGCTGGTCCCGAGCTCCTCAGCTCAGGTGATCGACCCTCCTTGGCATCCCAAAGTGCTGGGATTACAGGCGTGAGCTACCGTGCCTGGCCCTGATTGATTCTTCATTGTCACGTTCATAGGCCTTCATTTTAGGATCTGTATACCCCACATGTCAGGTACAAGATAAATTTTGTATAATGGTTAAAGAGTTTACATTGGGGAATCACTTTTATTTCAAATTCTGCCTCTACCATATACTTGCTGTGTGACCTTGAGTAAGTTATTTAATGGCAGTATATCTCAGTTCTTCTTTTGTTTTTTTTTGAGATGGAGTCTCACTCTGTTGCCCAGACTGGAGTGCAGTGGTGTAATCTCAGCTCACTGCAGCCTCCGCCTCCCAGGTTGAAGCAACTCTCCTGCCTCAGCCTCCCGAGTAGCTGGGACTACAGGCATTGCACCACCACACCTGGCTAATTTTTGTATTTTTAGTAGAGATGGGGTTTTGCCATGTTATCCAGGCTGGTCTCGAACTCCTGACCTCAGGTTATCTATCTGCCTTGGCCTCCCAAAGTGCTGGGATGACAGGCATGAGCCGCTGCGCTCAGCCTCTCAGTTCTTTATACAGTGAGATGATAAGTGTAGCTACCTGCTAAGATTGTTATGTGGTCAAGTGAAAATGCTTAAATACCCGGTACCTAGAAAGCACTCAGTAAACATTGGCTCTTACTGTTATAGTTATGAGAGGGTTCTTGAACAGTGATAAGAGGCAAGTCGCGTTTTAGCTAGCTTTAAAGGTTAAGTAGGATTTGAAAAGGCAGAGAGGACTGCGGGGGGAAGTCCCAGGCATGGAGTGTGATGTGAGGAAAGGATGGCAGTCAAAATACAAGGCATATATAGGAAATACTGATGAGAGGGCTTTTGTTGCATAGGGAAGGTTTATGGGGGGATTGATGGGAAAAGAAGCTTGAGGGAAAATTGGGACCAGGCACTGGAAAGTATTAACTGCAAGGCTGTAGAGTTTTAGAAAGAATAATCTGAAAGGTGGATTGTGGGAGAGAAGGGAGAAAATGAAGGCAGGGAACCAAAGAAAGGAAGCTGGACTTCATGGAACTAGATTAAAAAAAATAAGTATGGCCTGTAATCCCAGCTACTCAGGAGGCTGAGGCAGGAGAATTACTTGAACCCGAGAGGCGGATGTTGCAGTGAGCTGAGATCATGCCATTGCACTCCAGCCTGGGCGATAGAGCAAGACTCCGTTTCAATATATATGTATATATAATTTTTGTGCTGTTATATGTACATGATCCCTTTTTCACCAAAATTAAGAATATGTTTAGTGAGAGCCATAAAACTAAAAATGCTTTTGCTAGTTTAAAACTCGGTTTAACCCATCATGATAAAGCAGTTTAATGGTCTGTTTCTAAAACTTCAATTTGATGCTTAGTTTTGATGGCTGTAGAGGTGAAAAGAATAAATTCAGAAAGATTTGTAGCTTCAGATGGAAGAATCACAGTGTCAGTTCTGCTTAGTAACTTGTGATTGATCCAACCTATCAACCATGCTGAATTTTTGTTGTTGAAATGCAGGGTATAGTCTTACAAACTAATCAGGTGGTGGCATTTTATATTTTTAACAAATAGGCTTAAGACCCACCTGAAATTCTTCATTTGAAAGATTTTTAAACAGGTTAGAAAATATTTCCAAGTTTCTTTTTTTTTTCCTTTTTTTTTTTTTTTTTTTTTTGAGATGGAGTCTCACTTTGTTACCCAGGCTGGAGTGCAATGGCGTGATCTCAGTTCACTGCAACCTCAGCCTCCTGGGTTCAAGCGATTCTCCTGCCTCAGTCTCCCAAATAGCTGGGATTACAGGCGCCTGCTACCATGCCCAGCTAATTTTTTGTATTTTTAGTAGAGACGGGGTTTCACGATGATGGCCAAGCTGGTCTTGAACTCCTGACCGCAGGTGGCCCCCTGCTCCCTGCCTCAGCCTCCCAAAGTGCTGGTATTACAGGCATGAGCCACCTCACCCAGCCCCAAGTTTCTAAAATGTGAACATAGATGGGTTTTTCCTGGATACTTGACATCATTTTTGGCAGTTAAATTACATAACAATGGAACCATTTCATACAGCTGTTCCTGTAATTGCCCTTTCTTCACACTTTCTTTAAAGAAGCTGATTACTCATTGGTGACTTTTTCTTTGATTTAGACTGACATTGGTTTTTACCTCCTAATGTGGCTAAAACCTTACTCTAGATAGAAGCTTCATCTGTGCCATTTTCTTCTTGTTCACATCTGTTTATATTATTAGTGTGTCCTGTAATTGCAGTTTCTCTATAAGAATCTTTTTTTTTTTTTTTTTCCTTTTCCTGATAGGGCTTTGCTCTGTCACCCAGGCTGGAATGCAGTGGCGTGATCGTAGCTGACTGCAGCCTCAAACTTCTGGTTTCATGCAATCCTCCCACCTTAGCCTCCTGAGTAGCTGTGACTGCAGACACAGTCCCCATGCCCAGCTAATTTTTTTCTTTTTCATAGGGACAGGGTCTTGCTATGTTGCCCAGGCTGGTCTCAAACTTCTGGCTTCAAGCATCCTCCTGCCTCATCCTCCCAAAGGGCTGGAATTATAGGCATGAGCTACCATATCTGGCCACAAGAATCTTTAAAGCTGCTTGTCTCTTTTATGACAGAGTCTCGCTCTGTGGCCAGGATGGAGTGCAGTGGCGCGATCTCGGCTCACTGCAACCTCCGCCTCCTGGGTTCAAGTGATTCTCCTTCCTCAGCCTCCCAAGTAGCTGGGACTACAGGTGCCCGCCACCGCGCCCAGCTAATTTTTCTATTTTTAGTAGAGACAGGGTTTCACCATGTTGACCAGGATGGTCCCGATCTCCTGACCTCGTGATCCGCACGCCTTGGCCTCCCAAAGTTTTGGGATTATAGGCATGAGCCACTGCGCCCAGCCAAAGCTAGATTTAGAAATCCATTATTTCACATAACTGGTCTCAGATAAACCAGTCTACATCACAATGTCTAAAATGAACAACACCTGTGACAGGTCAGCACAGACTAAGTAAGTGTATTAGTGTCAATTTATAGCTTAATTTCTCTCTCTTTTAAGATACAGACATTCCAATTATTTTCTTTCTGTATCCTTTGCGGATCATCTTGTACTTTGGAAACCACAATTTAACTGCCCAAGTCACTCATAAAAATAGCAAAAGTAGCTGGATGGTACAAAAGTAGGTCCCAGGGCTTCAAATTTGGTTGAATATTGACTCCAGTAGGCAGCCACCTACTACTGAGCAAACCTAACCCTCAGTTATGTCATTTGTAAAACAGCACTTAACAGTTTGGCCGACCTGCTAGGGCTGTTGTAGGGACAAAAGAAGATGGTGCGTGTACTGCTTTAAGCCTGGCACCTGGCACTCTGCTAACATTCAGCTCTCTGGGCTGGGCACTGTTAATGCTCCATTTCGTAACCTGCTGTCAACCTGCAGGTAAATCACTCTGACTCCAAGCAAACACCCTGAGGGTGGAGTCGGCCTGTTTGAGGTTTCTGTTTGCAAATCTTGATATATGAAGTGACAGTGGAGATTGTACAGTTTTTTCCTCGATTTGTCAGGATTTTTTTTTTTTTGACGGAGTTTAACTTCTTGTCTCCCAGGTAGGAAGTGCAGTGGCGTAATCTCGGCTCACTACAACCTCCACCTCCTGGGTTCAAGCGTTTCTCCTGCCTCAGCTTTCCGAGTAGCTGGGATTACAGGCGCCTGCCACCATGCCCTGCTGACTTTTGTATTTTTAGTAGAGACGGGGTTTCACCATGTTGGCCAGGCTGGTCTTGAACTCCTGACCGCAGGCGATTGGCCTGCCTCGGCCTCCCAAAGTGCTGAGATTACAGGCGTGAGCCACCACCCCCGGCCTCAGGAGCGTTCTGATAGTGCCTCGATGTGCTGCCTCCTATAAAGTGTTAGCAGCACAGATCACTTTTTGTAAAGGTACGTACTAATGACTTTTTTTTTATACTTCAGGAATAGTAAAGAAACACATCATAAAACCTCCCAGGACATAAAGGTGAGCACAGACCCTGTTTGGATCAAGTCAGTTCCTGGAGCCTGAATGATGACTGCTGAATCACGGGAAGCCACGGGTCTGTCCCCACAGGCTGCACAGGAGAAGGATGGTATCGTAATAGTGAAGGTGGAAGAGGAAGATGAGGAAGACCACATGTGGGGGCAGGATTCCACCCTACAGGACACGCCTCCTCCAGACCCAGAGATATTCCGCCAACGCTTCAGGCGCTTCTGTTACCAGAACACTTTTGGGCCCCGAGAGGCTCTCAGTCGGCTGAAGGAACTTTGTCATCAGTGGCTGCGGCCAGAAATAAACACCAAGGAACAGATCCTGGAGCTTCTGGTGCTAGAGCAGTTTCTTTCCATCCTGCCCAAGGAGCTCCAGGTCTGGCTGCAGGAATACCGCCCCGATAGTGGAGAGGAGGCCGTGACCCTTCTAGAAGACTTGGAGCTTGATTTATCAGGACAACAGGTAAAAAGAGGTGAAACCTATTATGTGTGAGCAGGGCACAGACGTTGAAACTGGAGCCAGGAGAAGTATTGGCAGGCTTTAGGTTATTAGGTGGTTACTCTGTCTTAAAAATGTTCTGGCTTTCTTCCTGCATCCACTGGCATACTCATGGTCTGTTTTTAAATATTTTAATTCCCATTTACAAAGTGATTTACCCACAAGCCCAACCTGTCTGTCTTCAGGTCCCAGGTCAAGTTCATGGACCTGAGATGCTCGCAAGGGGGATGGTGCCTCTGGATCCAGTTCAGGAGTCCTCGAGCTTTGACCTTCATCACGAGGCCACCCAGTCCCACTTCAAACATTCGTCTCGGAAACCCCGCCTCTTACAGTCACGAGGTAAGAAGCAAGGTTTCATTTAGGGGAAGGGAAATGATTCAGGACGAGAGTCTTTGTGCTGCTGAGTGCCTGTGATGAAGAAGCATGTTAGTCCTGGGCAACGTAGCGAGACCCCATCTCTACAAAAAATAGAAAAATTAGCCAGGTATAGTGGCGCACACCTGTGATTCCAGCTACGCAGGAGGCTGAGGTGGGAGGATTGCTTGAGCCCAGGAGGTTGAGGCTGCAGTGAGCTGTAATCATGCCACTACTCCAACCTGGGCAACACAGCAAGGACCCTGTCTCAAAAGCTACTTACAGAAAAGAATTAGGCTCGGCACGGTAGCTCACACCTGTAATCCCAGCACTTTGGGAGGCTGAGGCGGGCAGATCACTTGAGGTCAGGAGTTTGAGACCAGCCTGGCCAACATGGTGAAACCTTGTCTCTACTAAAAATATGAAAATTAGCCAGGCATGGTGGCACATTCCTGTAATCCCAGCTACTCGGGAGGCTGAGGCAGGAGAATCACTTGAACCCAGGAGGTGGAGGTTGCAGTAAGCCGAGATCGTACCACTGTGCTCTAGCCTTGGTGACAGAGCGAGACTGTCTTAAAAAAAAAAAAAAAAAAAAAAGAATTAATTAAAAATTTAAAAAAAAATGAAAAAAAGCTGCATGCTTGTTTTTTGTTTTTAGTTATTCTACATTGTTGTCATTATTACCAAATATTGGGGAAAATACAACTTACAGACCAATCTCAGGAGTTAAATGTTACTACGAAGGCAAATGAACTATGCGTAATGAACCTGGTAGGCATTATTTATTGAATTATCAGCATTCCAGATGTCCAGCACATTTTTAATAGGAAAGTATTGGGAACAGATGTCATTATTTTCAGCCTAGGTTTTAAAACATTTTAGTATGTCATGAATTATCTTCAAAAGGATCATAAATCTTTTTTAAAGGTCCATTTTATTTAAAATATATAAAAATAATCACTGCACTGCAGCCTGGGTGACAGAGAGTCTGTTTCCAAAAAAAAAAAAAAAAACTATAGCATCAGTCTTTTCTAGGTTATTTTCAGAAATTTCAAACAATGGGAAAAGAATGGAAGAACTTTTGAGGGGAGTTGAGGAACACGAAAAAAGATCAGTTCACAGTCATATAAATAAAAAGTCATGTTACTTGTTTTTTCTCTTTTGACGGAAATATGTAATACATTTATCCAGTTTTAAAATCAAAGTATGTGCTTAGAATGTAAAGACAAGGAATGCTAAAAGTACATTTATCACTTAATGGCAGGGATAAGTTATGGTAAGTGCAATGTTAAGTGATTTTGTTGTGCGAACATCATAAAGTATACTTATACAAACCTAGATGGTCTAGCCTTCTCCACACCTACGCTACAAAGCTGTACAGTATGTTACTGTACTAAACACTGTAGGGAATTGTAACACAGTGGTAAGTATTTGTGTATCTAAACATCGAAAAAGTAAAAACAGAGTATAAAAGATTTTTAGCCCAGGCACAGTGGCTCACGCCTGTAATCCCAGCACTTTGGGAGGCCAAGGTGGGTGGATCACTTGAGGTTAGGAGTTTGTGACCAGCCTGGCCAACATGTTAAAACCCGGTCTCTACTGAAAATACAAAAATTGGCTGAGCGCAGTGGCTCACACCTATAATCCCAGCACTTTAGGAGGCCAAGGCAGGCAGATCACCTGAGGTCAGGAGTTCGAGATCAGCCTGACCAACGTGGAGAAACCCCGTCTTTACTAAAAATACAAAATTAGCCAGGCCTGGTGGCAGGTGCCTATAATCCCAGCTACTCAGGAGGCTGAGGCAGGAGAATTGCTTGAACTCAGGCAGCAGAGGTTGCGGTGAGCCAAAATCGCACCATTGTCATGCCATCGCACTCCAGCCTGAGCAACAAGAGTGAAACTCATCTCAAAAAAAAAAAAAAAAAAAAAAAAAGTACACCTGTATGGAACACTTAACCATGACTGGAGCTTGCAGGACCGGAAGTTGCTCTGGATGAGTCAGTGAGTGAGTGGTGAGTGAATGTGAAAGCCTAGGACACTACTCTACCATAGACTGTAGAAACACTGTACACTTAGGCTACACTAAATTTATCTTTAAAATTTTTGTTTCTTCAATAATAAATCAGCCAGGCATGGTGGCTCATGGCTTAATCCCAGCACTTCGGGAGTCCAAGGTGGGCGGATTACTTGAGGCCAGGAGTCTCAGACTGGTTTGGCCAACATAGTGAAACACTGTCTCTACAAAATAAAAAAATTAGCCAGGCGTGGTGGTGCATGCCTGTAATTCCAGTTACTCAGGAGGCTGAGGCACAAGAATTGCTTGAACCTGTAGGCAGAGGTTGTGGTGAGCCAAGATTGCACCACTGCACTCCAGCCTGGGTGACAGAGTGAGACTCTGTCTCAGAAAAAAAAAATAAATAAATAAATACAAATAATAAATTAGCTTACTGTAACTTTTTTACTTTATGAACTTTTTGATTTTTTTAACTTTTTGACTGTTGTAATAACATAACTCAAAAGACAAACATGTTGCACAGCTATACAAAAACATTTTTTATCCCCCTATTCTATAGGGGTTTTTCTAGTTAAAAAAATTTTTATTTTATACTTTTTAAGCTTTTTTTGTTAAAAATTCATACACCCTCCAAGCTAGGCAACAGAGCAAAACTCCATCTCAAAAAAGAAAAAAAAAGGCCAGGCGCAGTGGCCCACGCCTCTAATCCTGGCACTTTGGGAGGCGAAGGTGGGCAAATCACTTGAGGTCAGGAGTTCAAGACCAGCCTGGCCAACATGGCGAAACGCCGTCTGTACTAAAAATACAAAAATTAGTTGGTTGTGGTGGTGTACACCTGTAATCGCAGCTACTCAGGAGGCTGAGACACAAGAACGCTTGAACCCGGGAGGTGGAGGTTGCAGCAAACCAAGATGGCTCCTCTGCACTCCAGCCTGGGCGACAGAGCAACACTCATCTCAAAAAAAAAAAAAAAAGAATTGGTCGAGGCACATTCCTTAACCAGTGTGTTTATTGGTGATGACATTTAAGGAATATTAGACATGGAGCTTAAGGATGCATCCTCTCTTCCGTGCATCCTGGAGGACAGCCAGCAGGTATGTGCTAGAGAAAGCTGTGTAAACTGGTGCACCGTGGCCAGGCGTGGTGGCTCACGCCTGTAATTCCAGCACTTTGGGAAGCCGAGGCAGGAGGATCACAAGGTCAGGAGATTGAGACCATCCTGGCTAACGGTGAAACCCCGTCTCTCCTAAAAATACAAAAAATTAGCCAGGCATGGTGGCGGGTGCCTGTAGTCCCAGCTACTCAGGAGGCTGAGGCAGGAGAATGGCGTGAACCCGGGAGGCGGAGCTTGCAGTGAGCCGAGATTGCGCCACTGCACTCCAGCCTGGGCAACAGAGGGAGATGCTGTCTCAAAAAAAAAAAAAAAAAACACCGGTGCACCGTGATGTTTAACTCCACTACTGTTGATGTTCTTGTAAGGTTTCTCCACACTCTACAAGCAGAAGTCACAGGGCGACCTTAGGAAACTGGAGAGGATATTCATGGTCTTAAGCACTAGATTATAGAGTTTAGGTTGCCAGAGTAACAGTTTCAAAGATCCTGGCACACACAGTTGCTCTTTAGTAAATAGTTCTTAAATAAATTGAGACATGTACATTTATTCTCAATTTCCTCTTTCTTATTTGTTTTCCAGAGTGTTTCCTTACTCTCAGAAGTTTAAAAAATTAAGTACTTGGGGCTGGGCGCAGTGACTCACGCCTGTAATCCCAGCACTTTGGGAGGCTGAGGTGGCCAGATCATAAGGTCAAGAGATCGAGATCATCCTGGCCAACATGGTGAAACCCCGTCTCTACTAAAAATACAAAAACTAGCTGAGCGTGGTGGCAGGCACCTGTAGTCCCAGCTATTTGGGAGGCTGAGGCAGCAGAATCACTTGAACCCAGGAGGGGAGGTTGCAGTGAGCCGAGATCGCGCCATGCACACCAGCCTGGGTGATAGAGCGAGACTCCATCTCCAAAAAAAAAAAAAGTACTTGGGTACAGTGGCTCACACCTGTAATCCTAGCATTTGGGGAGACCAAGGTGGGAGGATCACTTGAGCCTGGGAGGTCAAGGCTGCAGTGAGACATGTTTGAGCACTGCATTCCAACCTGGGTGACAGAGAGCCTATCTTATTGTTGTATAAAGGTTTGAAATAGGTACAAGGTTTGGTCATTCAGTTTCAAATTCATTTCTCAAATATCCTTGTATCTCACTAACATCATCTGTCTACCAGTAACATTTCCAAATCTAATAGTACTTGGCAAGAGATGGGGAGGGGGTTAAATTGCACAATTTAAAATTTTCATAATTGTTATGCATCACAGTTATTGTGATCACGTGATAATGTTATGCATGTCTTTTGTTGTGTGTCAGCCCCAACTTTTGTCTCAGCATTTGAACCATGCATACATCTTATCAAAAAAAAAAAAAAAAAACAGTATTTATTGTGGCCAAGTGAGGGAGAAAAGTAGAGGGACAAAAACTGGCAAAAACTTAGCCAGAGGTGGCCGGACACAGTGGCTAACACTTGTAATCCCAGAGCTTTGGGAGGCCGAGGCGGGCAGATCACCTGAGGTCAGGAGTTCGAGACCAGCCTGACCAACATGGAGAAACCCCGCCTCTACTAAAAATACAAAATTAGCTGGGCGTGGTGGCTCATGCCTGTAATCCCAGCTACTCTGGAGGCTGAGGCAGGAGAATCACTTGAACCCGGGAGCCGAAAGTTGCGATGAGCTAAGATCGCACCATTGCACTCCAGCCTGGGCAACAAGAGCAAAACTCTGTCTCAAAAAAAAAAAAAAAAAAAAAAAAACTTACCCAGAGCTAAGGAGACCTCCTTACTTCCCTGCCTTTCTGGATATTGCTACTAAAGTGTTTTTTTTGTTGTTGTTTTTCTGGATTTCATTGAGACGGGGTCTCACTCTATCATCCAGGCTGGAGTGCGTGATCATAGCTCACTGCAGCCTCGACCCCTTGAGCTCAAGCAATCCTCCCGCCTCACCTGCCACTAAAGATTTTAAAGCTGTGTTGTGTTTTCCACAAGTGTAGGCATAAATGGGATTCTCATATCCTGGTATCGTTCCTTGGACTGGAGGAAATTAGGAGCCAGACTTGAGCTATGGGCTGAAGGTACCCACTTTTATAGCTGAGAATAGGAACCTGGGTCCCCATCCTGGCTCTGCCACTGGGAATGTGACATTAGGGAAGTCATTTGCAGTCTCAGGGACTCAAGTTTCCCCTTCTTTAAAATAAAAGGGTTGGACCAGGTGATTAGGACCCTTTTATGACTCCTGCTCAAGAGTAGAGGTCTTGGGAAAACTGAGGCCCTGTGTTCTCTCGTTTGTGTTGTCTGGAATTCTGTATTTGGGACCTAAACACTGAACAGTGAACATGCTGGTGCAGGAAGGAACATGCCCCGAGCCCTTCTTTGAGCAAGGCTCAGAGCGGAGCTGATTTACTCACAGACCCTTTCTCCTCCCCCAGCTCTTCCTGCTGCCCACATTCCTGCACCCCCTCATGAGGGTAGTCCCAGAGACCAGGCGATGGCATCTGCACTATTCACAGCGGATTCCCAGGTGAGCTGTGGCCCCTCTGCTCTCCTGAGTCCTCAGTGTCTGCCTCTGTTCCTGAGCTCTCTTCATTATCTCCACAGGCCACTCTGGATGCCCCTGCTCTCAAAGAAGCCCCAACCCTGTCCTCTCCTTTTAGCATCTTTCTACCACAAACTCCCCTCCACCCCCAGGTTCTGGCCACCCTTTTCTTCCCAGCGTCCTGTAGCTTTGCAGCCACCTCTCTTCCTGACTCCAGGTTTGAGCAATGGGATTGTCCCTGAGTTTGGGGGGAAATGACTGTTTGTCTCGTGTTATTTTAGGCAATGGTGAAGATCGAGGACATGGCTGTGTCCCTCATTCTGGAGGAATGGGGATGTCAGAATCTGGCTCGGAGGAATCTCAGTAGGGACAACAGGCAGGAGAATTATGGGAGCGCATTTCCCCAGGGTAAGACGGATGCAGGCTTACTGTCTGATAAGATGGTTTTGTCTCTCTGTGTGTTAGCTGTGGGATCTCTGATGTGTTCAATTGAGTGTTGAGGAGTTAGAGACTACCTATCCCCTTTTGTAGACCAGATGGAAAGTGAGAATGTTTGTGTTCATTTAACTCCAGAAGCATGGTACTGTGACCCTGATTCCAGGTGGGTTTTTTATTGCTAAGTAGTTTTTGCTCTTTAAAATCAGAAATAATTGAGTTCCAAGTCCTCACCTCTTCAGCCACTCAGTTGCCTGGGAGGCAGTTCTGCTCCGTTCCCATGGATTACAATTTAGGTGCCTCTGTCGGGGGAATATCTTTCCTAGCAGAGATGACCAGGCGAACTGATCATCCGTCTAATCCCAACCCATTGTCCCGGTACCACATTCCCGAAACTACCAAGCATCCTTCTGTTGGCTTTCTGTCTTCTTCCATCCTGTGTGATTAGTGTGATTCCAATACACTGCTTTGTGTAATTCCACGAACTTGCACCTGGACTGTCCTTGTGATGAGGATTCCCAGCTTCCAAACTTAATGGTGATTTTCTATGAAGAGCTCTGGGTCCTGGATGTGTAGTAAGAACGAGGAAGTTCAAGAGGCATCAGCCAGATAAGACAAGGTGACACTGTTGGCAGACATTTCCATTTGTCTCTGCTGGATCTTAACCCCTCAGGACAGTGCTGCAAAGAAGCCCTCACGTGAGTACAGCAATAGGGAGGTCCACAGCAAGCTTCTACCTGGAGAGGGCAAAGGGAGTGTGAATAAAGCGTGAACATGAAGGATGTTACTAATGAAACATCAAGTTCTATTTTTGATCAGGCATAAATGGGGCTTATAATTTCTCTTGGTACTTGCTCTTTGTACTAGATGATTTTTTTTTTTTTTTTTTTTTTTTGAGACAGGGTCTTGCTGTTTCCCAGGCTGGCATGCAGTGCTGCGATCACAGCTCACTGCAGCCTCGACCTCTCAGGCTCAAGCAATCCTCCCACCTCAGCCTCCCAAGTAGCTGGGACTACAGGCATGCATCACCATGCCCAGCTAATTTTTACATGTTCTGTAGAGAAGAGGTTTCGCCATGTTGCCTAGGCTGGTCTCAAAACCCTTGGGCTAAAGTGATCCACCTGTCTCCACTTCCTGGAGTTCTGGGATTTAACAGGAGTGAGCCACTGCACCTGGTCTCCAGCATTGTTTTCTGTTTCTTTTTTGTTCTGAGTTATTCTGTGTCAGTCAGTGAAGGGTTTAATTATTTTTACTAATGTCGTAACCACTTTTTTCCACCTACTCCTCTGTTACTTGAGCACTGTCAGCTCTGTGTTCCTCTCCTTGTTGGATAGAAACTATTTCCTGTGTCTGAAGATTCCTGTAGCCTGCCAGGTTCAAAACAAGTTCCTTGACCAGGCACAATGGCTCACACCTGTAATCCCAACACTCGAGGAGGCTGTGGCAAGAGGATCGCTTGAAGCCAGGAGTTCAGGACCAGCATGGGCAATATAGCAAGACCACTGTCTCTACAAAAAAATTTAAAAATTAGCCAGGCGGGGTGGTGCAGGCCTATAGTCCCAGCTACTTGGGAGGCTGAGGCAGGAGGATCACTTGAGCCCAGGAGATCGAGGCTGCAGTGAGCTGTGCTCATGCCACTGTACTCCAGCCTGGCTGACAGAACAAGACCCTGTCTCAAAAACAAAAACAAAACAAAGTTTCTTGTTTGTTAATCATCAGCTTGTTGATAGAAAACTCACAGAATTGGAGAAATATTTACTATTCCTTTCTTTCTGCTAATACCACTAATCATTTTCTATGAAAGACCTGTTCTTTTTTTGAACTTATGAATAATGTTAGAAATGGAACATGATGTTTTAAATGTATACATAAACCTTCCAATTAATTATCAGGTGATCCAGTAGTAGACCTGTGACCTCTGAAGGCTCCTGCTTCTCATCCCTTCCCTTCTGCTGTGATTTGTTGTCTTCCCTCTGCTCATTCCCCTTGTGTCTGTTTCTTCCATCCTCTCCCCATGCTCCCTCTGTTGTCATTTCCCCTTACTCTCCACTCTTTGCCTGCGCTCTCATTTTCCAAATTTTTGTTGTTCCAAAACTAGGACAACAGATCTTCCTGTTGTCCCAGTTTTTCCCCTTGTTTTTCTCCTATTTTATGTCCAATTAATATTGTGAAGTCAGGCCGGGTGCAGTGGCTCATGCCTGTAATCCCATCACTTTGGGAGGCCAGGGCAGGTGGATCACCTGAGGTCAGGAGTTTGAGAGCAGTCTGGCCAACATGGTGAAACCCCGTGTCTACTAAAAAAATACAAAAGTTACCCGGGCGTAGGCCAGGCGTGGTGGCTCACGCCTGTAATCCCAGCACTTTGGGAGGCCGAGGCGGGTGGATCACGAGGTCAGGAGATCGAGACTATCCTGGCTAACATGGTGAAACCCCGTCTACACTAAAAATACAAAAAATTAGCCGGGCGTGGTGGCGGGCGCCTGTAGTCCCAGCTACTCAGGAGGCTGAGGCAGGAGAATGGCGTCAACCTGGGAGGCGGAGCTTGCAGTGAGCCGAGATCACGCCATTGCACTCCAGCCTGGGTAACAGAGCAAGACTCCATCTCAAAAAAAAAAAAAAGTTACCCGGGCGTGGTAGCATGCACCTATAGTCCCAGCTACTTGGGAGGCTGAGGCAGGAGAATCACTTGAACCTGGGAGGCGGAGGTTGCAGTGAACTGAGATCACGTCACTGCACTCCAGCCTGGGCGACAGAGCGAGACTCTGTCTCAAAGGAAATAAAAATAAAAATATTGCAAAGTCATTTTGCAGCCGTGTAGAAGCTTCTCGGGAAACTGTCGCTTGACCCACCTGTATATTCAAAAGAAAAAGGTGCGATTTGAATTTTCTATTTATTATGTCAGGTGGTGAAAACAGGAATGAGAACGAGGAGTCAACCTCAAAGGCTGAAACCTCGGAAGATTCAGCATCACGCGGGGAGACAACAGGAAGATCCCAGAAAGAGTTTGGAGAGAAACGTGACCAGGAGGGCAAAACAGGAGAAAGACAGCAGAAAAACCCTGAGGAGAAAACCAGGAAAGAGAAAAGAGATTCAGGGCCAGCTATAGGAAAGGACAAAAAAACCATCACAGGAGAGAGAGGTCCAAGGGAGAAGGGGAAAGGATTGGGAAGAAGCTTCAGTCTGAGCTCCAACTTCACCACCCCTGAAGAAGTTCCCACGGGAACAAAGTCTCACAGATGTGATGAATGTGGTAAATGCTTCACGAGAAGTTCAAGCCTTATCCGCCATAAAATAATCCACACTGGAGAAAAGCCCTATGAATGTAGTGAGTGTGGGAAAGCCTTCAGTCTTAACTCCAACCTTGTCCTGCATCAGAGGATCCACACAGGAGAGAAACCTCATGAATGTAACGAGTGTGGCAAGGCCTTCAGCCACAGTTCCAATCTCATCCTCCATCAGCGCATCCACTCTGGAGAGAAACCTTATGAATGTAATGAGTGCGGGAAGGCCTTCAGCCAGAGCTCGGACCTCACCAAGCATCAGAGAATTCACACGGGGGAGAAACCCTATGAATGTAGTGAATGTGGAAAAGCTTTCAACCGAAACTCATACCTGATTTTGCATCGGAGAATTCACACTCGAGAAAAGCCCTACAAGTGCACTAAGTGTGGCAAGGCCTTCACCCGCAGCTCCACCCTCACTCTGCATCACAGAATCCATGCCAGAGAGAGAGCCTCTGAGTACAGCCCAGCCTCCCTTGATGCATTTGGCGCGTTCCTGAAAAGTTGTGTGTAAAGGAAGAATTTGCCATCAAGCCATTTCCCCCTTTTGTTTCTAAAATTATTTCAGAGATGTGTGCTCCTGGAGGGAAAAAGAAATACAGCCTCAACAGATTAAAAAACAAAAGTCACACTTAAGGATCCTTCTAGTCACATCAGCAGTGTTCTGCCTTTATGTAGTAGTTGGGCATATAATCCTTCCACACAGCCCCTGCAGGGAAAGGCTAATCTTACGGATAATCCACGTGAGATTTCCACACAAGAGAAAAGCACACGCATAGTGAAATGTCAGTCTTTTCAGTAATGAGGATACCTTTAAGGCACTCTTGGACTCTCGGCAACCACAACATAATAGTTGAAAGATCAAGATTGGCTCCACGAAAGTGATACGGAGGTTAGGATGCTACTTGCTGCAAACAAGCCCTACTTTGGCCAACATCCTGCTTATTTCTCAAAAAAGAGGGACAGTGAAAACAAAAACGACATTGGGACATGCTGCTCAAGGTAGTTATATATACGATAAGTTGTATATATGATCACTGGTAGCCTACCAAAGCTGTAGAAATCTAGGACTGTGCTAATCAGTATCAAACCAAAGATTTCTATCTCTTCCCGAAAGAGAGGGTATGTGCACCAGTCTACAGTTCCAAAGGACTGCAACAAATGTAGATGGTTCTGTCCTCATCCCTGAGATCAGTTCTACTGAAATGGCAACAACAACTCCAAATACATCTCTCCCTTCTTGAAATCCCTAAAGCACTATCGCACTCCTAAATGCATTTCTCCACAAGTTAGCACTTGATTGTATACTGTCTTTTAATCCTTCATTGTTTCATGTATGAAGTTTTTAATCACCCCCTAACCCCCAAAAAAGATTCGGTTGTCAAGGGATATATTTCTATCCCTGCCAGCACAGTGCTGGACATAGTGAGTACTGAACACCTAAGAGGCACTCATTCAGACTGACTTCTACAGGACTTCTACGTGTGTGATAAAAGCCTGTGAATCGTGAGTCCCTGAAATATGGTAGCCTGGCCCAGCTTCTAAAGAGGACCTTCGTAGCCACAAGGCATGCTAAACCTCTAGGGTCTGATGCTGTTTTTGTTCCAAATATAAACGAAAGGCACTAGTCAGCCGCCTGCATAGACTTTCTAAACAGTGAGTAAATACCATGGAATGTCAGAAATGACTTTATCATCGTCATCTTGAAGAAAAATATGAACACTGATGAAGGTCATTTTTTTTTTTTGACATCTTTCTGTGGCAAAGCTCTTAGAATTCTTTGCAGTTAGCTGCTGAACAGTATGATGATTTGGGGATTTTCTGAATCATTTGTACTTAGATACTGGAGTTCAGAAGATGTGATTTTTGTTGCTTTTCAGAAAAAGGAACGTGGTAGGGAGTGTTTTTTCCCACGCTTTTCCAGTAACTTTGCAAAAGCATTAATTGTTCACTGGCAATTACTAAATGTATTTTGTTGCTCTGAGAAACTCAGCAGTGTACTGAGATGTGGCTGGCTGTGCCATCGTCATAGTGCACAGTGACTTTTCTGTTTCTTATCACTAAAGACTGAGGTGAGGTTATGAAACTTTCATTGGTCCCATCGTTGTGCGCAGGGTGCAACTGGCTACCTAGAAGCTGATGGCAGGAGACTGTTTCACACACAGGAGATTGTGAGCTGTGTAAGTAGTCATCGCCACTCAAGTAGGACAAGGGTCCTACCCAAGGCTAGGACCGCCCTGCGGAAACAGAAACATAGACTGAGAACAAACCTCAAGACTATCAGTGTGACCTCCCCATAACAAGAGAACCCCATATATAGTTTGAGACTTTCCCTTGAGAAACTTATACTAAAACTATTACTCATCAGTCATTCACTGATCAGCAGCTAAAGTCCATGAGACCAAATGGTTTTATATGGAACCAACGAAGTGGGAGCTAAAACTGCACAGTGGTCATTCTTTGGCCTCTCCTTGGCTTTATGACTTAAACCAACTACAACTTCCCTATAGCTTCTAAGCAGTTTCATCAGCATTACTTGGGAAAACGTGTTGCAAGTCAACCAGTCACTAGGATATTTCTACCCATGCAACGGAAGAAAAACCCATTACTCCAGAAGAGTATATCTAAGTAACTAAAATGGAGGCAGAAAATGTTTTAAGGATTTTCTTCAAAGAATAAGCCACAGCAATGGTTTTGTAGAAAACTCCTGTGCTTTTGAGCAAGGACTTTTGCCCTCTAGAAAGCAACTGAGGCCAGGTGCGGTGGCTCACGCCTGTAATCCCAGCACTTTGGGAGGCCGAGGTGAGCGGATCACCTGAGGTCAGGAGTTTTGAGACCAGCCTGGCCAACATGGTAAAATCCCGTCTCTACTAAAATTATAAAAATTAGCCGGGCATGATGGTGGGCACCTGTAATCCCAGCTACTTGGGAGGCTGAGGCAGGAGAATCACTTGAACCCAGGAGGCAGAGGTTGCAGTGAGCCAAGATTGCACACTGCACTCCAGCCTGGGTGACTAGCAAAACTCCATCTCAAAAAAAAAAAAAAGAAAGAAAGAAACTGAAAAGTGAGGTGTGGAACTCCAGGCAACGACCCAAGCACTTATTTTTTAAGAGGGAAAGGACTTTGGTCATGTTTACATTGGCCTTTGGTTTTTTTTTTTCTTTCAGCCACAACTATATGCTGATATAACTCAGCCATCACTTTTGAGTTTTGTTTTTAAATGAAGGTTAAATGTGACCTGTGCCCTCACATTTAATTCCGTTTCATGGAGACATCTTCCTGACTTTGTTGGATAGCTGCCACTAGGGTTGCTTCGATCTTCAGCCACATGCTGTCCTTGAAGCAGCTATTTGAAGATGTGTTTTCTGAGGAAAACAGGCTACAACTGTTTATTAAAACCACTTGCAGTGCATTCGTTTATCAGATGCTCAGTGCAAAGTGTAATTGGGTCATGGTCAAAAACGCTTGCAACATCTAATTGGCGTTCAAGATAGTCATTCAAAAGTTCTTGGCCCGCTGAAGTCTGTTAACAGTTGAAACATTCTACAGTTAACCATTAGCATGCTAGTTGTCCTAATGGAAATTTTTGAAGAGTTTTTCAATATATACCCTACCCTTGCCAGGAAGAGAAGTAAAATCCTCAGGTTGTGGGGTATTTGTTTCTACTCCAGCCTGGCAGGCAAGGCTAAAACCTGAGATTATCGATCTATGAGACATCTTGATATGTAAAGCACTTAATATTAAAGGCATAAAAGTGAAACTGCTAAATATGTATAGAGAGGTTGACGTGTGATACGTGGGACAGTTCACATAGACATCAGAGAATTTATTCCAGAAAGGAGCCTCCTGAATGTGATGAATACGGCAAAGCCTTTAATCACATCTCAGCCCTTAGCATCGGAAAGCTTATACTGTAAATAAACTTGATGAATATTATATGTGAGGAAAACTTTCATGTATAGCACTCATTGCTTCAGACAGAAAATGAATTCCGTCGGTATGTTCCAATCGTGATGAATTTGAGAAACATTGCAAGAGGGAGCTCAATCTTGGCCGGGCGCCGTGGCTCACGCCTGTAATCGCAGCACTTTGGGAGGCCGAGGCAGGCGGATCACGAGGTCAGTAGTTCGAGACCAGCCTGGCCAACATGGTGAAACCTTGTCTCTACTAAAAATACAAAAAAAAATTAGCTGGGCACAGTGGCGCACGCCTGTAGTCCCAGCTACTCGGGAGGCTGAGGCAGGAGAATGGCTTGAACCTGCGAGGCGGAGGTTGCAGTGAGCTAAGATCATGCCACTGGCACTCCAGCCTTGAGTGACAGAGCGAGGCTCTGTATCAAAAAAAAAAGTTGCGGGGGGGTGCTCAATCTTAACTGCAGAGGATCTACAGATGAAAAAAAATGTGGGGAAATGCTTTAAAAAAATAGCAAAATGTGCAACTTCTTACAAAAATTGTTAACGTTAGGTACTTCTATATATTTTATATGACCATAATGTCCGTGTGTGTTTTGTACCTTCAGTCCCTTGTTATTGTTCCGTATATTACCTGTAAGCAGATACTGTATTTTATTTTAGCCTATTTGACAGAACACATCACTCAGAAAAAGTGAAGTTTCAGAGCAAACAGTGAAGAAATCAGTGTGATTGTAGACAAAAAGTCGGTTCACAGAACGGAGCAGCGGGGAGAGGAAGGGAAAAGCTTCATAGTTTGGTGCTTATCACATCAAGAGATTGGTAAATTTCTGAGGAAAGACAGGCTAATGGGGCACTGAAATGGAACAACTCCTTTAAACGTGCAGCCTTTTGAATTTTTCCTCAAAACCAAGAAGTTGACCTCTGAGCTGTCAGGTGACCACTGTGTGCAAAGGGGATGGATTCTCTTGTCAGTAGACGGTCTTCTCCATGAAGCGAGAGTAGGAAGTGTACTGGAATGGCCAAGTGGGACTGCTTCAGCTGACCAGGTTCTTTTAAACCGTAGTCATGCTTTCCCACTAACTCTTAAATCCTTATGCTTAGAAAATTGAGGATAAGGCTGGGCACAGTGGCTCAGGCCTGTAATCCCAGCACTTTGGGAGACCAAGGCGGGTGGATCACAAGGTCAGGAGATCGAGACCATCCTGGCTAACATGGCGAAACCCCGTCTCTACTAAAAATACAAAAAAATAGCTGGGCGTGGTGGCGGGCGCCTGTAGTCCCAGCTACTCAGGAGGCTGAGGCAGGAGGATCACTTGAACATGGGAGGCGGAGGTTGCAGTGAGCCAAGATGGCGCCACTGCACTCCAGCCTGGGTGATGGCGTGAGACTCCATGTCAAAAAAAAAAAAAAGGTTGGGGGGAGGATAGGACTGGCCAGGCACGGTGGCTCACTCCTGTAATCTCAGCACTTTGGGAGGCAGAGGTGGGCGGATCACTTGAGGTCAGGAGTTTGAGACCAGCCTGGCCAACGTGGTGAAAGCCTGTCTCTACTAAAAATACAAAAATTAGCCGGGCGTGGTGGTGGGCGCCTGTAGTCCCAGCTACTCAGGAGGCTGAGGCAGGAGAATCACCTAAATCTGGGAGGCAGAGGTTGCAGTGAGCCGAGATTGCACCACTGCACTCCAGCCTGGGTAACAGAGACTCTGTCTCAAAAAAAGAAAAAAAAAAAAGAAAGAAAGAAAGAAAATTGGGGATAGGAGAACAGCAAGGTGGGCATTTCCCGGAATTGTGTGCAGATGCATCCAGTCGTGGCATTGCAAGAAGTCTGTCTGATGAAGCTCGGGAAGCATTTTGCAATATTCCCTTTGGCTGTGTTCCTGTGTTCCCTGCTCCCACTTTTCTTCCCCTGGTTTGTGATTATTAGGAGAGAGGTTTTGCAAAGACTCGTTGCTGTGAAAGAATCTTTTTTTAATTTTTATCCTAGAGTCAGTCACTTTTATTCCAGGTAGTCATGCTGATCTGCTTATCCAAAGCCAGCTAACCAGGTTCATCCTACCATCCTCATGGAAGACTGTGTGTATGAATTGGAGTAACAGAACTGAAATACACTTAAACAGTGACAGCAGTACTTCCCAGGGTGGGGGCCATATTTCTCTGTGTCCTACTCTGAGCAACTTCTCAGAGATACGAGGGGGCTAGGGTTTTCCCATCTGGGAAATGGGGTGAAAGTCTGCAGATTGTTAAATGAAATATAGAATCAGAGAAAAAGAAAAGTCAGTGATATAAATAGATCATTTCATAGAAATTAGGGTAGATTTTTATTTCAACTACTACTGGAGAATTTAATAAAAGGCATTATTTGAAAAGTTTTTCTAACATAGATTTAGGGTTTTTTTTTTTAGAGTGGACACACTACATTTAAAAGCAATTATTTTGCTATTCAGATTTTTTATTATCTGAAAATGAAATTATCTGTTTTACTTTTCAAAGCTTTGTGAAACAAACTTGAAGTTATAGGGAGGTAAGCCATCTCCAACTCTGCAGGTCAAACGAAAGTTTGGGAAATACTTTTGACATCCCACAATACAGAATGTCTTAACATGAGAATTGAATTTCATGATGTGTGGTTCCATTTAATAGCGGACACCACCCCAATCTCATGTTTTCCTGTTACCCTAAAACAGTGGAAGGAAACTGGGTGTTTGGTAGACTTCTAAATCATGGTCTCTGACAATTTGAATCTGAGATTCTCACCTCCATTTACTAAAGAATCGTGACTTAATTCAAATTGCACAGTAATCAGTAAAGTGAATACGTTTTTAAAATGGAATTTTCTCCCTTCAGCAAGCACTCATTAAGGAGTGAGGCTGAGTATTTTAAGATAGAGTGAGATCTGTGAGTGATTGAAAGGTGATATTTAAAAACTTGGATTTCATTCCAGTGTCAGGTTTGGGTTTTAAGTTCCTTTGGTCCAGGGAAGGGTCCAAGCAGCCACAGTTGCCCTAAATCTCCATCATTAAGTCTTCCAGCAAGGTTAAGTGCAGTATGGAAGGAGAAGGGGGAAGAGGACGGTAACGGCCCCACACTCCAGGCTGAGAAAGAGTAATTAGGAGGCCTGAGGAGGGGCCGAGGAAAGGCTGTTGGGGTGTGCTGGGGTTGGTACCCGAGCGCCTTCCCCTCACCTCAACCAGAGAAGAGCATCCGGTTGCTTTTTAAAGCTTTTAGCCTGCCCTAGCAAGGACAAAGCATGTTAGATTAGAGATGCTTCTGCTGATCGCAGGGGTTCTTATTTGAAAACATCTATGATGGGGGTGGGGTGGGAGGAGACAGGTTGTGGTTATGCAGGAAAATCTTGTCCTAAAAATATATGAGTTTGGGGGTAAGGGGTGGGATAGCCAAGCAAAATCAGTAATTATTTTAAAATGAACATATGTATTTTTATTAACTTTTAGTTAAATACAGATTTTACAACGAGGTCAGCATAAGCCTAAATCTATATAGAGGGCTAACTCAGGCATTGTCTTGTTTATTTGTAGACTGGATTAAAAACAACCTGTCCTGTTTTGTCAGTTCCCAGCTTCTTCGTTTAGAATAAATTAGACCAAAAGAAGAAACGTGCTTGTCTCTGTATACCCGCAGAATGAAGTTACTGTTGTTAAAACTGGATTTTTTCATTTTACTAGGTTCCGAAGAGTCCAGATGCTTGGTAGATGTTCAATACGTGATTTTTTTTTTAATTGAATGTGTTCATTTAAAATCCTCCTTAACATTTCTAGAAAGACTTCTTTCAATAAATAATGGAATCTTAGAGGAAAAGTGGTTTTTTAAAAGCTAGGGAACTCCTCCACTAAAAGTAACCATTGGAAACCTCGAATGAGGGCTAAAGTTTTAATCATAAGAGAAAAGGCAGCATAATGAAATGTGTACACATACATAGTCAGTGGTCCATTTTAGGAAGCCAGTGGCGTCTGATAAAGAAATGTTAAGAGTAGTGAGGTTGAGGAAGGAAATTGTGGGGATTTGAAATATTCTCTTTATGTTGTTTCTCTTCTGAGTCATGGTAAAACAATAAATTATCATCTCTAGGTGGCAGTGCTTGTGCTGGTTTGTTTTTTGTTCTTTGTTTTTCTCATCCTTGGTTGCATAAATACACATTGGGGGTGAAGAAAAAAAAGTATTCCAAAGTTAAAAGACTGGAGCTGCAACCCACAAACAAAATTCTCATGCAAAACTATCTGTTTACTTTGCAAACCAAAATTAAATTTCAAAGGCCACCCAGTCACCTGAATGGACCTCTCCTCTCAGCCAAGGGCATTCCAAAGTTAACCTGAAAAACTAGTTCAGGCCATGATGGGAAGGGGGAGCCAAACATGCCTCATTATACCCTCTCCCCATATGGAATTACTGATAACAACAGACTCTTTAAGACTGATAGACATGGCCAGCCATGGTGGCTTATGCCTGTAATCCCTGCAGTTTGGGAGGCCGAGGCAGGCAGATCACCTGAGGCCAGGAGTTCGAAACCAGCCTGGCCAACATGGTGAAACCCCCTCTCTACTAAAAATACAAAAATTAACCAGGCGTGGTGGCGGGCGCCTGTAGTCCCAGCTACTCGGGAGGCTGAGCCAGGAGAATCACTTGAACCCAGGAGGGGGAGGTTGCAGTGAGCCGAGATCGCACCACTGCACTCCAGCTTGGGCAACAGAGTGAGACTTTGTCTCAAAAAAAAAAAAAAAAAAAAGGTGAACTGGGAGGATGTGAGGTTGTGTCCAGGAGGCATCCAAACACATCTCTGACTGTTTTTACTCACACTTCTGACACAATGTGGGATTTTTTTTCATACACCAACCAATTCTCTGGACACCAACTGGGTGCCATACGATTCAATTCAATTCTGACACTACCTGTAACTGATGCAGACTCCACAGGTTGTGGGCTCAGTCCCTCAAGACTGCCCCCATTTCAGACGCCAGTCTTACATTCCGGGTTTTCACCTGTGCTTTGGACCGGCTATAAATCAAGGGCTTCCACAATCTTCTCCTCAGTCTCAGGTTTGATAATTTGCTGGGATGGCTCATAGGTCTCATATATATTTTTATTATATATACACATGTGTATGTGTATATGTGTATAGATACACGTGTGTGTGTGTGTGTGTGTGTGTATACGAATACACCACCACACCCAGGTAATTTTTGGGTTTTTTTTTTTTTTTTTTTAGACGGAGTCTCGCTCTGTCTCCCAGGCTGGCGTGCAGTGGCGCCATCTCGGCTCACTGCAAGCTCCGCCTCCCGGGTTCCCGCCATTCTCTTGCCTCAGCCTCCCGAGTAGCTGGGACTACAGGCGCCCGCCACTGTGCCCGGCTAACTTTTTTTGTATGTTTTAGTAGAGACGGGGTTTCATAGTGTTAGCCAGGATGGTCTCGATCTCCTGACCTCATGATCTGCCTGCCTAGGCCTCCCAAAGTGCTGGGATTACAGGCGTGAGCCACCGCACCTGGCCTTTTTTGGGTATTTTTTGTAGTGACAGTCTGGCTATTTCCCAAGCTGGTCTTGAACTCTTGGGCTCAAGTGATCTGCCTGCCTTGGCCTCACAGGTGTGAGCCACCACACCCAGCCCTATTTTTTCTTAATAATTATTTTTTCTTTTATAGAGATGGGGGTCCCCCTATGTTGCCCAGGCTGGTCTCGAACTCCTGTCCTCAAGCAATCCTCCCACCTTGGCCTCCCAAAGTGCTGGGATTACAGGCGTGAGCCACTGTGCCCGACCCAGAACTGGATTTTATTTTTCTTTATTTTTGTAAGACAAGTCTCGTTCTGTTGCTCAGGCTGGAGTGCAGTGGCACGATTGTGGCTCACTGCAACCTCAACCTCCTGGACTCAAGCAATCCTCCTATTTCAGCCTCAGCTGGGACTACAGGCATGCATCACTACGCCTAGATTTTTTTTTAATTTTTTGCAGAGACAGGGTCTTGCTATGTTGCCCAGGCTGGTCTCAAATTCCTGGGCCTCAAGCAATCCTCCCACCTCAGCTTCCCGAAGTGCTGGGATTATATTCATGAGCCACCATGCAAGGGCCTAAAATCCAGTTTTAGCAAGAACCCTGCTAAGTTTAGCAAAAACCTCCCACCCTCCATATCTACTTAGGCTTTTTTCTTTTTCTTTTCTTTCTTGATTTTTTTTTTTTTTTTTTTTTTTTTTTTGGAGACAGAATCTCTCTCTGTTGCCCAAGCTGGAGGGCATGATCTCAGCTCACTGCAACCTCCACCCCCTGGGTTCAAGTGATTCTCCTGACTCAGCCTCCCGAGTAGCTGGGACTACAGGTGCACACCACTACACCCAGCTAATTTTTGTATTTTTTTTAGAGACGGGGTTTCGCCATGTTGGCCAGGCTGGTCTCGAACTCCTGACTTCAAGTGATCCACCTGCCTCAGCCTCCCAGGGTGCTGGGATGACAGGCGTGAGCCACCGCTCCCAGCCCATATCTAATTACTCTTGATATTTATCTGGTCAGGTTCCTTGTCCTCCACCATCCCCCAGGCGATGTCTGATCAGCCTGGCCTGTGTTCAGCAAGAATACCCCTTCCCTCTGATGTTTCCTCTTGATCATTTTCCATACACTGACCCCCATCCTGCTCCTTGGCTATAAATTGCCACTTGCCCATGCTGTGTTCAGAGCTGAGCCCAATCTCTCTCCCCTCACTGCAAGACCCCACTGCAGTGGTTCCTGTATTTATTAGGATGGTCCTGAATAAAGTCTTCCTTACCATGCTTTAACAAGTAGCACTGAGCCGGGCATGGTGGCTCACGCCTGTAATCCCAGCACTTTGGGAGGCTGAGGCAGGCGGATCACGAGGTCGGGAGATCGAGACCATCCTGGCTAACACGGTGAAACTCCGTCTCTACTAAAAAAAATACAAAAAAATAAAATAAAATTAGCCAGGCGTGGTGGCGGGTGCCTGTAGTCCCAGCTGCTCGGGAGGCTGAGGCAGGAGAATGGCGTGAACCCGGGAGGTGGAGCTTGCAATGAGCTGAGATCGTGCCACTGCACTCCAGCCTGGGTGATGGCGTGAGACTCTATCTCAAAAAAAAAAAAAAAAAAAAAAAAAGTAGCACTGAATAATTTTTTTCATGAAGTTTAACTCCACCATTCCACTTTCATTCTCTTTTCCTTTCAATTTCTTTAGCAAATGTCTTTGCAGCTTTCCAACATGCTGCACATGTCTTCTGCTTCCTGGAAGAAAAAGGACATGTTCGGAGTTGTCATGCGCCAGAGGCTTGCCCAGCCTGCTCTAAGGGAAGTCACGGTTTGGTTACCCTCTGCTGGCCAGCTGATGGCAGCAAAAATAGGTGATGATGAGAACGAGCGAGGAAGATCCAGAAATGCACCTTTTTAGAGAGAACCATGAACACCTTACTGGAAATGGAAGGAAGGTGCCAGAGACAACACTAAATGCTGG
The DNA here is from genome assembly GCF_000001405.40 of Homo sapiens. Classification (NCBI taxonomy): domain Eukaryota; kingdom Metazoa; phylum Chordata; class Mammalia; order Primates; family Hominidae; genus Homo; species Homo sapiens. The sequence goes on from NC_000007.14 coordinate 100,045,057, forward strand.
AATCTTTTCCTCTCCTGGGTTTCCGCTGCAAAGGGCACTGGAATTATTTTTCTTTTGTCAAGCCAATAATCTCCCAGGCATGGTGGTGTGCATCTGATCCCGCTACTTGGGAGGCTGAGGCAGGAGGATTGCTTGAGCACAGGAATTCTCGACCAGCCTGGGCAACATGGCGAAACCCCTACGAAACATTTTTTCAAAAAATAGGTGCGGTGCGGGTGCGGTGGCTCACGCCTGTAATCCCAGCACTTTAGGAGGCCGAGGTGGGCAGATCCTGAGGTCAGGAGATCCAGACCATCCTGCCCAACATGGTGAAACCCCATCTCTACTAAAAATACAAAAAGCTAGGTGTGATTGCGCATGCCTGCAATCCCAGCAACTTGGGAGGCTGAGGCAGGAGAATTGCTTCAACCAGGGAGTTGGAGGTTGCAGTGAGCCGAGATGGCGCCACTGCACTCCAGCCTGGCGACAGAGCAAGACTCAGTCTCACCAAAAAAAAAAAAAAAAAAAAAATTGTCCAGCATGGTGGCGTGCATGGGAATTATTTTTCTTTTGTGGTCCCAGCTACTCGGGAGGCTGAGGCAGCAGGATTGCTTGAGCCCAGGAGTTCTCTACCAGCCTGGGCAACATGGTAAAACCCCTAGAAATAATTTTTTAGGGGCTGGGCGCAGTGGCTCACGCCTGTAATCCCAGCACTTTGGGAGGCCGAGGCGGGTGGATCACGAGGTCAGGAGATCGAGATCATCCTGGCTAACACGGTGAAACCCCGTCTCTACTAAAAATACAAAAAATTAGCCGGGCATGGTGGCGGGTGCCTGTAGTCCCAGCTACCCGGGAGGCTGAGGCAGGAGAATGGTGTGAACCTGGGAGGCGGAGCTTGCAGTGAGCCGAGATCACGCCACTGCACTCCAGCCTGGGCGACAGAGCGAGACTCCGTCTCAAAAAAAAAAAAAAAAGAAATAATTTTTTAGAAAAATAGCCAGGCATGGTAGCATGTGCCTACTCGGGAGGCTGAGGTGGGAGGATCACTTGAGTCCAGGAGTTGGAGGCTGCAGTGAGCTATGATCACACCACTGCACTCCAGCCTGGGCAACAGAGTGAGGCCCTACCGCAAATAAATAAATAAAAATAAAAAATCTCTTGAGACACAGCAAGCACACAGGATTGGAGAATCTGGCTTGTGCTCTCAGCTTTGATACTAATTAGCTAACTAGTGTACCTTGGATCCGACTTCTTCAGGCACTGGTTTCTTCAACTGAAAACAAGAAACAAGAGTTTAACCAGATTGTCCTTAAGGTCTCTTTTGACGTTAATATTTTACAGCAGCTCTAAGCCCCTTTGCTTGAGGAGCATCTCAGCCCTGGAAAGGACAATGGGTTTGGAAATAGATGGATTTTCTTCAAGCCCCAGCATAACCACTTAATGGTTTCATAACTAGACAAAGACCCGTTGACCAAGAGGCTGAATGGAGCCCCACCAAAGCATCGACACAGGTGTGGCTCTTGAAATGTGTGTAGGTTTCCCGGTTCTTCCCTCTGTCCTGGTGATCCTGTTTCCATTTCCCATCTCTTTCTTCCCCGTCTAACTGAGAGGCAGTAGAGCACAGGCTTTGGAGAAAGGGGGCCAAGTTTCACTCCTGATGCTCCCACGTATCAGTTGTGTGATATTGGAAAAGTGACTTTTTGGAGCCTGTTTCCTGGTCTATAAAATGGAGATTTTGGGGCCAGGCACAGTGGCTCACGGTGGCTCCCAGCACTTTGGGAGGCTGAGGCAGGTGGATCACTTGAGGTCACGAGTTCAAGACCATGGGGGAATGAATTAAAAGGACTAACCATGTAACAATTGTTAAAGCTGGCCAATGTATATGGAGGCTTTTTTTTTTTTTTTGGTGAGACAGAGTCTCACTCTGTCACCAGGCTGTAGTGCAGGGGTGCAATCTCAGCTCACTGCAATGTCTGCCTCCTGGGTTCAAGCAATTGTCCTTCCTCAGCCACCCGAGTAGCTGGGATTACAGGCATGTGCCACCACACCCAGCTAATTTTTGTATTTTTAATAGAGACAGAGTTTCACCATGTTGGCCAGGATGGTCTCGATCTCTTGACCTTGTGATCCGCCTGCCTCAGCCTCCTAAAGTGCTGGGATTACAGGCGTGAGCCACCGTGCCCTGCCAAGGCTCATTTTTTTTTTTTTTTAAGAGAAAGCAAGTTTATTAGAGAAGTAAAGAAACAGCCGGGCACGGTGGCTCACACCTGTAATCCCAGCACTTTGGGAGGGCGAGGCGGGCAGATCATGAGGTCAGGAGATCAAGACCATCCTGGCCAACATGGTGAAACCCTGTCTCTACTAAAATACAAAAAAAAATAAAAAATTACCCGAGCGTGGTGGTGCGCGCCTGTAGTCCCAGCTACTCGGGAGGCTGAGGCAGAGGAATCGCTTGAACCTAGGAGGCGGAGGTTGCAGTGAGCCTAGATTGCACCACTGCACTCCAGCCTGGCGACAGAGTAAGACTCCATCTCAAAAAAAAAAAAGAAAGAAACAAAAGAATGCACATGGAGGCTCATTTTCTCTAATTTTGCATGTCTTTAAACATAAAAAATTTTTAAATTATCCTGGAAAATGTCAGGGAAAAATGATATTGAGTATCTATGAATTCATGACGCGTATGGACAGGGAATTCCACGTGCAGGCAGCCATATTGGTGTTCCTCAACACATGTGAGTTTTGCAGGACCAGACAAAAGCAAACTCACAGGGGGCCCGATGGAGTAGTGCTGAGGTGGAAAATACAGACTCTTCAGTCTGGAAACCTGCAGCTGAGCCAGAGCAGCAGGAGGAAAAGGCAGGCAAAGACATCTTCATCGAGTCCTGCAGCATTGGAAGGAGTTCAGCCCCTAGGTCTTCTGCTCAGGAAGTTTAGGACCCACAGAAGGGCAAGGCTACTTCTGATTGATGTCACCATGACCCTGGTCTGCAAAGTTGAGGACTAAACTCTGACTGTTTTCTTCTTTTGCCCAAATTACTATCTAAGGGGCCTGGAGAGTCACCCCCTTCAAACCATAAAGCCTCATCAGACAGGTTTTATTTAACTTTATATAACCTGGCTGACTTTTCAACCAGGCTCTGGCATAACATCACATGGCAGATAAAGAAGGAAACGAAAATATTTCCACCCCAAATATGTTTTTTTGCCATATCTTGAAATAACCCTACCAAGCTGTCTTCTCGTGGGGAAAATCTACACTTGGTAGAGAATCCCCTTCCCTTTCCAGGCCTTTTTCCTGATCCAGGAGAGAATCAACTGGGCGTCTGGCACTTTTTAAAGTCTGATAAGAAATATTTGCAGTCTGTTCTTTCTGAAGCCGGCTGCCTGGAGGCTCCATCTGCATAATGGGAACCCTGGTCTCCACAACCCCTTAGTTCAGCGGTCCCCAACCTTTTTTGGCACCAGGAACCAGTTTTGTGGAAGACAGTTTTTTCCATGGATGGCAGGAGGGGGATGGATGGTTTCGTGGTTTCAGGATGATTCAAGCACATTACATTTATTGTGTACTTTATTTCTATTATTATTACATTGTAATATATCATGAAATAATTGTACAACTCATCATAACATAGAATTAGTGGGAGCCCTGAGTTTGTTTTCCTGTAATTAGAGGGTTCCATTGGGGAATTATGGGAGACAGCGACAGATCATCAGGTATTAGATTCTCATAAAGAGTGCACAACCTAGATCCCTCGCATGCACTGTCCACAATAGGGTTTGTGCTCCTGTAAGAATCTAATGCTATGGCTGATCTGACAGGAGGCGGAGCTCAGGCAGTAATTAGAGCAATGGGGAGTGGCTGTAGATACAGGTGAAGCTTTGCTCCTGCAGCTCACCTCCTGCAGTAACGGCCCAGTTCCTAACAGGCCATGGACTGGTATCTGTCTGTGCCCCAAGGGTTGGGGACCCCTGCCTTAGTCATCCCAGACATTCCTTTCTATTGATTATAGGTCTTTAGACAATAACTTTCAGCCAGTTGCCCATTAGAAGATCCTTGAGTTCACCTATGACTTGGAACATCCCCGCTTGGAATTGTCCTGCCTTTCCCACAGAACCAATGTTCATCTTACATGTCTTGATTGGTGTCTTATGTCTCCCTAAATTGTATAAACCCAAGCTGTAGCCCGACCATCATAGGTACATGTTCTTAGGACCTCTTGAGACTGTACCTTGGGCCATTGGTCACTCATATTTGTCTCAAAATAAATGTCTTCAAATATTTTACAGTTTGATTGTTTTCATCAACGAAGTATTAACTCAATCTCTGGCTTCACGGGCCAAGCACAGCGTTCCATGTCCATAAACCTGGACCGAGGAGCTGGGCCCAAGGGTATCCAGTGACCTCGATCCAGGTTTATGGACAAGGAACCCTGTGCTTATCCCAAGGGTACTCAGGGACCTTGGGCTCTGAAGTCCACGAGGGTGACCGAGGTGGCTGCCTCAGCCCATGCCCTCCCTGCCCCAGGGCGTCGGGGTTGGGTGAGAGAACCGCCGCAGCCTTCATCTGGTCTGACCGTCTTCGGTAAAAACAGAAAGAGTCCCTGGCTTTTCATTTTCGGGGTGGACTCAACTCCTCCCTGATGTCCCAAGGGCCAGAGACACAGAGAGGACCTCCCGAATTTCTAGAGGGGCCGCTACGGCCCCGCACTACTTTTCCGCGGGGGCGGGGCTATGACGCACTTCCGGGTGCGCGGTCCCGAGGTACGCGGTGCGGTCTCCCGGTACCCGGAGCGGCTCTGATTCATGGTGAGCCTGCTGGTCGCGGGTTAGCGAGGCGGACAGGAGAGGGAGCCGTGGCTGAATGGTCTGGGGAGGGAGGAGTGGGTTTAGCAGCTGTGGCTTCCGAGGACCCCACCTAGACCGGTCCTAGCAGGGCTGTGGGGAGGAGCTCCTCGTCCCCGCCCAGGACCAGCTGGTGGGGGCGCTGGCTGCCTGGAAAGCCTTTTCTTCCACTTGGGGCTTTAACAAATGAAAGCTGGAAGAACAGATGTTTTGGAAGTTCTTTCGCGTTCCAGAATAGTTTTTTTTGTGCGTTCCCCAAGCCAAGCCGTCTATCAGTCTGACCGTGGCCGCCTTTTTTCCCTTTCTCTGAACTGGAGGTCCGAACGCAAGGCTCATTGATGGCAATACGCCCAAGGTGTTGGAAACCTGTGGGAAGCCGAACCTCATTAGAAGTGTTGGGTAGAATCAAATCCAAGGGAAGAAATAGTCCCCTCGGGCTTTGTTCGGGCTAGAACACACACACAGAATAGGGATCTGCTCATGGTTTAGAAAAACAGTCTTAAAGAACCATGTATAAATAAAAGAGTGTCAGGACAAAGTTGATTTGGGCCAGGCGCGGTGGCTCACGCCTGTAATCCCAGCAGTTCGGGAGGCCGAGGCCGGCGGATCACTTGAGGTCAGGAGTTCGAGACCAGCCTGGCCAAACCCTGTCCCCACGAAAAATACAAAAATTAGCTGGGTGTGGTGGAGCGCGCCTGTAATCCCAGCTACTCAGGAGGCTGAGGCAGGAGAATCGCTTGAACCCACCAGGTGGAGGTTGCACTGAACCGAGATCACGCCACTGCACTCCAGCCTGGGCGACAGAGCAACACTTGGTCTCACAAAAAAAAAGAACGTTGATTTGATGGGTGAGGTACTTGGAAACCCACGAAATCTAAGGAACAGTTGAGCTGTGGAGAGGAAAAGAATTAAGAGGCAAGATAATTGTTTTCAAGTGTTGGAAGGCTGCTATGGAGAAAGTGAGTATTGGTCTTGGACTAACCTAGGATTTTTGAAATGATGCGGAATTTGATTCAGGTTAAAGAATTTGTGTGGCCGGGCGCGGTGGCTCATGCCTGTAATCCAGCACTTTGGGAGGCCGAGGCGAGTGCATCACCTGAGGTCGGGAGTTCGAGACCAGCCTGACCAACATGGAGAAACCCCGTCTCTACTACAAATACAAAATTAGGCGGGCGTGGTGGCACATGCCTGTAAGGAGGCTGAGGCAGGAGAATCGCTTGAACCTGGGAGGCAGAGGTTGCGGTGAGCCGAGATCGCGCCATTGCACTCCAGCCTGGGAAACAAGAGTGAAACTACGTCTCAAAAAAAAAAAAAAAAAAAAAAAAAGGAAGAACTTGTAACAATTAGTGGAATTCTGTGGCTCAAGAATTATCTAATTTGGCTGCCTAGGGATCTAGGGATTTTCTTTTTTTTTTTTTTTTTTTTTTTTTTTTTGAGATGGAGTCTCGCTCTGTCGCCTAGGTTGGAATGCAGTGGCGCGATCTCGGCTCACTGCAAGCTCCGCCTCCCGGGTTCTAGCCATTCTCCTGCCTCAGCCTCCCAAGTAGCTGGGACTACAGGCGCCCGCCACAACGCCTGGCTAATTTTTTGTATTTTTTAGTAGAGACGGGGTTTCACCGTGTTAGCCAGAATGGTCTCGATCTCCTGACCTCGTGATCTGCCCGCCTCGGGCCTCCCAAAGTGCTGGAATTACAGGTGTGAGCCACGGCGCCGGGCCCCCTAGGGATTTTCAGGTACGGACTGAGTGTGAAGCATTTTAGCACAAGTGGGTAAGTGCTGTTCTACTTTTAGAATCTATGGTAATTTGATTTTTTTATGCCTCATCTTGTTACAGAATGGACTTGGGGCGCTTTCATAAGGGCATATAAGCTGTGGGAGATTGGCATAAAGGAGGAGGGAAAATGGACACAGAACAAGGGCCTTCTGTTTATGATAGACCATGAACTTTTGCTTGATGGACTTCTTGAGATAAACAGTCTAGATAGCTTTTAAAAAGTCACTGTGATTGTAGACAATGTGAGTTAGTAATGAAGCATTTGATTTCTAGCCGCATGCTTCTTTATTTTTTTAAGAGACAGGGTTTTCCTTTGTCACCCAGGCTGGAGCACAGTGGTACAGCCACAACTCTGCAGCCCGGAACTCCTGAGCTCAAGTTATGCCTCAGCCTGGGCAACAAAGCAAGACTTCGTTTCTACAAAAATAAGTAAATCAATAAATAAATTTTTTTTAATTAGCTAGATGTGGTGATGCACACCTGTAGTCCTGGCTACTTTGGAGGCTGAGGTGAGAGGATCGCTTGAGGCCAGGAGTTCAACGCTGCAGTGAGCTGTCATGGCACCACTACACGCCAGCCTGGGCAACAAAGCGAGACCCTGCCTCTGTAATTGAAAAACAATAAAATAAAGACCCAGTGAAGTGGTTCACGCCTGTAACCCCAGAACTTTGAGAGACCAAGGCAAGAAGATGGCTTGAGACTAGGAGTTCAAGACTTCCGTGAGCTGTGATTGTGCCACTGCACTCCAGTCTAGGCAACAGGCTAAGACACTGTCTCTAAAAAATAAAAAAATTAAATTAAAAAAAAAAAGTGAAAGAGGATTCGGGATGACCCCAGGTTTTTCGGTCCAAGTAAAAAGAACAATGAGAGTTGCCATTAGCTGAGATGAGCAGCTTTTGAGGGAGAGATGGGAATTCCATTTTGGACATGTTAAGGTTGAGATGTCTTACTGGACATCCAGGTGGTAATGGCAAGTGGGTAGTTGGTCGTATGAGTCTGGAGGTCAGCAGGGAGGTCTAAGTTGGAGATACAGTTTGGGCAGTTGTGAGTATATAGATGGTAATTAAAACCATGCAACTTGTGAAATCACCAAGGAGAGTGAGTGCAGGAAGGAGGAAGGGCACCCGGCCCTCTACTCGTTTGTAGTCTTTATGCATTGTACATTTGAGTTGTGTGCACCGCAAAACTGATGTACCACCGGGCGTGGTGGCTCACGCCTGTAATCCCAGCACTCTGCGAGGCCGAGGTGGGCAGATCACTTGAGGTCAGGAGTTCAAGACCAGCCTGGCCAACATGGTGAAACCCCATCTCTACTAAAAATATAAAAATTAGCCGGGCATGGCACGCACCTGTAATCCCACCTACTCAGGAGGCTGAGGCATGAGAATAACTTGAACTCGGGAGGCGAAGGTTGCAGTGAGCCAAGATCATGGCACTGCACTCCAGCCTGGGCAACGGAGTGAGACTCCATCTCAAAAAAAAAAAAAAAAAGAACTGATGTGCCTAGAATAAATCACTTAGCTAATGAGCTTACCCAGCCAACTGCCCAGCAGCAACATCCAAGGAAACTTTTTTTTCTGTAATTTGCAGAGGCAATCATGTGATCCAGTGGCATCTGTGAATTTGGATTCACCAAGTTCTCAGAGTGTATCGCACATGAATGTTATGTTACTACATGACGCTCCCTGTGTGATGCCAGCAGGTGCTGCATGACTCCCTGGTGAATTGCCTTGTTTCCCAGGCCAGATCACAGAAGCTGAGCAGCCCAAACAATGGTTTCTTTCCTGGTCTTAGGGTGCCCTCCTCTGGATAGAGTATTAAATTTTGTAACAGTTACGTAAAGTTAATCTGCCACTGAGGAGGGCTCTTACATACATACATACATACATACATAATTTTTTTTTTTTTTTTTTTTTTGCAACAGAGTCTTACTCTGTTACCCAGGCTGGAGTGTAGTGACAGGATCTTGGCTCACTACAACCTCCACCTCCCAGGTTCAAGTGATTCCCTGCCTCAGCCTCCCAAGTAGCTGGGATTACAGGTGCCTGCCACCACTCCCAGCTAATTTTTGTATTTTTAGTGGAGACTGTAACTTGTAATTTTATGGCAACTATATTTTTTTAGGTTTAACATGTGGCCCTAAAGAACCAGAAACCGAAAGGAACCAGTATTCCTGCCCCACAGAGTCCCATCTTTAGTGAGGCTATTTCTGGAGTTTATATGATGACCAAGATACTAGGTATGGCCCCAGTTCACCATGTTGGCCAGGCTGGTCTCAACTCCTGGCCTCAAGTGATCCGCCTGCCTTGGCCTCCAGAAGTGCTGGGATTACGGCCGTTAGCCACCACGCCCGGCCAGTCGTTTTAAATATTCTAAAGAATGCTCTCCAGCACAGCTACCTCATTATTTCTTGTTTATTTTAGTCTTTGGTGCTCAGGCCTTTGTTTTAGTAGGTGAGATGACGTTGCATCTCCCCTGACTCAATTTTTAAGTAGTCCTCAACTTGGGCACTCCTGTGGTATGTACTGAGTACATACAGACTTATTTGGCCAAAGAATCCTTTATTCAAATTATTGGTTATAGTGTGTTTTGTTTTTTGTTTTTTGTTTTTTTTTTGCAACGGAGTCTCACTCTGTTGCCCAGGCTGGAGTGCAGTGGCACAATCTCGGCTCACTGCAACCTCTGCCTCCCACGTTCAAGCTATTCTCATGTCTCAGCCTCCCATGTAGTTGGGATCACAGGTGCCTGTCACCACGCCCGGCTAATTTTTGTATTTTTAGTAGAGACGGGGTTTTGCCATGTTGGTCAGGTTGGTCTCGAACTCCTGACCTCAGGTGATCCACCTGCCTCGGTCTCCCAAAGTGCTGGGATTACAGGCGTGAGTCACCGCACCCCGCCTTAGTTATAGTGCTTTTGAACAAATTTTGGGAAATAATTCTGTATGCATTTTTTTCCGTGCCTTACAGTTTCCCTTTTCATGCTTTGGTTTGCTTCCTGATGTCTTAATTCCACTGCTAAACACTCCACCAACATTTCTTTTGGTGGAGCGTGGTGGTGCGTGCCTGTAGTCCCAGCTACTCAGGAGGCTGAGGCAGGAGAATCGCTTGAACCCGGGAGGCGGAGGTTGCAGTGAGCCGAGATCACGCCACTGTACTCTAGCCGGGGCAGCAGAGTGAGACGCTGTCTCAAAAAAAAAAAAAAAAAAAAAGACTAATCAAAGCCTTAATTTCATAACTATGAACCGTGTTTACAGAATGTTAGCACTAAAGTCCATTTTGTTTGTCAGAAAACTACTTATGATCTCTCTTTTTTTTTTTTTTTTGAGACTGAGTCTTGATCTGTCACCCAGGCTGGAGTGCAGTGGTGCAATCTTGGCTCACTGCATCCTTCCCCTCCCAGGTTAAAGCGATTCTCCTGCCTCAGCCTCCTGACTAGCTGGGATTACAGGTGTGCAACACCACACCCGCCTAATTTTTGTATTTTTAGTAGAGACAGGGTTTCACCATGTTGGCCAGGCTGGTCTCGAACTCCTGACCTCAAGTGATCCGCCCGCCTTGGCCTCTCAAAGTGCTGGGATTACAGATGTGAGCCACTGCACCTGGCACTTCAGTTTGTTTTGTTTTTATTTTTTGAGACAGAGTTTTGCTCTGTCACCCAGGCTGGAGTGCAGTGGCGCGATCTCGGCTCATTGCAACCTCTGCCTCCCATGTTCAGGGGATTCTTGTGTGCCTCAGCCTCCCAAATAGCTGAGATTACAGGTGCACACCACCATGCCCAGCTAATTTTTGTATTTTTAGTAGAGACAGGATTTCACCATGTTGGCCAGGCTGGTCTCAAGTCCAGGCCTGCCTCGGACTCCCAGAGTGCTGGGATTACAGGCATGAGCCACTGCGCCCGACCTCAGTTATTTTTAATGTACTAGTTAATTACACCCTTCGAGCATGACTCAGGTCATACTGACAGGCCCAGTCATTTGACTAGTGAATTTTCCTTTTTTTTTTTTTTTTGAGACAGAGTCTCGCTCTGTCACCCAGGCTGGAGTGCAGTGGCGCGATCTCTGTTCACTGCAAGCTCCACGTCCCTGGTTCAGGCCATTCTCCTGCCTCAGCCTCCCGAATAGCTGGACTACAGGCGCCTGCAACCACGCCCGGCTAACTTTTTTTTGTATTTTTAGTAGAAACAGGGTTTCACCATGTTAGCCAGGATGGTCTCGATCTCCTGACCTCGTGATCCGCCCGCCTTGGCCTCCCAAAGTGCTGGGATTACAGGCGTGAGCCACCGCGCCCGGCCCTCCTCTTTTTTTTTTTTAGACGGAGTCTCGCTCTGTCGCCCAGGCTGGAGTGCAGTGGCACAATCTCAGCTCACTGCAAGCTCCGTCTCCCGGGTTCACACCATTCTCCTGCTCAGCCTCCCAAGTAGCTGGGACTACAGGCACCCGCCACCACGCCTGGCTAATTTTTTGTATTTTTAGTAGAGATGAGGTTTCACCGTGTTAGCCAGGATGGTCTCGATCTCCTGACCTCGTGATCCGCCCACCTCAGCACCTCCCAAAGTGCTGGGATTACAGGCGTGAGCCACCATGCCTGGCCTTGACTAGTGAATTTTCATTGCTCAAGCTAAATGTCTTAGGTTTAAACAGATGGCATCTAGCCAGTAGATAGCTTGATAAAATCTCAGAAACTATAATATCTATAGTGGTGAGATTCTGAACTAGTTTTGGAGCAAAGTTAACTTTAAAATTATGCCACATTGCACTTTTTAGGAAAGTGGAGACCACTGAAATCAAAGTAGGATATCCTGAGCTGATTGCAGAAAGATTTTTTTTTTTTTAGAGATGGAATCTCGCTCTGTTGCGCAGGCTGGAATGCAGTGGCGCAGGCTTGGCTCATTGTATCCTCTGCCTCCTGGGTTCAAGCAATTCTCCTGCCTCAGCCTCCCAGGTAGCTGGGATTACAGGCATCCATCACCACGCCTGGCTAATTTTGTATTTTTAGTAGAGACAGGGTTTCACCATGTTGGCCAGGCTGGTCTCAAACTCCTGACCTCATGTGATCCACCCGTCTCAGCCTCCCAAAGTGCTGGAATTATAGGCATGAGCCACTGTACCCAGCTCATTCCAGAAAGATTTTGAGCAGTTGTTTTTGTATGGTAGTTTTATGGTGGACATAATTTCCACAATTTCTTGTGTTAAAGGTATGGCTGTAAAGACCCAAAAACACTTTTCAGTTTGATTATTTTTTGGTAACTATATTTTCTTAGGTTTAACTTGTGGCCCTAAAGAACTGGAAACCCAAAGGAACGAATATTCCTGCCCCACAGAGTCCCATCTTTGGTGAGGCTGTTTCTGGAGTTTACATGATGACCAAGGTACTAGGCATGGCCCCAGTTCTGGGCCCTAGGCCTCCACAGGAGCAGGTGGGGCCTCTGATGGTAAAAGTCGAGGAGAAAGAAGAGAAAGGCAAGTACCTTCCTAGCCTGGAGATGTTCCGCCAGCGCTTCAGGCAGTTTGGGTACCATGATACCCCTGGACCCCGAGAGGCCCTGAGCCAACTCCGGGTGCTCTGCTGTGAGTGGCTGAGGCCCGAGATCCACACCAAGGAGCAGATCCTGGAGCTACTGGTGCTGGAGCAGTTCCTGACCATCCTGCCCCAGGAGCTCCAGGCCTGGGTGCAGGAGCATTGCCCGGAGAGCGCTGAAGAGGCTGTCACTCTCCTCGAAGATCTGGAGCGGGAACTGGATGAGCCAGGACACCAGGTAGGCAGGAGAGACCTTTGTTATTCTAGGAGATTGGGAGCGTAACATTCTAGGCAGGAACAAGGGTTTGTCCATACATTAAGATTTGCTGAATGGAAATTTCTGCTGAATTAGACCTTGTTTCCTCCTATTTTTCTCTATCATCCTAAACTAACTTTTAGCCTTGGGAATGGAATGGGATGGGTGTTTTCCTTTTCTCTTTCCTAGAGGTTCTATGTAGCTCTACTGGGATTTTCATTCTTGGTCTTAAAGTGAGCCATGCACAAACCTAGCCATTCCTGATTGTCTCTAGGTCTCAACTCCTCCAAACGAACAGAAACCGGTGTGGGAGAAGATATCCTCCTCAGGAACTGCAAAGGAATCCCCGAGCAGCATGCAGCCACAGCCCTTGGAGACCAGTCACAAATACGAGTCTTGGGGGCCCCTGTACATCCAAGAGTCTGGTGAGGAGCAGGAGTTCGCTCAAGATCCAAGAAAGGTCCGAGGTGAGGACCACCCATTAGACTCCTATTCAGTGCCCCAGGCCCCTGTGGTTGGAGAAGCAGAATAATTAGTAATTCTTGGTTGTGAGGTGATTTCATAGATTGACTTGATTAGTTGGGCTGACTGGGTGGAAATAGTCCCCTTTCCTCCCCCAAGTAAGGCTGTCTTAACCTGGGCCCTAGCATGGGAATGGATCACTCTTAAAGGATCAGTTTCTCTTTGAAGTCTGAGTATTACAAATAATTTTTTTTAAAGGGTCAATTGAAATGAGTTTAAAAAAGAAACTGTTAACAGAGGTGTAGAGACTTCAAATGAACCAATAAGGAATAGTGTTGCACCAGACAACAGTGAAAAGCTGTTACTCCCTGTGAGCCTAAAGGGACAGAGGGGGACCCTCTTACCAGAATCAGGTAAGAGCTATAGTCATGGAGGAGGGGGTCACTTGATAGAAGTTGTGGCTGTAGGCCCTGCTGTGGGATGAGGAGAAAACGGAATAAATACCCCAACTGCACCCTCCTCCTGCCCTTAAATCTCCTGCTTTTGTTCCCCAATGACAAACTCAGTTGGCAGCCAGAGGGCAGGAAAGACAAGACAGTGCAGCCCTTAGGGTCAGCTTCCTGGGGCACAGGGCGGGTCAGAGAATGGATCTGAGAAGGGCAAATGGGAAATAATTGGCAACCTCCTTTCTGAAGCTATGGAAAGAGGTGGGGCATTTTTCACAAGTCAAAGCTGTATTAGGTGACTACTCCTGAGCTCAAATCTCCATATATTATGGTTTATAGAATAATCTCAGGCCATAAATGGTCATCCCCTGTGGGGGTGTTTTTGTGTGTTTTTCTGAGACAGGGATTCCATCCGTCATCCAGGCTGGAGGGCAGTGGCGTGATCATAGCTCACTGCAGCCTCAATCTCTGGGGCTCAAATGATCCTCCCACCTCAGCCTCCCAAGTAGCTGGGACCACCATGTCTGGCTAACTTTATTTTTTTGTACAGACAGGGTCTCACTATGTTGCCCAAGCTGGCCCTATGTTATTTTGTTATTTTATGGGTTCTACTCTTAAGTACCTTCATTTACCAGAAGGATTAGAACTAAATCTTTGAAACAGAGTTAATGTTTAATTATATGTTTGCAAAAATATGGCATATTATTCCAAATCCTAATAGTTTCAAACCAGGACTTTGCTTACGTGTTGGTGGTGTAGACCACTATTTATGTGTGTGGTGTGATTTCATGACAAGAGTCCATGGCCCTCAGAAATCTCCCTCCATGCTTGCTGTGTCTGAAACGTGAAACTCCATCATGGAAACAGAGTTTCGAGCCGGTTAAAAATCACATTTTCTAGGAAAAGTAAAAAATTAAACTGTTAGCTAAATTCTTCATGGTTTATGGTGAACACAGTAGACCTCTCCAGGCAATTGGGGTTTCCCCAGAGTTGCCACAGTAATTAGAGATAAAAATAGCCGGAGACCTATCTGGTCAGTTTTATTTTCCATATCTCTTGGTGTAGCCCCTTGGCAGTATTACACAAAGAGGAGGGTGGAGTGGAAGGATTATCAGAGCCAGGAACAGGCTTGGGTTTTAGTACCCAGATGGGACAGAAGACAAAGCTGCTGGGCCCTCCTAAGGAAAGGGAAGTTGGCTGTGAAAGCTTTGCATAAAGTCTTTTTTTTTTTTTTTTTTTTGAGACGGAGTCTCCCTCTGTTGCTAGGCTGGAGTGCATTTATGCAATCTCGGCTCAGTGCAACCTCTGCCTCCCAGGTTCAAGAGATTCTCCTGCCTCAGCCTCCCGAGTAGCTGGAACTACAGGTGCACACCACCACGCCCAGCTCTTTTTAAAAAAACAGAGTTTCGGTCTTGTTGCCCAGGCTGGAGTGCAGTGGCGCTATATCGGCTCACCGCAACCTCCGCATTCCAGTTTCAAGTGATTCTCCTGCCTCAGCCTCCCGAGTAGCTGGGATTATAGGCTTCTGCTACCATGCTCGGCTAATTTTTGTATTTTTGGTAGAGACAGGGTTTCACCATGTTGGCCAGACTGGTCTCGAACTCCTGACCTCATGATCCGCCCTCCTCGGCCTCCCAAAGTGCTGGGATTACAGGCGTGAGCCACCACGCCCAGCCAAGAAACTGTTAATAAAAACACAAACAGGCACCTTTGACAGAAACAAAATAGAATTTCTAAAAGTGAAAACTGTAGTCATTGAAATGAAGAATGCAATGGCTGTTTTAAATAATGAAGGACATGATTAGCAAACAGAGGTAGATGGAAGGAAGTCATCTGAAATGCTACTTAGAAAGATCAAGGTGGCAGGCATTGGACATCAGTGTGGGATCAGATGAGAAGGTCCAGTGTATGTTTAATAGCTGTTCCAGAGGAGGCGGAAAGAGTTGGAGAGGGCAGACATGATGGCTCACACCGGTCATCCCAGCACTTTGGGAGGCCGAGGAGGGCGGATCATGAGGTCAGGAGATGGAGACCATCCTGGTCAACATGGTGAAACCCCATCTCTACTAAAAATACAAAAATTAGTTGGGCGTGGTGGCATGCACCTGTAGTCCCAGCTACTCAGGAGGCTGAGGCAGGAGAATCGCTTGAAGCCAGGAGGCGGAGATTGCAGTGAGCCAAGATCGCGCCATTGCACTCCAGCCTGGCAACAGAGTGAGATTCCATCTCAAAAAATAAAAAAAAAACCAGACTGGCTGGGCATGGTGGCTCACGCCTGTAATCCCAACACTTCGGGAGGCTGAGGCAGGCGGATCACCTGAGGTCAGGAGTTTGAGACCAGCCTGGCCAACATAGTGAAACTCCATCTCAACCGGGCATGGTGGCACGTGTTGTCCCTGGGACCTGTAGTCCCAGCTACTCGGGAGGCTGAGGCAGGGGAATCGCTTGAACTTGGGAGGCAGAGGTTGCAGTAAGTCAAGATCGCGCCACTGCACTCCAGCCTGGCGCAACAGAGTAGGACTCCGTCAAAAAAAAAAAAAAAAAAAACATTTCTACTAAAAATACAAAAATTAGTCGAGTGTATTGGTACACGCCTGTAGTCCCAGCTCCCAGCTACTTGGGAGGCTGAGGCAGGAGAATCACCTGAACCCAGGAGGTGGAGGTTGTGGTGCAGCAGTGACCTGAGATTGCACCACTGCACTCCAGCCTGGGCGACAGAGTGAGACCGGGTCTCAAAAGTAACCAAGACATAAAAGACGGATTACCCCCCTCAAAGGAATGCTGATTAGACTGATGACAAACTACCCAACAGTAACAGTGCAGCCTGGAAGACAATGAAATAAATAGTCCTGGTAAATTCTTTTTCAATTTTTGCCTCATTCAGCTATTTTTTAAAATGTTAACTTTTGGCTGGGCATGGTGGCTCACACCTGTAATCCCAGCACTTTGGGAGGCCAAGGCAGGTGGATCATTTGAGGCCAGGAGTTTGAGGCTAGCCTGAGCAACATGGTAAAACCCCATTTGTACAAAAAATACGAAAATTAGCCAGGTGTGGTGGCTAGTGCCTGGGGTCCCAGCTATTCGGGAGGCTGAGGCAGGAGGATCATTTGAGCCTGGGAGGTGGAGGTTGCAGTGAGCTAAGATTATGCCACTGTACTCCCACCTGGGCAACAGAGCCAGACTCTATCTCAAAACAAAACAAAGTTTATGAGGTTACTTCTGTCCCACACATGTAGTCCATGGCTGTCCAGTGACTCGAAGAGAAGTCTGTGTGTAGGCAAGCGATTGCTAATTATGGAGAGTGTGAAGGACTTCAGCTGCTGAAGCTCTGACCCCCAGCAGATGGTGAGGAGAGGGTGAGCCTGGAAGCAGCTGATAGTCACTGTCAGCAAAGGAAGGAGATAGACAGCTGGGCAGAGAGAGAGAAGCTGTCAGGGCGGTTCCTAGGGAAGGGGAAACGGGTGAAGAAGGTAGCTTGCTGACAGGCTTCTGTACCCTCAGAGGACTAACAGTTCTCCAAGGGGTCCCATTTTTCAGAGCGAATTTCTCTTACTCCCCTTTTCCCTGATGTGGATGGCCAGGTGGACTTTGAAGAGGTGTGACTGCCTGGTGAGGCGTTCTAAAAAGATAAACTGGTTCCATCTGATTTTAATAGTGAGCGTCACTTTATAACTGAATTACAAGATGTAGCCAGTGTAAGTAAATGATGAGCGTGAAGCCCTCTTGGAGATCACGTGCTTTCATTCTGATTGATACGGATCTGGGGCGGGAATGATTGTAAATGGTCAGAATGCCCTCTGATTGCTTTTATGTTCAACTGCTGTGGGAACATGGGTTTTTGTGAGTTTGCCACTCAGCCTCATCCTTAATTGTCCTTGTCATTTTCCTTAACCCTGGCCCTGCAGCAGTCATTCTCCCTTGTTTTTAATCTGCGTGAGGCTCAACTGTTCTTTTTTTTTTTTTTTTTTTTTTTAAAGGGCCGGGTGTGGTGGTTCATGCCTGTAATCCCAGCACTTCGGGAGGCTGAGGCGGGCAGATCACCTGAGGTCAGGAGTTCTAGACCAGCCTATGGTCTAGAACATGGAGAAACCCTGTCTCTACTAAAAATACAAAATAAGCCGGGCATGGTGGCACATGCCTGTAATCTCAGCTACTCGGGAGGCTGAGGCAGGAGAATCGCTTGAACCTGGGAGGCAGAGGTTGCGGTGAGCTGAGATTGAACCATTGCACTCCAGCCTGGACAACAGGAGCAAAACTCCATCTCAAAAAAAAAAAAAACATCTGGGCACGGTGGCTCACGCCTGTAATCCCAGCACGTGGATCACCTGATGTCAGGAGTTTGAGACCAGCCTAGCCAACATGGTGAAACCCCATCTCTATTAAAAATACAAAAATTAGCTGGGCGTGGTGCCAGGTGCTTCTAGTCCCAGCTCTTCGGGAGGCTGAGTCAGGAGAATCACTTGAACCCAGGAGCGGAGACTGCGGTGAGCCAAGATGATACCACTGCACTCCAGCCTGGGCAACAGAATGAGACTCCGTCTCAAAATAAATAAATAAAATAAATATTTTTTTAAAGATAGGGTCTCACTCTGTTGCCCAGGCCAGCACAATCATGGCTCACTGCAGTCTTGACCCATTGCAGCCTTGACCTTCCAGGCTTAAGTGATCCTCTTATTCAGTCTCCCAAGTAGCTGGGACCACAGGGGCACACCATGCCCACCTAATTTTTTTATTTTAACTTTTTGTAGAAATGGGGTCTCCCTATGTTGCCCAAGCTGGTCTTGAACTCCCAGACTCAAGCCATCCTCCCGCCTCAGCTCCCAAAGTGCTGGGATTACAGGCGTGAGCCGCTGTGCCCGGCTACCACTCTCATATGCTGCATTTTGCCTTCTGTATGTGAAGCTGTTTTTCTGGCAGAAAAAGCCACGTTCTCTTCACATCTTAATAGCTTCGGGTGGGGAATTGTGTGAAAGTGTGGTATGGAGGCCAGGCCTGGTGGCTCATGCCTATAATCCCAGCACTCTGGGAGGCTGAGGCAGGCGGATCACCTGAGGTCAGGAGATCAAGACCATCCTGGCCAGCATGTTGAAACCCCATCTCTACTAAAAAAAAATACAAAAAATAGCTGGGTGTGGTGGCACGTGCCTGTAATTCCAGCTACTCTGGAGGCTGAGGCAGGAGAATCGCTTGAATCAGGGAGTTGGAGGTTGCAGTGAGCTGAGGTCACCTGCATTCCAGCCTGCTGACAGCGAGACTCCATCTCAAAAAAAAAAAGAAGTGCAGTATTGTAAACTAGATTGGATGCTGATTTACTTGTATCTATGCGCTATCATGAGCTCTGTTTAGTCACCCTTCAGAAACCATCAGTCTCACCTGATGGTTCTATCTCTCTGGTAACAGTTTCTTCCTCAGAACAAGAAACAACTGAAGTATCCTTAATCTGCTTATTGTTTCAGATTGCAGATTGAGTACCCAGCACGAGGAATCAGCAGATGAGCAGAAAGGTTCTGAAGCAGAGGGGCTCAAAGGGGATATAATTTCTGTGATTATCGCCAATAAACCTGAGGCCAGCTTAGAGAGGCAGTGCGTAAACCTTGAAAATGAAAAAGGAACAAAACCCCCTCTTCAAGAGGCAGGCTCCAAGAAAGGTAGAGAATCAGTTCCTACTAAACCTACCCCAGGAGAGAGACGTTATATATGTGCTGAATGTGGCAAAGCCTTTAGTAATAGCTCAAATCTCACCAAACACAGGAGAACACACACTGGGGAGAAACCTTACGTGTGCACCAAGTGTGGGAAAGCTTTCAGCCACAGCTCAAACCTCACCCTCCACTACAGAACACACTTGGTGGACCGGCCCTATGACTGTAAGTGTGGAAAAGCTTTTGGGCAGAGCTCAGACCTTCTTAAACATCAGAGAATGCACACAGAAGAGGCGCCATATCAGTGCAAAGATTGTGGCAAGGCTTTCAGCGGGAAAGGCAGCCTCATTCGTCACTATCGGATCCACACTGGGGAGAAGCCTTATCAGTGTAACGAATGTGGGAAGAGCTTCAGTCAGCATGCGGGCCTCAGCTCCCACCAGAGACTCCACACCGGAGAGAAGCCATATAAGTGTAAGGAGTGTGGGAAAGCCTTCAACCACAGCTCCAACTTCAATAAACACCACAGAATCCACACCGGGGAAAAGCCCTACTGGTGTCATCACTGTGGAAAGACCTTCTGTAGCAAGTCCAATCTTTCCAAACATCAGCGAGTCCACACTGGAGAGGGAGAAGCACCGTAACTTTCAAGCGCTCCTGTTGTTGTCGTTGTTTTAAACTTTAGAATCTGAAAACCAGAAAGAAGTCTTGTCATTGCAGCAGCATCGATTCCGGTGATAGAGTTTGTATCACTCAACATCAGGGGATGCCTGAGGAGTGCGAGCTCCACAGCAACATGGCAGGCAGGAGGTCCTCAGAAGGTGTCAGGAGGTTCCACACTCGCCAGTTCACTGGAGCAGAGTCCCTTCGCCACACTTAGGGTCCCAGTAAGCCATGCCAGCATTACCTTTTGCGTAGTTAAACAGACGTGTATCCAGTCTAGTTAAGGAAGAAACATTAAGATTGTTTAATTTTTAACATATATTCAAGAATTTTAATTTGTAAAGAATTGAGCCACATTGAACACAATTGAATGAGATTCAGAATAAACTTATAACATCTTGTAATGCCTCAGGACTATTATTATAACAAATGATGTGTTGGTTATTGAATACTTACAGATGGAGAAAACTATTCCTACTGGTTTAGCTTTTAGAAAATTTGGATTTGGGGGTCAGGCACGGTGGCTTACGCCTGTAATCCCAGCACCTTGGAAGCCTGAGGCGGTCGATCACCTCAGGTCAGGAGTTCGAGACCAGTCTGGCCAAAATGGCGAAACACTGTCTCTACTAAAGATACAATTAGCTGAGCATAGTGGCGGGTGCCTGTAGTCCAAGCCACTCGGGAGGCTGAGGTGGGAGAATCGCTTGAACCCGGGAGGCAGAGGTTGCAGTGAGCCAACATTGCGCCACTGCACTCCAGCCTGGGTGACAGAACGAGACTCTGTCTCAAAAAAAAAAAAAATAAAGCGAATGCTTTCACTAGATAATAACTGCATACCAAGAGCCAGGGGCCATGTTGAACTGTGCCGGCACAGCTGTTGTGGATGAGTTTGTGGCAAACAACCATTATCAGCCACAACTCGTCGGTTTTTTACAGAAGCCATACAGAAAGAGTGTCTTTTGCGTCTTTGAGGGCAGCAATAATCACTTCAGTTCCATTCAGGGTGTGGTATTGTTTCTTGCCACTTTGATTGGCTGGGGAAGGGCAGGGTGTGCAGGAGTTTCCACTTGACCCTTCTGCCTATGACCTAAGCTACAGGTTAAGTAAACAATGTGCTGGGCATCTGTCCCCCTGCTAAACATATCCCAATTATCTTCTCAGGGACATGGCCATAGGGTGAGTCTGTTCCCACTGGGCCCACTGAGATGGATTTGGGCCAGGACTCCATTTATCAGCTGACCTGTGTCTGGAGGGCAATGGTAAGTTTTAGATCCGTGTCATACTAGATCCTGTATCAAAAAGCCTCAAAAGGCCTGGGCATTCTGTTTTCTTAGTACGTTACTCTAGTGAACAGCCACAGGTCCTTTGGGGAAATATTTATTGCATAATACTCGTGGTACAGTTGGAAGGTCTTCAAAGAAACCCAGACTCCCCTTAACTTGATGGATTCCAGATCTCAGAACTGGCTCAGATCTGGAAAGCAGCAGCAGGATTGCAATTTCCCATTGTAACAGCCGGTATCAGCCTTCTCATCAACTCTTGGGATTTTTTGTTTATACAAATCAAAGCCTTATCCTGTTGGCTGAAAGTTTTTGTTAAGAACACCAAGGGTTATTAGTCAATGCCACAGTTCTCTGTGGGTCAAGACACCCTAGTGGGCTGTGCACAGTGGCTCATGCCTATAATCCCAGCACTTTGGGAGGCTGATGCAGAAGGATCGTTTGAGCCCAGGAGTTCGAGACCAGCCTGGGCAACATAGTGAGATCCCATCTCTCTTGTTTTTTAAATTCATATTTAATTTAAACAAAAATAAGGCCGAGCGTGGTGGCTCACGCCTCTAATCCCAGCACTTGGGAGGCCGAGGTGGGCGGATCACGAGGTCAGGAGATTGAGACCATCCTGGCTAACAAGGTGAAACCCCATCTTTACTAAAAATACAAAAAAAAAAAAATTAGCTGGGCGTGGTGGCGGGCACCTGTAGTCCCAGCTACTCCGGAGGCTGAGGCAGGAGAATGGCATGAACCTGGGAGGTGGAGGTTGCAGTGAGCCGAGATCACGCCACTGCACTCCAGCCTGGGCAACACAGTGAGACTCCATCTCAAACAATAAATAAATAGGCCGGGTGTGGTGGCTCACGCCTGTAATCCCAACACTTTGGGAGGTTGAGGCAGGTGGATCACCTGAAATCAGGAGTTTGAGACCAGCCTGGCCAACATGGTGAGACCCTGTCTCTACTAAAAATGCAAAAATTAGCCAGGTGTGGTGGCGTGCGCCTGTAGTCCCAGCTACTCAGGAGGCTAAGGCAGGAGAATTGCTTCAACCTAGGAGGCAGAGGTTGCAGTGAGCCGAGATTATGCCATTGCACTCTAGCCTGGGTGACAGAGTGTCAAGATTCCATCTCAAAAAAAAATCACCCTAGTTGCCACTCTGGCCTGGTTGCCCATCATGGTAATTGTGTCCACTTTGCCTGTGATAGCTCAGTGCTGCCGCCTGGCCTCTGTTGACCAGTCATCCCATTAATAACAGGGAACTCTGTTCTGTGGCAGAATCTCCTACTATTAACCCTGCTGAGGCAGCTGTCACTGAACAATCCCGGTGCTCCCCTCACTTCATCCTTTATTGTCTGAGTGAACGGGAAGCTATTTGGGCCTTCCGAGATAACATAGGTGTTTGGTTCTCAGATCTCGTGTAAGAAATTCATTTTAACACACGCTGAGTCTGCTGACACCCTTTCTCTGCTCATCATTTTAGCAGCTCTACCTCATTTACTGTAGGCCATCATTCCTCGCCAAGTATTGGATTTTTTTCTTTTCAGAGAGACAGGGGTCTCATTATATTGCCTAGGCTAGTTTCCAACTCCTGGGCTCAAGCAGTCCTCCCATCTCAGCTTCCTGAGTAGCTGGGACTACAGATGTGTGCCACCACGCCCAGCTAATTTTTATTTTTGTAGAGACTGGGTCTCACTATGTTGCCCAGGCTGGGCTTGAACTCCTGAGTTCAAGCGATTCTCCTGCCTTACCCTCCCAGAGTGCTGAGATTACAGGCGTGAGCCACTGCACCCAGCTGATTAATACATGAAAACCACTCGGAAAAGAGCCAGGCAACGCTGACACAGAGTATATGCCATGTATCAGCTACTGCTACCATCACTTGCAAATCCCATCTCCTCTACAATCTCAACTCTGAAAACAGTATCATTCCACTCCATCTTTACTGAACCTGCCCAGGCTTGATGCTGGTTAGATGGAGGAGGATGAGGAGTATAATCAAAGAAAACTTACAAAATTTTGATCCTGACAGGTTTACAGAAATTTTAAGAGGGGGCAATAAATGGGAAAGTGGGATCTGGTTTGAAACATACTATGAAACTGTAGAAAGTCCAGGTGTAACTGCTCTGCAGTCCACTGGAGACCCACGACTGAGGCTTGGGAGAGCCATCAGGACATGGGCAGGTTTTTTTCTTCTTCTTCGAGACAGTCTCGCTCTGTCACCCAGGCTGGAGTGCAGCAGCATTATCTCAGCTCACTGCAACCTCTGCCTCCTGGGTTCAAGTGATTCTCCTGCCTCAGCCTCCCGAGTAGCTGGGATTACAGGCATGTGCCACCAAGCCTAATTTTTCTATTTTTAGTAGAGACAGAGTTTTACCGTGTTGGCCAGGCTAGTCTCAAACTCTCACCTCGTGATCCGCCCGCCTTGGCCTCCCAAAGTGCTGGGATTACAGCCATGAGAACACAGATTTAAAATTTATTTGCATAGGCTGGGCGTAGTGGCACATGCTTGTAATCCCAGCACTTTCGGAGGCCGAGGCAGGCAGATCATGAGGTCAGGAGTTCAAGACCAGCCTGGCCAACATGGTGAAATCCCGTTGTCTATTAAAAATACAAAAGTTAGCTGGGCGTGGTGGTGGGCGCCTGTAATCTCAGATACTAGTGAGGCTGAGGTTGCAGTGAGCCGAGATTGGTCCACTGCACTCCAGCCTGGGCAAGAGCAAGACTCCATCTCAAAAAAAAAAAATGGCAATCTATAAAGTAATTTCATTTCATTTTTGAGACTGTCTTGCTCTGTTATCGTGTGGTGGTGCAATCACAGGGGCTCACTGCAGGCTCAACTTCCTAGGCTCAAGCAGTCCTCTCACCTCAGCCTCCCGAGTAGCTGGGACCACAAGTGTGCACCACCACACCCAGCTAATTTTTTTTTTGAGATGGAGTCTCACTCTGTTGCCCAGGCTGGAGTACAATGGAGCAATCTTGGTTCACCGCAACCACTGCCACCTGCATTTAAGCGATTCTCCTCCCTCAGTCTCCTGAGTAGCTGGGATTACAGGCACGTGCCACCACACCTGGCTGATATATATATATAATTTTTTTTTTTTTAGGAGAGAGAGCATTTCACCATGTTGGTCAGGCTGGTCTCGAACTCCTGACCTTGTGATCCGCCCACCTCGGCCTCCCAAAGTGCTAGGATTACAACTGTGAGCCACTGCGCTCAGCCCTAATTTTTTTTTTTTAATTTTGTTGTAGAGATAGGGTCTTGCCACGTTGCCTAGGCTGGTCTGAAGAGATTCTACTGCCTTGGCCTCCCTAAGTGTTGGGATTATAAGCATGAGCCACTGTACCTAGCCTATAAAGAAATTTTAGGGCCAGGCATGGTGGCTCACGCCTATAATCCCAGCACTTTGAGGCTGAGGCCGGCAGATTGCTAGAGCTCAGTTTAAGACCAGCCTGGGCAACATGGTGAAACCCCATCTCTACTAAAAATACAAAAATTAGCTGGGGCGTGGTGGTGCACACCTGTAGTCCCAGCTACTCTAGAGACTGAGGCACGGGAAGTGCTTGAACCCGGGAGGCAGAGGCAGCAGTGAGCCAAGATGGTGCCACTGCATTCCTGCCTGAGCAACAGTGCTAGACTCTGTCTCAAAAAAAAAAAAAAAAAAAAAATTAAGTCAACTTTCAAATTCCATTTATAGTTACCAACATGTCTTGTCTTTTTTTTTTGAGATGGAGTTTCGCTTTTCTTGCCCAGGCTGGAGTTCAATGGCGCGATCTCAGCTCACCACAACCTGCGCCTCCCGGGTTCAAGTAGTTCTCCTGGCTCAGCCTCCTGAGTAGCTAGGATTATAGGCATGTGCCACCATGCCCGGCTAATTTTGTGTTTTTAGTAGAGACGGGGTTTCTCCATGTTGGTCAGGCTGGTCTAGAACTCCAGACCTCAGGTGATCTGCCTGCCTTGGCCTCCCAGAGTGCTGGGATTACAGGCATGAGCCACTGCACCCAGCCAACATGTCTTGTTTTAACTGAAATATATGGTCCAAACATTGCACAAAACCACACTCAATCTCTTCTGAAAAACTATTCTGTTTAATAGTGCACTTCATTTATGCTACAGGATGAGCAGGGTTGGGAAAACACAATGGAAGGTCATCCCGTCGGTTGGGAAAACTCGGGGAGTGCCATCCTCACCCAGCAACGAGCTCTGCTACCAGGCTCAGGCACAGCCTGCCTTCTCTGGGCTTCGTTTTTTTGTTTTTTTGTTTTTTTTTTCTCCCTTTTGGGCTTTGCTCTTTCTCTGCATTAATCTTCAGCTGCTGAAGAGTCAGAGGTGGAGGCAGGAGTGGTCTGGCTCCTGGGGCTGGGTGTCAGAGGTGAGAGGGCAGGGCAAGCAGGCCAAGTGAGCTCCTTGAAAGCATCCTTACCCAGGCATTTAGAGAAAATCATTTTCATCATTGGAGTGGGAAGAGGACAAGAGAGGACAGCAATCAGAGGCCAACGCTAAGTGCTTCTGACCCTCTCCCTCACAGCCGGTTACTAGCTGTTTGGACAGATTTGCCCATTCAGCCCCAGGACAACTGGGGGGGATGGCAGGGGGTCTGCTGGCAATATCACCAGGTTTCTCTTGGAAACATGGTCTGGCTGCTCCAAGAGCCCTAAAGGACACCATCATCACAGATGATGATTCTGGAATCTCTTCTACCCTCAATAAAATAATCCCTCAATGCCAAATTTCCATAATTAACGAAATCATGAAACAAAACAGCATGTTTCTTACCGAAACTTAAAGCTGGACTAGGAACAGTAGCTTTGAAATAGTCTCCCTTTACCCTCCCTAGCAAATAACAGGACCCAGAGCGTCCTTTCCACTGCTGTCTGTGCTGACTACGCGGACTCCAACTAAAGGAATCCATCGAATTCTGTCCCGACTGTGCTTCCATCCCCACCTTGGAAAGGTTCCTCTGCTGTGAGAAAAACAGTTTAGTGCAAACTCCTTTCCTAAATGGGGTAACTGGTCCCAGAGCTGCTTTCTATTCCCAGCACGCCATCCACTTGCCTTGACGCTTTCTAAGGCTGGTGTGATTTCTGGGAAAATTCAACGATTTGCCCCATCTGCCCCATTCTCTAAAATGAAAAGTCTGAGTTGAAAGGGACACATCCTAAGCTGTTGAGATTTATAGGGTAAGGCAAGAGCTCTTGAGACTCAGGGAAAGTGAGGAAAATGGGTGTGTGGCTCTTTCACGTGGACTCTCTGATATTTAACTCGGTCGTAACTCTGAGGGAGCTTTTGCTCATGCCGATCCCATTCAAAGGCTTCTCTCCAGTGTGAATTCTCTGATGGCGAACAAGAGCCGAGCTGTACCTGAAGGCTTTCCCACACTCACTACATTCATAGGGGTTCTCCCCGGTGTGGATTCTTTGATGCTGAATAAGGCCTGAACTGTAGGTAAACTTTCCTCCACATTCCATACATTCGTAGGGCTTCTCTCCAGTGTGGATTCTCTGGTGCTGATAGAGGTGTGAGCTCTGGCTGAAGGCTTTCCCACATTCATTACATTCATAGGGTTTTTCTCCAGTGTGGATTCTCTGATGGTGAATAAGGGTTGAGCTCCTGCTGAAGGCCTTCCCACATTCATTGCAGGCGTAGGGTTTCTCACCAGTGTGGATTCTCTGATGGTGGGTGAGGGTGGAGCTCCAGCTGAAGGTCTTCCCACACTCATTACATTCATAGGGTTTCTCCCCCGTGTGGATCCTCCGATGCAGAATGAGGGCAGAGCTACAGCTGAAGGTTTTCCCACAATCACTACATTCATAAGGTTTTTCCCCAGTGTGGATTCTCTGATGCTGAATAAGGTGTGAGCTCTGGCTGAAGGCCTTCCCACACTCATTACATTCATAGGGCTTTTCCCCAGTGTGGATTCTCTGATGTTGAATAAGGTCTGAAGTTCGATTAAAGCTCTTGCTACATTCATCACACTTATGGGGTCTGTCTCCCACGGGGAGTCTCTGATGTGAGATAAGGTTGGAATTCACAGTGAAGCTGTTCCCAAAATCATTATATTTCTCGCTTCTCTCTCCCCTGGGGGTTAGCTTCTCCTCAACTGTCACTTGACCAAAATCTGGCATTTTCCTGTTCAGTCTTTCTCCAGGGGAGTTCCCCAGCGGCCTTTTCAGACTGACTTCTCGTTCATAGGCTTCTTTAAACTTGAGACCCTGAGAAATATCCTTTTGAAATCTTCCCAGTAGGACCCCATGTGATCTTGTGTCTTCAGAAATTTCTTGATCATTTTCAGTCCTGGTCTCACGATCTGACACAATAAAAAATGCAAATGTCACTTGTTCCTTAGGGAAGAAAGAGTGAAAATCACAGGACAGGATCATTGTAACGAATACTTACAGTGCCAAAAGCACATGCCTACAAAGAGGCCTGCCCCACATGTGTGCGGCTAAGGCAAAATGAGACAGCCGGGCTAAGGAGACAGGGAAGGGGCAGGGCAGAGCAAAACCAAGGAGAACAGAGCTGGAAGTGGAAAGAAAGCTGAGTGTGTGTGGAGGGGAGGACGGATCAGGCAGAGAGGCAGGGAACCAACTTTAGAAGAGGAAGGTCATATTGCTTAATGAAGTGACAAAGCCTTTAGAGAGGTCAGGGCAGTGGATATAACTGGGGACACAGTGACTGCAAGAAGGGAGAGCAAGTACAGGACAGTTGGTGAGAAAAGGGGGGAAGGGTGAGGAGAGACAGCAGCAGCGCGGGAACAAGCAAGGGGGAGGATGCTAGTGGCTGCCATGGCCCCATAAGAAGAGCAATCATGGCTGTCGTCACGCCACAAATGCCAAGCCCATGGAAACGGCAAGACAACTGAGTCCGCCTCTGGGCCCTATGCATAAAAGGCTATGCTCGCACGTAAGGCTATGCAAAGAATCTCAGTGTCTGACGTCTCTGTTTTCACTCCTTTTGAGTTTCTAAAGCCAACTCTGGGCACAGAGGATAAATGTAAAGGGTCCAGAGAGTTTGCGTTTTTAGCTTAATTGATATTTTAAAAAGTAAAGACAGGGTAATGTGTGTTAGGGACGGGAACGGCTGTTTCTCCTTCACCTGAAGAGGTACCTCTTAGGACCTCTCTGCTCTCAGTTCCTTTGAAACCCAGGCCCCTTGGCTCTTCCTCTCATTCTAGCAGAGAGATGGTGGCAGGATTCAGAAATGGGAATTCTGCTCATGGGGAGAGACATGGGACAAGGAGGTTTATCTGCTCACCCTGAGAGTCCCAGAGCTCAATTCCAGACCCCAGATCTGCCGGGGACAGAAGGGAAATGTACAGGAAGGTCTCAAATGAGAGTTAGGAAGACGTCCTGGCTCTGCTCAGGAAAATGCCCACTAAGAGTGGGGTGAGAGACAAGGAATTCTACATCCTAAAAGTTGAGAAACTAATTTATTAATCTTTCTTTTTTTGTTTTTGTTTTTGAGACAAGGTCTCACTCTATCGCCCAGGATGGAGTGCAGTGGCGTGTTCTTGGCTAACTGCAACCTCCACCTCCCAGGTTCAAGCAATTCTCCTGCCTCAGCCTCCCAAGTAGCTGGGATTACAGGCACATGCCACCACCCCCAGCTAATTTTTTTTGTATTTTTAGTAGAGATGGCGTTTCAACATGTTGGCCAGGCTGGTCTCAAACTCCTGACCTCAGTATCTGCCCGCCTCAGTCTCCCAAAGTGCTGGGATTACAGGCATGAGCCACCGCGCCTGGCCTAATTTCTTAACCTTTCTAAGTTTCTACAGAGCAGCAGGGGCACTAGGTCCTGAACAAAGCAACAGGTCCCTAGAAGTTAGAGAAGGGGAGCAGAGAAGCAGAGAAGGAGAGGACAGAGACGTGGGCAAAGAGCAGCACCTCATGTGTTCAGGGATAATCCTTCGGAAAAGTCTCTGGATTATATATTAAGTCCTGAGAATAACACGGAAAAAGTATCAGATTTGGCCAGGCGCGGTGGCTCATGCCTGTAATCTCAGCACTTTGGGAGGCCGAGGCAGGTGGATCACCTGAGGTCAGGAGTTCGAGACCAGCCTGACCAACATGGAAAAACTCCGTCTCTACTAAAAATACAAAATTAGCTGGGTGTGGTGACGCATGCCTATCATCACAGCTACTCAGGAGGCTGTGGCAGGAGAATTGCTTGAACGCAGGACGCAGAGGTTGCGGTGAGCCGAGACCACGCTATTGCACTCCAGCCTGGCAACAAGAGTGAAACTCCATCTCAAAAAAAAAAGGTACCAGATTTGGAGTTAAAGACTGGGCCCCAAGTTTTGCCACTCATCAGCCCAACTGATGACCATGCATGCACAAGACATTGAGACCGCTACTCTCACCTCCACTTTATTTACTTATTTATTTTTTGAGACAGGGTCTGTGTCACCCAGGCTGGACTGCAGTAATGCCATCTCGGCTCACTGCAACCTCGGCTTCCCAGGCTCAAGTGATCCTCCAACCTCAGCCTCCCAAGTAGCTGGGACTACAGGCATGTGCCACCATGCCTGGCTAATTTTTTGGATATTTGGTAGAGACAGGGTCTCGCCATGTTGCCCAAGCTGGTCTTGAACTCTTGACCTCAAGTGATCCTCCTGCCTCAGCTTCTCAGAGTGTTGGGATTACAGGTGTGAGCCACCTCGCCTGGACTACTTTCACTTTCCTTACCTGTAAAATGAGGAATAATACTAGCTGCCTCAATTAATGTGTTACTGTGAAGATTAAATGAAAGAATATATATGAGAACTCTTTATAAGTTGCAGACTGCTGTATAAATGAGTTAAGATTATTGTTCTTACAGTTTCCTAAGACTAAGTCAATCCTTACCTAGGCCAGGTGCAGTGGCTCATGCCTATAATCCCAGCACTTTGGGAGGCCAAGACGGGTGGATCACTTGAGGTCAGGAGTTTGAGACCAGCCTGGCCAACATGGTGAAACCCCGTCTCTACTAAAACAAAAAAAAACAAAACAAATACAAAAATTAGCCTGGTGTGGTGGTGCGTGCCTGTAGTCCCAGCTACTTGGGAGGCAGAGGTGAGAACCTGGGAACACTTGAATCTGGGAGATGGATGTTGCACTGAGCAAAGATTGTGCCATTGCACCTCAAAAAAAAAATCTGCTGAAACAGCTCTTTTCAGTGACTAGATTGTTACTAGCAAACGAAGAAGCAAAGAAACACCAGCGAGTTTTGTTGACAAGGCATAACTCCTTACCCAGTGAGAACACATTCCCGTAATTCTCCAGCATCACATCTCTATAGAGGTCCCTCTGAGCAGGTTCCAAACGCTTCCACTCCTTCCGGATGAAGTACACAGCTACATCCTCAAAGGTTACCAGCTCCTGAAACAACACGTGCTGGCATGCAATTTCAGGGTGAGGAATGTGAATGGCGGCACCAAAAAAATCACTGAGGATGGGGTGAAAAATGCACATTTGGGAAGGGAGGAAGGGAGGACAGGGTGGAGGAAGAGAGACAGGAGTCCAAGATAGAAGGTGAGGGTCCATGATTCAGCAGGACAGAACCATGGGCCTGATGGAGGAGATCAGGGTTTAAAGCTCTGAATGGGATGTCATTGCACAGAAAATGGAAAGGAAAAGGATAAACGGAACCACAGCTCACCTGGGACTTGGCCTTTAGGAGCGCAGCCGCCAACATCTCATCCCCCAGGCTGTCCTTGTCGGAAAAGGCAGGAACTTTTGAAGGAAGAGCTGAAGGGCAATAAAAGGGCCCAGGAATGAGTCCATCTGCTCTGTGACCTCCCAACCTGCTGACTTCCCAACCCACAGAAAGCTCCCGGGGTCCTGGGACAACACAGGACCCTCTCTCTCACATTTCTAAGTTTGCTTCCTCTGCAGCTAGCTACAGTGTGTCCAACAAAGGCAAACTCAGAGCGAGTCCATCCTGCCTGAGCAGATGGCCACAGGCCTGGTCATTCTTAGTCTCCAGTCTGTCCCAGGTCCCCTCTTCTCTCCAGTCACTCTTCTCTCAATGAAACCGCCCAGTCCTATCTTAGTGATTACTGCATTCTTGTCCATTCACCCAAGCTTGGCCAGAAACATATGATCCCGCTCTTGCATGAAGTTCTATTTTTTTTTTTTTTGAGGTGGGTTTTGCTATGTTGCCCAGGCTGGTCTCAAACTCCTGGGCTCAAGTGATCCTCCTGCCTCAGCCTCCCAAATAGCTGGGATTACAGTCGTGTGCCACTGCACCCAGCATGAAGTTCTTAGACCAGAGAAAAACCAGCAGCTTCACCCCAGCCCTGACTGGAAACACAATGCCCACAGCTCCTTTCTCTCCACCCCAGATCAAATCTGTACACTAAAAATGTTCCCTGTTTCTGTGTTGAATCTCTTACCTTTTTCTGCAATTCTTTTTTTTTTTTCTTTTTGAGGTGGCGTCTCACTCTGTCACCCAGGCTGGAGTGCAGTGGCGTGATCTCGGCTCACTGCAACCTCCACCTCCCGGGTTCAAGCAATTCTCCTGCCTCAGCCTCTGGAGGAGCTGGGACTACAGGTGCGTGCCACCATGCCCGGCTAATTTTTTGTATTTTTAGTAGAGATGCGGTTTCACTGTGTTGGCCAAGATGGTCTCAATTTCCTGACCTTGTGATCTGCCCGCCTCAGCCTCCCTAAGTGCTGGGATTACAGAAGTGAGCCACCGCGCTCGGCCGCAAAGTATACTTTAGTGGCTTCCTATTCACTCTGTCTTTTTGTCTATGACCCATAAAATGATTCCGAAGCGCCTCCTCTAAAAGCATGCTCCTAAAAAGCACAAACTATGCCTATGAAGTCGGCTGCATAGAATGCCCGAGAAATGGAATGATTGACACGGTTTCATTAATCTCGCGTGAGGTACTCACAACCCCTCAAAACTGCCTCAGTGGCCAGGCGCGGTGGGTCATGCCTGTAATTTCAACACTTTGGGAGGCCAAGGTGGGCACTGAGGTCAGGAGTTTAAGACCAGCCTGACCAACATGGCAAAACCCCGTCTCTACAAAAATTAGCCGGGCATGGTGACGGGCGCCTGCAGTCCCAGCTACATGGGAGGCTGAGGCAGGAGAATCACTTGAACCCAGGAGGCGGAGGTTGCAGTGAGCCGAGATTGTGCCACTGCACTCTAGCCTGAGCAACAGAGCAAGACTCCATCTCAAAAAAAACAAAACAAAACAAAACAATCTGCCTCAATTATCAAACCTATCAAGCTGTCATTGATTACTGTTCGGTCAGCTTCCCCACTAGGCTGTGAGTTACTGAATGGCGAAGAGTGTGTCTTATTCACATCTGGATTCTAGTAGTTAGCCTAGTACCTGGTAAGTGAGCGATTTCAATGGATGATTGCAGAATGACTGAGTAAAAGAATGAATGAGTCCTTATTCCTCACCACTGTCAAGCAGGGCCTGAGGTTCCTGAGATACGAGATCAGCCTGAGTTTCCATGGAAGGGCAAGGTGCTCTCTGGTCTCCTGGGTGCAGACTCAGCGGGAAGCGGGTTTTAAAAGAGAATGAGGAAGCACTGCAGAAGCAAAAGTTCAAGGTTCAAAGATAATTCAAAAAAACCTCCTGAATACAGAAAGATGGGAGCTAGTATTTCAGTGAGTACCCAGGAACAGTGAGAAGAAATGTGGCAACTGGGACTAGTCTTTTATTTTCTTTTATTTTTTAATTTTTTTTTTCCTTTTTGTGGAGAACAGGGTCTCGCTATATTGCCCAGGCAGGTCTGGAACTCCTGGGCTCAAGCTATCCTCCCACCTGTTGCCTCCCTGAGAGCTGGGATTACAGGCGTGAGCCACCGCGCCCGGTATTTTTAAATTTTCTTTATTTTTTTTAAGACGGAATTTCACTCTTGTCACCCAGGCTGGAGTGCAATGGCGCAATCTCATCTCACTGCCACCTCTGCCTCCCGGGTTCAAGCGATTCTCCTGCCTTAGCCTCCCAAGTAGCTGGGATTACAGGCACGCACCACCATGCCTGGCTAATTTTTGTATTTTTAGTAGAGGTGGGATTTCACCATGTCAGCCAGGCTGGTCTCAAACTCCTGATCTCAGGTGATCCGCCCACCCCAGCCTCCCCAAGTGCTAGGATTACAGGTGTGAGCCACCATGCCCAGCCTCAGACTAGTCTTTTAGATCCTGGTAAATATACTCCCTGAAATGAGACTATCACAAGGACCACAAAAAGGGCCCAAGTTCCTCAACAATATCCCGCCTTTGGCTGCCCCCATCACTTTGAGTAATATTTATAACAAAATGCAGGAGCGGGTATATACATTCACTGGCATAAAAAGACTACTCCCAGGCTGGGCACGGTGGCTCATGCCTGTAATCCCAGCACTTTGGGAGGCTGAGGCAGGCAAATCACGAGGTCAGGAGTTCGAGACCAGCCTGGCCAGGATGATGAAACCCCATCTCTACTAAAAATACAAAAAATTAGCTGGGCATGGTGGTGTGTGCCTGTAATCCCAGCTACTCAGGAAGCTGAAGCAGGAGAATCACTTGATCCCAGGAGGTGGAGGTTGCAGTGAGCCGAGATCACGCCACTGCACTCCAGTCTGGGCAATAGACAGAGACTCTGCCTCAAAAAAAAAAAAAAAGAAAAAGAAAAGAAAAAATACAAAAATTAGCTGGGCATGGTGTTACATGCGCCTGTAATCCCAGCTACTTGGGAGGCTGAGGCAGGAGAATCGCTTGAACCCGGGAGGCAGAGGTGGCAGTGACCCAAGATCGCACCATTGTACTCCAGCCTGGGCAACAGTGAGACTCTGTCTCAAACAAAACAAAACAAAACAAAACAAACCAACCAACCCTGGATTTGATCTACCTCTCATTATCTCTTTACTCATTTGCTCACATAGCAAATGTTTGCTGAGGGCTAACTCTATTGCCACTCACAACTGCAAGGAGTAAAAAAATCGGGAATGCAAAAAGTATGTGCTTCATAATTACAGACTGTTACACTCACATAAGGCATCAAAGGAAGAGGAATGGATAAGAGAATGTTTGAGAGAATAAAAGAAAAAAAAAGAACAAAGGAAGAGGGGTCCTGTTTGAAAGTCAGTCGCAAGTTTGGGCAACTCTGGTCTTCGGGTAGCAGGGGATATAGAATGTCCAATACCAGAGCCCTTACACAGTGGAAAGCACTGACTCAGGCACAAGCCAGGCCACTGGCAATCAAGGTGACACACCTTCTTGCCACCATCGCCCTCCTAGCAGGGTCCCTTCAATGGTGTCTCAGAGCCAACCATCATATCCTCTTATCAACCACCTTTACAATCTCCGGAGCTATTTATGAGCTGACGCCCTCAACAAGTCAGCTTTCAGTACAAACTCCTAGAAAGGCAGGTCAAAGGTCTGACTCCAGAGAAAAAGGCAACAGCTCCCTCTCACAGCTGGGTTAAGTGAAGCTGGAACTCAAAGGCATATTGTTGAGAACAAGCACCCAGTGTCCAGATCAGTAAACAGCGTTTCTCACAGAAAGAAAACTCTCCATTGTGCCCCCATGGCTTCAGGTCCAGACAGGGCCCTTCCCCTGCTCTGTTGCCAGCCTCACTCCCTGGTGCTGCCCGTGGGGACCGAGATAGATGGCCTGGCAGTAAGAACAAGACACGGAAAGCTTTACCTGCCTGATTCTTTCCTTCCTTCTTTGAAGTCAGTCCCTAGAAGGCCAAAGGAGCAATTACTGGGAATTTAGCAGCCTCTGTTCAAGTTCCCGGGAATTCTGACTTTTGTTGATGCCAATGCTGTGTGATTAAGGGGAAAAAAAGGAATTTAAAATATTCATGCAAACGTCTTTTTTTTTCCATGAGACAGGGTCTGACTCTGCTGCTCAGGCTGGAGTGCAGTGAGTTTGAGCTCACTCCAGACTCAAACTCCTAAGTTCAAGTGATCCTCCCAGCTCAGCCTCCCAAGGAGCTGGGACTAAAGGTGTGCACTGCCACATCTGGCTGAGTTTTTTAAAATTCTTTTTGTAGAAATGCAGCCTCACTGTGTTGCTCAGGCTGGTCTCAATCTCCTGGCCTCAAGTGATTCTCCCACCTCAGCCTCCCAAAGTGCTGGGATTACAGGCATGAGCCACCGAGTCCAGCCTAAACTTCATTTCTAATCAAGACATTTAAAGAAAAGGAAAAAAAAGAGAATACTTATTATATGCTAATAAATACCAATTAAGACCACCACCACAACTAGTATTTGCGTTGCACCCGTGGAGAGATGAAAGGGAATGGTAGGTTCTCAGGTCCACCTCCACCCAGGGTAAGAAAGTTCTAACGTTCTGTCAGCTAACTTGCTAGACACTGTGCTCCGAACTACTTCAGCAGGGGATCCACATTGCACAGCTGAGCCATTAGAAGTCTTCAGGTGATTCGCTGAAAATCTATCTCCTTGGACCTTCACCGCACAGAGACCTAGTGCATCACAGAAATTCAATGACTGGCGACCTGCAGTGGCTCACGCCTGTAACCCCAGCACTTTAGGAGGCTGAGGTGGGAGGATTACTTGAGCCCAGGAGTTCCAGGCTATGGTGAGCCATGATGGCACCACGGCACTCCAGCCGGGGGCAACAGAGCAAGACCTTAATACACACACAAACATTTTAAAAGGAAAAAAAAAAAAAAGGCCGGGCGCGGTGGCTAACGCCTGTAATCCCAACACTTTGGGAGGCCAAGGCAGGTGGATCACTTGAGGCCAGGAGTTGCAGACCAGCCTGGCCAAAAGGGCGGAACCCCGTCTCTACTAAAAATACAAAAAATTCGCCGGAGGTGGTGGCGGGCGCCTGTAGTCCCAACCACTCGGGAGGCTGAAGCAGGAGAAGCGCTTGAACCGGGAGGCGGAGGTTGCAGTGAGCCGAGATCGCGCCACTGCACTCCAGAGACAGTCTCAAAAATAAATAAAAATTAATTTTTTTAAAAAAAGAGCTTCAATAACAGAATCTTCTCCTTCCACCCGACTGTCCATCAAACACGTATAATCAAATGATGCCCACTCTCCACAGATGTCTTTTCTGGAGAAAATAATACGCTCGTTCCTCTAATTAGCCCATCGGTTTCAGGTTCATCACTCTGCTATCTTCTCCTGGAGTTTACAAAAGCCCTTCAGAGTGTAAACACCGATGTGGATTCAATCCCACTTCCGGAGAGAGGATCAAACCAGGAATCTAATACAACTGAAAACGGAGCCTGAGCCAGGTGTATCACGCGATGCACTGGGCTCCAGCAGGATTACCCCTGGAATCGGCGTCTGCACCCACTCCCAGCCCTCGTGCTAACTGCGTACGCTTAGCAGAATTTCTCTGATCCTTGGACCCAGCTGCGTAAAAATAAACTTCCTCTCCTGCCACGGGCGCGAATAACTGTGTTAACATCAAATAAAAACGTCTGGGAGAAATACCAAGTTAGGGTCGCTGTCATTAGCTGCTTTCAAGAGAGAGGCGCCCCTACCGCTCTGCTGAAACTTTTAAACGCTCCAGCTGGGTCGCCGTTAAAGTCACAAAACCAGAACCGGAGCCCCATTACTAACCCCTACGCAGGATCCCGCTAGGCTAGGGGGATCCCTGGGGAAGCGGAGTAGAGGACGGGCTGCAGGGGACGGAGGGGCGCCTCCCCGAACCCTGCTCCGGGCCGGCCGGGGGACCCTGCGGGCCGCAGTGGCACAGACACCACCCCCTTCCCCGGCGACCACAGCCTCCGTCTCACCGCGAGACCCGGGGACGCGTGGACTCACCCTGGGGGCAGGGACGACAGATTTGGGGGACCGGACACGGACCAGGCCCTGTTGGACCCTGTCACAGACCCACACACCGGGGACAGAACAAAGAACGGAAGTTCCCCCTCGTTTCGCTTCCGGGTCGGTTGTTCTTGCCACTCACCCGTACCCCCAACGCCCACTTGTTCTGTCTAGGAAAATGGGAGGTCCTCGCCTCTCTGTGGTTTGCTGACTCAGGGCGGCTGGCAGGCGGCGAGGGCAAGGAGCGCGATCGCTGACGCGGCACTCGGGGATCTTTCGCTGCGGGGGCTGGCCGGCTGCGCCCTCTGCTGGCCACGAATGTGCGAAAGCGGCCGACCACGGTCCTGGGCCTCAGGACATGTGCTCCAGCGTCGCCGGCCTTGGGGGCGGGCGGCGGGGGCGCGCGGGGATGTCGAGCCCGCGCTTCTCAGGCTGGCTCGCGAAGGGCAGCAGTAAACATACAATTATTGAAGGATTCATCAATATTAAAAAATGAACCCTGATTTAAAACTTGCCTCCGAACAAACCGAGTTTTTTTTGTTTCTTGTAAAAATGCCCCCTTTAAATTACCCACATCTGAAGAAAACATTCCAGTCCATCACAGAGTTGACATGAGGAAAAAACCCGTGTACAGGTGATGAGAGCAGAGAAGAGGAAGCTTACCGGCCGGGCGCGGAGGCTCACGCCTGTAATCCCAGCACTTTAGGAGGCCGAGGCGGGCGGATCACCTGAGGTCAGGAGTTCGAGACCAGCCTGGCCAACATGGCGAAACCCCGTCTCGACTAAAAATACAAAAAAATTACCCGGGCGTGGTGGCAGACGCCTGTAATCCCAGCTACTCTGGAGGCTGAGACAGGAGAATCGCTTGAACCCAGGAGGCGGAGGTTGCAGTGAGCCGA